>NC_000013.11:93222675-93525706 GCF_000001405.40 Homo sapiens
CCTTTGCAACTATTCACTGTCTCTTGCCTTTAAATTTTCTTATTATTCATTGAGTTTGGTGTATAGGTTAAGTTGCTTTTACTTGTAAACAGTAGAATAACCAACTAACAATGGTGTAAACAACAGGATATTTATTGATTATTTAACAAGAAGTCCAGAAGTTGGAAGTCCTAAGGCTGGTTTGGTGACTCAAATAGGAACTCAAGGTTCTTTGCATCCCTCCATTGTCATTGTCTGTCTTCTAGCAATGTCTTGTCTCTTACGCAAAAGATGGCTGTGTAGCTCTAAGAAGGCAGGAGGCTGAGGCAAAATGGCCCTTCTGCTCCTTTAATCAGGGAAAACACTTTTTTTTTTTTTTTTTTTTTCAGAAATCTCCATAAATCACATTGGCTAGAAATGGGTCTTACACCCACCCCTACACCAGGGAAAAGTGCTAATTGTGATTCATCCCTTGGTGGTGAGCACAATGCCCCCTGACATAATCAGTCTTAGAGAAGCAAAAAAGAAAGGGCGATGGCTGTGGGATATGTGACTGACAGGGGCTGCACGACTCGTCTGTCACCTATGGCTGCTCTTCAAGACTGTGTCTATTTTTCTCTACAACTGAAAGTCTCTGAGGTTCCATTCATGTGATGCCCAAAACGGGTTGTTGTGAAAACCAGCTGGGATGTGAAAGTACTGTATAAACAGGAGTTGTATTGTCTTTTATTAAACGTACCATATTTTCCTAATGAGATGCAATCTTTTTTTTGTCTTGTTTTTGTTGTTGTTTGTTTTGTTTTTTTTGAGACAGAGTCTCACTCTTTCTCCCAGGCTGGAGTGCAGTGGCGTGATCTCTGCTCACTGTTACCTCCACCTCCAGAGTTCAAAGGATTCTCCTGCTTTAGCCTCCCAAGTAGCTGGGACTGCAGGCACATACCATCACACCAGCGAATTTTTTGTATTTTTAGTAGAGAAGGGGTTTCGCCATGTTGGCTAGCCTGGTCTCTAACTCCGAAGCTCAGGCAAGCCACTCTCCTTAGCGTCCCAAAGTGGTAGGATTACAGGCGTGAGCCACCACACCCAGCAGAGACACAATCTTAAAATAAATATTTAGTAATTCTTCTTGTGTATTGAACCAAGCACCAACTCCTGCCAATCCTTTCCTCAGAATCTATCTACATCTTTCCATTTTCCATCGTCCTATTCTAGGTATCCGTTTACCTCATGCTATTTGTTTGCTTTTTTTTTTTTTTTTTTTTTGAGACGGAGTCTCCCTCTGTCACCCAGGCTGGGGTGCAGTGGCGGGATCTCGGCTCACTGCAAGCTCCGCCTCCCGGGTTCTCGCCATTCTCCTGCCTCAGCCTCCTGAGTAGCTGGGACTGCAGTGCCGGCCACCACACCCGTCTAATTTTTTGTATTTTTAGTAGAGACGGGGTTTCACCGTGTTAGCCAGGATAGTCTCGATCTCCTGACCTCGTGATCTGCCCGCCTCGGCCTCCCAAAGTGCTGGGATTACAGGCGTGAGCCACCGCGCCCGGCCTTTTTTTTTTTTTTGAGACGGAGTTTCTTTCTTGTTGCCCAGTCTGGAGTGCAATGGCACGATCTCGCCTCACCGCAACCTCTGCCTCCCAGGTTCAAGTGATTCTCCTGCCTCAACCTCCCGAGGAGCTGAGATTACAGGCACGTGCCAGCACGCCCAGCTAATTTTGTATCTTCAGTAGAGACGGGGTTTCTCCATGTTGGTCAAGCTCGTCTCAAACTCCCGACCTCAGGTGATCTGCCTGCCTCGGCCTTCCAAAGTGCTGGGATTATAGGCATGAGCCACCGTGCCTGGCCTCGTTTGCTTCCTCTTGTATGGCATTTATCCATATTCTTTTTTCCTACTACACACAAGATGAATACTACAGCTAGGATTCCAGCCATTAGCTGACCTTTTTGTCTAAACCAGATGCCTGCTCCTCCATATGACCTCTCTCCTGTCTGGTCAGGCCTCTTCCAGGAACTTCCATAACATTCCATTCTCATTCCAATCCCTTGTCTAGGCTCCTGCTGTGGCTCTCAGTGTTAACTGGAATGTTTGACTTTGTCTCTTACACCACTGCAAACAGTGTGACATTACTCAACAAATGGACCAGGCAGGGTTAAGGTCACCAGTAAAGCAAGTTATCTAATTCTTTGGTCTGACTTGAGTTCACAAACCTACCCTAAACTATTTGACTCTCCTGATGGAATTAAACTAATCTATTTAGTCATTCGTCTCATGTAATATCTTTGCCACAAATCCTAAGATCATTTTATAAGTATAGGGACGGTGTGCAATAGTCTAGTGCTATAAAGTTGTATTGAGTGCTCATTCAATACTTAACAATTAGCTGATCTTCAAATAATTTAAAACCACATATACTATGCTTTTACCCATTCTTCCTTTACCTCCATTTAAAATAATGAATTATCTGCTATACTGAGTCAGGGTAAATTACAATGAGTCCCAGGATAAGGTGGTAGGACAGGAAGTGTGTGTTTTTACCCTCTTCCTCTGGAGTGCATAATGCTTTACTATGATACAAAGAGAAGTTTGAAGGAAGTCACGTTGTCAAATATGACAGAAGTAATAACTTGACTGCAATTCCTGAGCCTATCAACCTCACCGTTTGTCCACAAACATAACCAGAATATATTTTATCTTGATTTCCGACTTGAGGGAAAATAAGTTCAGTGATTTAAGATCTGCCAGTTAGCATAAATATTGTGAAAGCAAAAAACTGTGCTAAAATTTTAAGAGAAAAAAAGTTAAGTGTGTTGCGTTTTCAGAAAGATTTAGCTATGGAGTTTTTTTTTTTGTTTTGTTTTGTTTTTTTTTTTTTTGGTTTTGTTTTGTCTTGACCTATGAGTTTGAAGAAGACAAAGTGGCTCTGTAAATAAGTCGACTTCATTTTTAAAGCGTTTGGAAAGGTTAAATGAGGTTGAATCTTGAGAGTCTTTTTGGTGGTTAGGAGAGGGGGAATTTATTAAAGAGAGGAAGACAATGTACCTAATATGTTGTGATGATAATGACAAACTCAAAGATTTAAACTTCATGAGTCATTCTGGTCATTCATATCATCATCAGGAAAACATCTTCATGTGTAGCTTCATAGGTGAGCTCCACAAAACTGTGCATTACCTTGTAGTAGTTTGTGAATAATGTGCTGACCTATGACACATAGCCACGTAAGTGAATAAACACTATTATTATTATTATTTTGTCTTGGTTTTCATTAAACTATCTTAGTAGTTTCAGGAGCTCTGGGTTTCAACACACACTTCTGCCAGCTGACTTTAGTGCGTCCATTAGCATAACAAAGTCAATTAGGCAAACCTGAATTTTCACTTTTATCCCGTTCACAGAACATCAGTGTAAATGGAGACAGGAAGAAGAAATTGGATTGATTCTCCACTTGAGAATTATGTTAACTTGGAAGAAAATGTTAAGTCTACTATGTGAGGGCATCTAGTGAGAGGGAAGGAATCACCTCCCTTCCCCCATTATGTCCCTTTATGCACCTCTGACCCTTGTGCTCTCCTTTTCTTGTTGCTTCTGTGGTCTGGTTGTTAGCTTTCCCGATCCTCCACACATTAGAAACCTAAGCATAATGATTTCTGATCGAAGGCTATGAGATATTTGAAATAAAAAAAGGGGAAATTGTTGAGTCTAGAACCAAACCTTTAAAAATTAAGAACTACCAGTCTGTAATGTGTGCCTTTAGAAAAAAACAAAGTCAAACAGAAATTAGGCAACTAGTTAGAGCCGTGATTGTGCTCTGCCACCCATGAACTCCCGTCTATGACTATTTCCACTCTGGCTTTGTGTTTCAGTAGGTCAGGGACACATATTAAGAGCAACAATTGGAACTGCGTTATCCTTTACCTCCATAAAAATACAGCTTAATAACATGTTAATGACTTAAAATTACCTTGTCTTTCTAGATTGTTTATTGATGTCATTTCAGATCGGTATAAAGGATGTGAAGTGAATAAGAAAATAGGTACGTTTCTTTTTCTTTTTTTCCCCTTTCTACCGACTAGGAAGAGATCCAGTCCAGGTTTTGCCTTTGACTCGGCCTGTGAATTTCGGCTGTGCAATGTGTAGCACGTTTCTTTCTCCCCCCTCCTTTCTCCTTCCCTCTTGCCTCCAGTGACTGTCTCCAGGATTTCTCTCTTCCTATTTCAGGAGGACTCTCACAGGCTCCCACAGCCTGTGTTAAGCTGAGGTTTCCCCTAGATCTCGTATATCCCCAACACATACCTCCACGCACACACATCCCCAAGAACCTCGAGCTCACACCAACAGACACACGCGCGCATACACACTCGCTCTCGCTTGTCCATCTCCCTCCCGGGGGAGCCGGCGCGCGCTCCCACCTTTGCCGCACACTCCGGCGAGCCGAGCCCGCAGCGCTCCAGGATTCTGCGGCTCGGAACTCGGATTGCAGCTCTGAACCCCCATGGTGGTTTTTTAAACACTTCTTTTCCTTCTCTTCCTCGTTTTGATTGCACCGTTTCCATCTGGGGGCTAGAGGAGCAAGGCAGCAGCCTTCCCAGCCAGCCCTTGTTGGCTTGCCATCGTCCATCTGGCTTATAAAAGTTTGCTGAGCGCAGTCCAGAGGGCTGCGCTGCTCGTCCCCTCGGCTGGCAGAAGGGGGTGACGCTGGGCAGCGGCGAGGAGCGCGCCGCTGCCTCTGGCGGGCTTTCGGCTTGAGGGGCAAGGTGAAGAGCGCACCGGCCGTGGGGTTTACCGAGCTGGATTTGTATGTTGCACCATGCCTTCTTGGATCGGGGCTGTGATTCTTCCCCTCTTGGGGCTGCTGCTCTCCCTCCCCGCCGGGGCGGATGTGAAGGCTCGGAGCTGCGGAGAGGTCCGCCAGGCGTACGGTGCCAAGGGATTCAGCCTGGCGGACATCCCCTACCAGGAGATCGCAGGTAAGCGCGGGCGCGCTGCAGGGGCAGGCTGCAGCCCTCGGCTGCCGCACGTCCCACTGGCCGCCCGGCGTCCCCTTCCTTCCCCCTGTTGCTGAGTTGGTGCTCACTTTCTGCCACCGCTATGGGACTCCGCGTCTCCGTGTTGGGCGGCGGATGCTCCTGCGGCTTCTTCGGCGGGGGAAGGTGTGCGTCTCCGCCGCCTCATTGTGTGCACACGCGGGAGCACCCTGGCTCCCGCCTCCCGCTGCTCTCGCGCCCTTCTACCCCTTAGTTGATGGCTCAGGCCCGGCTGGCCAGGGAGCCCGGGTCACTCCGGGGCGGCTGCAAGGCGCAGACGGAGAGCCGAGCCGGGCGCTCACTCCGCGTTCTGGTTCGGGCAAACTTGGAAGAACTGCGACCGCAGTTTGCCCAGCGCCACAGTCTGAGTGGCGCCTTCTCCACTCCCGCCCTTGCGCCGGCAGGGGCGGTGGAGAGACGCGGAGGGCTCCCCCAGCCCCTCTCTCCCCTATCCGTCCTTCGGGCGACAGAGCGCCCGGCGCTCGGGCCGGGGGCGGGCAAGGCTGGGAGGGACCCTCGCCGGGGACCTGGCCTCTGGACGCCGGCGTTTCAAGGCTGGTTTGGGGACTTCACGGGCTGCCTGTTTCAGATGTGGGGCGGGCTTTCCCGTTAGGGTTCCTCAGTGCTTCCCCAGTTGCTGTTGGCCACTCAGGGCCCGGGGACACCCTGCCACCCGGTCTGGAGCCGGCCTCGTCTGCCAGCGAACAGCCAACTTTAGCGGGTGGCTCAGCTGGGGATTCGGGTCCGGGTTCGGGGGCCCCGTGTCCCCCGCATGCCCGGCCACTGGCATTGCTCCACCAAGAGCTTGAGAGCGCCCACCCTTTCTCTCGGCGCCAGTGTGTGTAGCACTTGGTCTCCGACAACTTGCGCGGCAGTCTGGGTGCTTGTTTTCCGGCTCTTAGCTCCAACCGAATCCGAGCTTCTCTGGGGCTCTGTGAATGAAACGTGTCGGGGAGAGATAATCCTTTGGCTGCTAAAGAACAGAACTGAGAGAGGCCGAGGGAGGCCAGGAGATGCTGCGAGGGCGCGGGCTGCTCAAACCGGGCAGCTGAAGTCCTTAGTGACCTCAGATCGTCAAGTCAAAACGCTGAATTTCCACCAGCCTCTGTCTGCTTTTTGCCAAATAACTGGTGGATGGATGAAAAGCATTTTGCAGATATCTTAGAACATCACAGTTTCGATACGTTGAGGAATTACTATTTTCTTATGATTTTCAAGCTGTAGAAGTGAGGGTTTTTACTTACACTGAAATGAACACATTTAAATAAATTTGAGCATTGGCAAAGGGGGAAAAAAAGAGGCGCAAATTACCACGCTCATTATATAGAAGGAGCTTTTTCAGTTCAGAGCCAGACATTCCCTTTGCTGAGTCTAAGTTAGAATCTGTGGTGAATTATAAGCCTACTTTTCTATCCTTGTTACTTCTTCCTTCTTTTCCAGAACTCCTTAATTTGTTAATCAATGAATAGAGAGCGACTGTCCCCACAGCTCCTTAAGTTTCTTAACTCTCCTTCTCCTTTGTCTACTGTTATTTCATTCTTTTTAATTAATTGATAAGGATCAGCTTCGCTTTTTTTTTTCCCTCCCCAAATCTCAGGGAATTCAACTTTTTAAAAGGTTTATAGTATGGATCACTTCTTCTAGGAACTTTTTCTCCTTTAATCTGGGCTTTTTCAAACGGTATCTTTTAAGCACACAAGATATTTCCCAACATGATTTCAGATAAGATGTCTCAAAGAAGAAAATAGTTAGGTATTTTTAAATTGCTTCGGTATTCTTTAGAGGATAATGGGACTCTCAGGAGACTAGAGTTCATCCTCAGCATCAGGCACATCTCTTTAATATCAAAGTGAAGATTTTCAGTGTAAAACAATTTCTGTAGTCACCATGAATGTTTGTTGAGAACATTCCCAGGGGTTCATGTAAATTCTTCGGTGGATATTTAACTAAAGAGGTTTTTGTTTTTGTTTTTGGTTTCCTCCCCACCTTTTTACAATTACAGTGTTTGCTTATTAGCTATGAATTTCTAAAATGTGTGCACTTTTTTTTTTTTAAACTCACCTACTTTCCATGAGTAAGGGCATACTGTTAACTTTGCTTTAAGCCTTGTGTCCTTTGATGCTGGTAGACATAATCAAGATGCAGGTCACCACAGGGTCAGAGGCACATTTAATAGGAAAATAATGAATTGAAAGATAATTGTGTTTTTTAAGGATATACTTGTTTTTTCAAAATCAACTTTACTTAATGCTACCTATTGCTGTTTTAATAATCACTTAGGAAATATACCCTGTTGTTACAGGAACACACTCTATCTCTCCTCCCTAGTTCTTGATACTGTTTACATTTAATTATCTAGTGTAAGTGGTTATCTTTTCTTAAACTCTTTTTTATCCTTTGCCTTGATTGGGCATCTAATGGTTTGCTTGAAGAATTTCATGTGTCTTCAATCTGCCAGGGCACATAAATTTAAAAGAATTGCTGTTCAGACTTCAGATTCATGACAGCTGTTTCTAATTGAAAGCTATTTGCAGGTAGCTTGCTTAGTGAAATAACTTGAGAAGTAATAAGGACATTATGTTTCATCATGACATTATCAAAGTTTTACTCAGAACTCACAATTGTGAAATAGTGTTGCCCTTTTCTATTCTAGGATAGAATGGAAACCCAACAGATGAGGAAGTATCACAGGTAATATATAAAGTTATGCTTTCAGAGAATGCTTGGGAAGGAGGAGGCCTTCAAGGGGCAGTTTGCACCATCAGTTTTCACTCAGCACTGATTTTAAACCATGGCAAGGAGATCAGATAGACTATTTATCCTTGTTTGAAAAACTTCCAAAGGAGTAGACTCTTGATCCCCTTTCAGCAATCCATTCTAATATTTAGCAATTCTTGTGGTATAGAAATGTTTCCAGATATCTAGCCAAAAGCCTTCACAATATGCTTGCTTATTTTTTCTTGTTCTATCCTCTGGGAAGATACTGAGCAGTGAATCATCAGGTTCTTTGTTAGGAGAGTTACTCTCATCAAAGGTCAGTGTGAAACATTCTAGTCTTTCCTCATTCATCAGAATTATGACCTAAGTTTCCAATCCTCCTCATGTTGGTGGCTCTAAACTTCTAAAGGAACTCTACCACTGAAAATAGCACCTGCTTAAAACTCTGGGAAATTCAGAGAATGTTGTTTCAGGCTTACTCTGCCACTGTTTTATGCCTTGAGTCTTGCTAGGATCATTAATTATAACACTTTGTAGTTAACAGTGACTTATTGGCCTACATGATCATGTTTTCATTACTTATGTAATGTGACATTATTTAACAATCTCTTATATAGAATTTACTATGTGCCCATCACCTACTTAAAAATTATTACCTTTATAATATCACCTTACTGAATTCTTCCAATAACTTAGTAGATACTACACATTAACCCCATTTTATAGATAAAAAGGCTGTGTGACAGGAACTTTAATAAACTTACCTAAGGGTGACTCTACTAGTAAGTAATGAGGCTGCAGTTCAAACCCAGGCACTCTGACTCCAGGGTCTATATACCTAACTTGGCTCACTGCCTTACAGTATTAAACATTCACCATTTATTTTGAATGAATGCATGCAAAATCTATTCTTTCCTCATTTCATATATATATATATACGTATATATATATATACATATATATATATACGTATATATATATATATATACATATATATATATATATGTATATATATATATATATATATATATACGTATATATATATATATAGTCTGGTATTATTAATCACTATATACATATATGTATCCCTTCCAGTTTTGCATGCTAAATACGTTTCTATTTTGTTCCAACGTCTCTAATTCTCAATATCACTTTGACTTTGGATTTTGTATTCTCAGGAATTGGCCATGCTACCACCATTAAATGGTTCATGCGTTTATGCCTTTTTCTGAACGTTTTCTGGCAAGATATAGTTACATAAAACACAGAAACTAAAGTACATGTCTTGGTTTCTTTCAGTATACTAGGCCTATTGAAATATTGGGTTAGTCCAACAAAGCTCATGCTGGAAAGTTATTCATGGGGCTAGAGGGAGTAAGAACATTTATCTCCACAGATTAGAAAAAAAAATGTAACTAGCTCTGTTTTCAGTATTTATTTTGCAACTTTTTCTGTCCCAGGTATTTTGAGAGTTGGGTTACAGCTGGATATTAAAAAAGCACTAAAGTCTTCATCTATTTGATATTAATTTATCAAGTATTTATCTAAAAATCTACAGTTTAAAAAGATTATTTGCTTGTTTCAAAATACATAATGTTTCCTTTTCACTGATCTTTGCCCAGTGGGCGTTTCCTTTCTCTGGAAACCTGTCTTTCTGTCTGCTCCCCCGGCAAACCAACTAATTTAATACATTTACAATTTACACAACTTTTTTTTTTTTTTCCAGTTTCCATGGAGATATCACATTAACTTAAATGGAAAACAGTGTTTGGTAACTCTTACTCTTTAAAGCCACAGTAAATATCGTAGTTTGAGATAAATTGTTTAATTTCTGTTTATCTGCCTGGTTCAAAGATTTCTTATTTCTTTGCCCCCTGTTTAGTTAGCTGATTTCTTTAAAAGTTTTTGGAAGGACAGTGTAAGTCACAAATGAGTGAGGTGAACTTCAATTTTTGTTTTTGTAATGATTCTACAAGTCACTAGATTTCTAAAAGAATCACATTAATTCCAGGTATCAAAGCAATCTAAAAGTTGGGCTATTAGAAGCGTCACTTGTTAAACTCTTGATTTGGGCATTAATTTTAGAGCGATTGTGAGTTATCTTAGCTGATTTAATTAGAGGATAATATGTCATCATTGGGAACAAGAGTTCATTTGAGTTGACTGATATACTTTTTTACATAAAATATCTCTCAACTGCATTGTATCTTAATAATAGCTTGTGAGTAGAAATATAGGCCACTGTCAAAATTGATTTAAAATGTACAGCATTATGTTCTTTAAGTATTATGGCATAAAGATTGTGCCATAAATTATGTAAGAAAGTGACTAGTGTTCTTTTAAAATTATGGATGAAATTTACGAACACTTATAAAACACAAAATTATTGAGTAGTTCTAACCTAAAATGACCTAACTTCAATCACTAGTTTTGTATAGAAATCTGAGTTTAGGGTAAACATTATAATAAATTAATTGCTTTAAAAATGATTTTAATCTTTTGATCTTATATTGAAACCCACAAAAATAACAGTATAAGAACAACCTTTACCCCCACTTAATTCACATCTTTCAAATTACTTCTAGAAAGGCCAGTAAGGTGATTTAGATTTATCTTGCCAGTATAAACAGTGATTTAATATTCTTTTAAACTTGGTGATTTTATTTCTTTACAGACTAAATTCTGCTATGTTAAATTCTTGAGCTGGTACATAATTTAACTTTAAATATTTTCATAGATTTCTCCAGTATTATTCAATTTTCAATGATATATATAGTACAGTTTGAAAGTACTATTGACTCCCTGGGATCATATATTTGTAATAAAGGGTTCCATAGTGGTGAGACTTGGGTAAATATTTTAAAATTCTAATAATCCTGGATGAAAATATCTAAGAATTTTTAATAACCGTGGATGAAAAATATGTTTTAAATGAATGTGCCAGTTAGTAGCCAAAAAAAAAAAAATCAAAATTT
Organism: Homo sapiens; assembly: GCF_000001405.40. Classification (NCBI taxonomy): domain Eukaryota; kingdom Metazoa; phylum Chordata; class Mammalia; order Primates; family Hominidae; genus Homo; species Homo sapiens. The sequence continues at coordinate 93,233,367 of NC_000013.11, forward strand.
GGTTTCACACTTTCACATTATTCAGGTTATTGGGTATTTTAATAACCCATTCTCTCTTTCTTCTAGGCATTTTTTTCTTCATGCAATGAGTATTTATTGTATACCTACTATGGGTAAGTCATTGTACCAGGTTCTGGGGGTAGAACCCCAGGGAATTTGAATCCCAGCAGGGAAGCAGAAATTAAGGACACCATTCACAATGAATTAATTCCAACTGAGATAAATGCATAGCACTAAGGACACCTGGCACTGTGAAAGCATTTTATAGGAGCATTTGATCAAATCAGAGGCAGAATAATGGGTTCTGAAGCATGGGCGCCCTTCAGTAAGGAAGCAGGAGTGTGGAAGGGGCACAAATTTCCTGTGTGGTGAGAATACCCTGCAAACATGAGGAGGGTTCCAGTCCCTGGGGAGACTGGTCAGTGAGTGGGGAGAGGGGTGTGGGAGACTGGAGAAGGGGGCCCAAAGGTCAGGTTAATGACTTACATAGACGGAAAGAATCCAAAGGTAACCCCTGCTTCTTGACCGTAAGTTGTTCCCTTTTTCACAGCAGACCTGAACCTTTAGTTAAAAAGCCCAGTAGTGCTAAAGTCAAGTTTCTACACATCCAGTTGTTTCAAATATAGCACAAAGAAGCAGATTTTTAACCATTTAGAGCATGTTTGCCTTGTGCACTCTGTAAAACTGTACCTGTCTGCTAGCCATATGTAAGACAACCCTGGGGTGATCAAAGACTCCTAGCTGCTGCAGCCCTTAGCAGCTCTCTGGCCCTGAGGCTGTCTACCCTGTTGCTGATGACATTGCCTGGGTCATAATGCCCTTCTCCCCTGGGAGTTCCTTGACCTTCTGCCCTTTTGGGTGGTGGCCCGTTTGTTAGCCCTGCAAGGTCTCATGCTGTGAGGGACTTTCCTTCACGTGCAACCAAAGTGTCTTCCAAATTAAGCTCACTGTGTGCTACTGCCACCTGGGGGTCATGTCGTCCTCCCCCACCCCCATCAGTCCTGACATCCCTCAAACTCACTACAGTGACTTTGGCCTTTAGCCTGAGTCCCTTAACAAGCTGTTGAATAAGTGTTTTAATCAGGATTGGATACAGTTTTGAAATATTACATTGGTTGCTCTATAGAGAAAGGATTGAGGGGAAAAAACAGATACAGGAAAAGGAGGAGAGGCTAGCTAGGACTAGAGTGGTGACCATGGAAATAGGAAGGATTCAAGAAATACTTAGTAGGTGAAATGGATCAAAGTTACTTACTTAGCATCTACTATGTGACTGACAATGAATAAGGACTGGGTTGTGTGTTTGTGTATGTGTGTGTGTGAGAGAGAGAGAGAGAGAGAGTGCAAGAGAGAGAGAGGGAAGGAAGAGAGAGAAGAGAGAAGTAAGTGTCCCAGAAATGTTAATTGAATTACCATGGCAATAAAAATACTTTAGCATAGTTTTTGTGTGCTTCATAATGGAGACAAAACTCAATATCATTAAACCAGCAGAAGACTATTAACAGTATCAGTGTCACTGAGAGAAAGAGATTTCTCAAATAGGATCAGATGAATTGCTAACTCTCAAAAGTGTAGAACTATCAAAATACATGTAATCAGCTACAATTCACTATGAAATTTAAGTCACAGTACTTTCTGCTCTGTCAGTGAAAAAAAAACTTCAAATTTTTTACCCTAATGGAGAATTAATCAAATTGTGCCATAATTTCCATCAGTAATGATATTTGGTACTTAAGCTACTGACATAGCATTGTTTTAATCTAAGTACCAAATATCATTACTGATTATAATAACAACGAGAGGTTGAAGCTGAAAGGAGGAGGCAAAATTTAATTGGAGCCTTGAAGGATGGGTAGCATTTGACAAAGGGCCATGAAAGAAGGAGGCAGTTAGGGAGTAATTAAATATGTGAGCAAAATAGGGTGTGCAGAGGAGAGCACAGAAAGGAATCTGATATTGAATAGATAGGGTGGGATTGGATTTTTGGAGGGCCTTGAAAATTCTAGGCTTTATATGACAGAAAGTAGGTCATCATCTCAGGTTCTTGGCAGAGAGGTGACATGACGAAAGTATTGTTTTGGATTAGGCAAGCAGTATCACAGGATGGATTAGAGAAAAGATCATTAAAGGCCCCTGGGGAGGGAAGAAGGACAGCTAGGAGACACTTAAATTTTAGAGGCTTAGGCAGGAGATTGCCAAGGTCTCAGAGGAGGATGAGAGGAGTGAAGAAGGGGTGAATAAGGCCATGAGAGAAGGAAGAAACAAGATTAAAAGGGAAAATTTTAAAAAATTAAAAACTTCACTCTGCTGCTTAGAAATTCCAATAAAAGAGTTTAGAGGATGAGCTGTTGAAACTCTCAACTCAAGTAGTCTGTGTCAGTTAAGATACTTTTGGCAGCAGGTCACAGAAATTCCTGACTCAACTGGCTTACATAGTCAGGGCAAGCCGTTATTTCACATAACAAGAAGTCCCAGTGCAGAGTCTTGCAGGAGTGAGAAAGCTGTAAGCTTGCAGTATCAACAGGGTGCCAGGTTCTCTCTGTCTTTTGGCTCTCAGATCCTTGTTCCACCAGATCACCTCCAAATAAACACAAGATGATGGCTAGAGTTCCAGGAGCTAAGGCCTCATGACAATGCCTAGAGGCACAGAAAGAAATGATTTCTTCCCACATGTCTCTTCCTTGATGAGGCAGACAACTCTCAACAGTCCCCCAGCAGAGATGCCCACCCTTCTCATTTTAGAATTGCCTCCTATGCCTGTACCTAGAAGGGAAGGCAAAGGATATGGTCTTTCAGCTGGACCCTCAGATGGGAGCTGATGATCATAGCATGGCTTAGCTAATCTTCATTATCCTTTTTTTTGTTATTCTTTTAAATTTCAATAGCTTTAGGAGTACAAGTGGTTGTTGGTTACATGGATGAATTATATAGTAGTGAATTCTGAGCTTTTAGCGTACCTGTCACCCAAATAGTGTTCATTGAACCCAAGAGCAAATTTTTCATCCCTCACCCTCTTCCCACCCTCCCTACTTCTTAGTCTCCGGTGTCTATTATACCAGGGATCCCCAACCCCCAGGCCATGGACTGGTAATGGTGTGTGGCCTGTTAGTGACTGGGCCATACAGCAGGAGGTAACAGTAGGCAAGTGAACATCACTGCCTGCGCTCTGCCTCCTGTCGAATCAGCAGCGGCATTAGCTTTTCATAGGAGCATGAAATCTATCGTGAACTGTGCATGCGAGGGATGTAGGTTGCGTGCTCATTATGAGAATCTAATGCCTGATGGTCTGAGGTGAAACAGTTTCATATCCAAACCATCCCCACCAATCCATGGAAAAACTGTCTTTTATGAAACCATTCCCTGGTGCCAAAAAGGTTGGGGACTGCTGCATTATACCACTCTATGTGCCCCTGTGTATGCATACTTATCTCCCACTTATTAGTGAAAACGTGGTATTTGGTTTTCTATTCCTGAGTCACTTCATTTAGGATAATGGCCTCCAATTCCATCCAAGTTACTGCAAAAGACATGATTTCATTTTTTTAGGGCTGAGTAGTATTCCATAGTATATATATTCCAAATTCTTTTTATCCACTTATTGTTTCATGGGCACTTAGGTAGAATTCCCTGTTTGCAATTGTGAGTTGTGTTGTGATAAATATATGAGTGTAGTTGTCTTTTTGATAAAATGACTTCTCTTCCTTTGACTAGATAAACCCAATAGTGGGATTGCTGGATTGAATGGTAGATCTACTTTTAGTCCTTTGAGAAATTTCCATGCTGTTTTCCGTAGAAGTTGCACTAATTTACGTTCCCACCAACAGTATATAAGCATTCCCTCTTCACCACATCTACATCAACATCTATTGTTTTTTGATTTTTTAAATAATGGCCATTCTGACTAGGATAAGGTGGTATCTCATTGTAGTTTTAATTTTCATTTCCATGATAATTAGTAATGTTAAGCATTTTTTTCACATTTTTGCCCATTTGTGTGTCTTCTTTTGAAAAACGTCTCTTCATGTCATTTACACACTTTTTAATGCGATTATTCATTTTATTCTTGCTGACTTGTTTGAGATCCTTGTAGATTATAGATATTAGTCCTTTGTCAGATGCATAGTTTGCAAATCTTTTCTTTCATTCTGTAGTTTGTTTACTCTTTTGATTATTTCCTTTGCTATGCAGAAGCTTGCTAGATTAATTAAGTCTAACTTATGTATTTTTGTTTTTATTTCATTTGCTTTTGGAGTCTTAGTCATAAATTCTTTGCCTAGGCCAATGTCCAGAAGAGTTTTTCTTAGGTTTCATTCTATAATTTTAATGGTTTCAGGTCTTACAATTAAGTCTTTAATTCATCTTAAGTTATTTTTTCATATGGTGAGAGATAGGGATCCAGTTTTATTCTTGTGCATGTGACTAGACAGTTTTCTCAGGACCATTTGTTGAATAGGGTGTACTTTCCCCAGTGTATGTTTTTGTCTGCTTTGTCAAAGATTCGTTGGTTGTAGGGATTAGGCTTTATTTCTGGGTTCTCTATTCTGTTCTATTGGTCTATGTGTCTATTTTTACACTATTACCATGCTATTTGGGCTACTATAGCATTGTAGTATAATTTGAAGTTGGGTGATGTGATGCCTTCAGCTTTGTTCTTTTTGCTTAGGATTGCTTTGGCTACTCGGGCTCTTTGTGGTTCCATATGAATTTTGGGATTGCTTTTTCTAACTCTGTGAAAAACGATATTGGTATATTGATAGAAATTGCATTGAATCTGTAGAATGCTTTTGGCAGTATGGTCATTTTCACAGTATTGATTCTTCCAATCCATAAGCATGGGGTGTTTTTCCATTTGTTTGTGTGATCTACAGTTTCTTTCCTCAGCGTTTTGTAGCTCTCCTTGTAGAGATCTCTCACATCCTTGGTTAAATATATTCCTTATACTTTAAAATAAAAATTTTATTGTTTTGCAGCTATTGTAAATGGGATGGAATTCTTGATTTGATTCTAAGCTTGGTCATTATTGGTATATAGCAGTGCCACTGATTTGCATGGGTTGGCCTTGTAACCTGAGATATTACTGAGTTCATTTACAAAATCCAGTAGTCTTTTGGAGGAGTCTTTAGGGTTTTTTTAGGTATAGGAACATATCATTGGCAAACATAGTTTGACTTCCTCTTTTCTAACTGGAATGCCTTTTATTTCTTTCTTTTGGATAGTTGCTCTGGCTAGGACTTCCAGTATGTGTTCAATAGAAGTAGTGAAAGTGGGCATCCTTGTCTTGTTCCACTTATTAAGGGAAATGTTCTTATGGGGGGATGCTTTCAACTTTTCCCCTTCAGTATGATGTTCACTGTGGGTGTGTCATATATGGCTTTTATTATTTTGAAGTATGCTCCTTCTATGCCTAGTTTCTTGGGGGTTTTTTATCATGAAGTGATGCTGAATTTTATTAAATGCTTTTTCTTCATCTGCTAAAATGACCATATAGCTTTTGTTATTAATTCTGTTTATGTGGTGAATTACATTTGTTGACTTGCATATGTTGAACCATCCTTGCATTCCTGAAATGAAGCTTAGTTGATCCTGGCAAATTATCCTTTTGTTGTGCTATAGTATTTGGTTTGCTATGTTTTGTTGAGGACTTTTGCATCTATGTTCATCAGAGATCTCAGCCCACAGTTTTATTTTTTTGTCGTGTCTTTCCTGACTTGGGTATCAGGGTGATACTGGCTTCATAGGATGAGTTAGGATTTCCTCCTTCTCAATCTTTTGAAATAGTTTTGGTAGGATTGGTATCACTTCTTTTAATGTCTGGTCACATTCAGCATGAACCTAGCTGGTCCTGGGCTTCATGTTGTTGGAAAATTTTTTAAATTACTGATTTGATCTCACTACTTGTTATTTGTCTGTTCAGGATTTCTATTTCTTTCTGATTCAAGCTTGGGGTTTTGTGTTTCCAGAAATTTATTCATTTACTCTAGATTTTCTAGTTTGTGTGCTTAGAGATGTTCATAGAACATCAGATCCATGAAAATGGAGACATTACAACTGATACCACAGAAATACAAAAGATCATCTCAGATCATTTTTTGTATTTCTGTGGTATCAGTTGTAATGTTTCTATGTTTATTTCTGATTGAGCTTATTTGAATCTTCTCTATTGTTTTCCTGGTTAATCTAGCTAGTGATTTATCAATTTTATCTTTTCGAAGAACCAACTTTTCATTTCATTGATCTTTGTATTTTTTTTTCAGTTTCGGTTTTGTTTAGTTCTGGTCTGATATTTGTTATTTCTTTTCTGCTACCTTTGGGTTTGGTTTGTCTTGTTTTTCTAGCTCCTTGAGGTGTGACATTGGTTGTCAATTTGTGATCTTTTTGTCTTTTTTGATGTAGACATTTAGTGCTATAAGCTTTCCTGTTAGTACTGCTTTTACAGTATCCCAGAGATTTTGATAACTTGTGTCACTGTCATCATTCATTTTGAAAAAATTATTAATTTTAATGTTGATTTTGTCATTGACCTAAAAGTCCTTCAGGAGCAGATAATTTAATTTCCACATATTTGTATAGTTTTGGGAATCCCTCTTGGAATTGATTTTTAGGTTTATTCTGCTGCAGTCTGAGAAGATGCCTGATATGATTTTTCTTTTTAAAAATTTATTGGAACTTGTTTTGTGGCCTATTGTATGGTCTATCTTGGAAACTATTCCATGTGCTTATGACAAGAATGTATATTCTCTAGTTTGGTGTAGAATGGTCTGTAAGCCTCTGTTAGGTCCATTTGTCCTAGAATCCAGTTTATGGCCAGTGTTCCTTTGTTGACTTTCTGCCTCAATGATCTAGCTAGTGTTGTGTTGAAGTCCCCCACTATGACTGTATTGCTGTATTTCTCTTTTATGGAATCTATTAGTATTTGTTTTACAAATCCGGAAGCTCTGGTGTTAGGTGTATGTTTATTTAAGGTTGTTATCTCTTCTTGTTGAGTTGACCAACTATCATTATATAATGACCTTCTATGTCTTTTTATTATTTATTTATTTATTTACTTTTGTTGATTTAATGTCTGATTTATCTGATATAAGAATGACCAGTGCTGCTCATTTTTGGATGCCATTTGTGTGGAATATTTTGTTCCACTCCTTTACCTTGAGTCTATAAGAATCTTTACAAGTTAAGTGGGTCTCTTGAAGGCAACATATACTTAGATTGTGCTTATTAAATTAATTCCACTAATCTTATGTTTTAAGTGGAGCATTTAGATCATTTATATTCCAAGTTAATAGTAATATATTAAATACTATTCCAGTCATCATGTTGATTACTACCTAGTTGTTTTGTATTCTCCATCATGTTACTATTTTATAAGCAGTGAGTTTTATACTTTTGAATGTTTTTTATACTGTTGCGTATAGAACTTTCATTCTGATGTTTAGAATTCCTTTGAGCATTTCTTATAGGTCCAGTCTAGTGGTGACAGATTCTCTCCGAGTTTGCTTTACTGGGAGAGACCTTATTTCTCCCTCATTTATGAAACTAAGTTTTGCACCATACAAAATTCTTGGTGACCATTACTCTGTTTAAGAAGACTAAAGATAGGATTCCAGTCCCCTCTGGCTTGTGAGTTTTTTGCTGGGAAGTCTGCCATTAGTCTGACAGATTTTCCTTTATAAGTTTTGATGCCTTTGTCTCACTAGTCTTAGAATTATTTCTTTCATGTTGACTTTAGATAACCTGATGATTACATGCCTTACTGATATTCTTTTTGCAATGAATCTCCCAGAGTTCTTTGAGACTCTTGTGTCTGGATGTTTAAATTTCTATCAAGACCAGACAAGTTTGCCTCAAATATTCCCTCAAATAGGTTTTCCAAACTTTTTACTTTTTCTTCTTCTCCTTCAGGAATACCTATGATTATAGGGTTTGGATGTTTTAGAGAATCCCATATTTGTTGGAGACTGTATTCATTTCTTTTGATTCTTTTTTCTTTGTTTTTGTTCGGTTGGGTAAACCCAAAAGCCTTATATCCAAGCTCTGAAATTATTTCTTTTGCTTGGTCTAGTCTCTTGGTAAAACTTTTCACTGCATTTTGTAACTCCCTAAATGAGTCTTTCATTTCCAGAAGTTCTGTGTTTTGTTTTGTTTTGATTTTTTGATTTTTTAAAATCTATCTCCTTGGAAAATTTTCATTCATATCTTGAGTTGTTTTCTTGATTTCTTTATGTTGGTTTTGACTTCCTCTTGGATCTCATTCAGAAACTTTATGATCAATATTTTGAATTCTTTATCTGGTATTTCCAAGATTTCATTTTGGTTTAGATTTATTGCTAAAGAGTTAATGTGATCTTTTGAGGGCATTGCAAAACTCTGCTTTTCATATTGCCAGAATTATTTTTCTGCTTCCTTCTCATCTGGATAGAATTGTTTCTTCTTATTATTTTTGAATTGAGTTTTGACTGAACTGGGTTTTTTTTTTCTCCTTGAGGATGTAACTATAATGTGTATAGTTTATGATTCCCTAGCTTTGGGTCTGGGTAATTTCAGTTGCAAAGACTCTGTGTAAGTTCCTTGGTTATACAGAATTTTGTCTGATGGCTTTCTTAGGTCGTGCTTTTAGTAGCAATGTAGCGGGTGTGTGAATAGGGCCACTGTCTCCTGTGGTGCTGGAATGGCAGAGGTCTCCTGAAGCTTATTTTATTCCTCTTGATGTGTACTTTTTTCCCCAGTATTTTTTCAGTGGGTTGAACAATTTAGTCTTCAGTTTAATTAGAGGTGTTCATGGGTAAGAATTGGCTGTGGCTAAGGTAGGTGGGTATATGCAATACCACAATGGTGAGCACACATCCCAGCCCTGATGGATGTAGCCTAGGGAGTTCCCATGAAATGCACTGAGGTCTTCATAGGTGAAAGGAAGGGTGCTACCTCAGCTCTACTACAAGCCTGGCAAAAAACAACCCAACTCCCTATCATCCTCCTGTCCCAGTGTTCTGGATATTCAGATTAGACAAGCATCTTTCCATCTTCAGGAATGCTGACATTTTGTGTAGAGAGGGAGCAGGGCTCTACTCCTCTTGCAAGCCTGACCCCAGAGGACACACATCCTGTGGGGACACAGTCACCCCAAAATGCTCTATAAAGACCATCTACAGATGCACCCAAGCCAAGCTCCTACAGGAGACATCCTGGCTGTGTCTGCAGCAGTGGGTGAGGGGGAGAAGTCCCCTCTACGTCACTTCATGAGTACTGGGGCTGCTCGACCGCTGGGGAAGAATTGTAGTCTTCCCACTCAGCTGAGCACTGTGCCCATCCCTCTGCTGAAAGAGTTGCAGCTGCTCCTAGCCCACAAGCAGCAAGTTCACGGACACAGAAAAGCCTGCACTCTGTTTCTTTTGTCCCACAGAGTGCTCCCTTGGTATGATGCACTCCCCCTTTCCCTAGGTATGACAATCCCTGGGGAACAGACCACCGTGAATCCTGCTGTTCCTCTGGGTCTAGCCACCATGTGGGGTTGCCACAATCCAGGTTGGTACTGAGGCATGTCTACAAGGGATCCTGTGATGTGAAGACACAAGGGTTGGAAGTCCCTGAGCAGAACAAAGTCTCGCAATGGGTGCACACTCAGTATGGCACCTGCTACTACAGGTTGGGACCGGGGGAACAGGAAGGGACCCTGTTCGAGATGGTAGCCCAATATAATGCCCTCGAGAAGTCCCCAGATCGCAGCCCGCTCCAGTACTTGGGCTCATGGTGGCAAAAAAGCTCTCCTTGAGTTTGGATACCAGCAGTCTGCTGCAAGGGCTAGAGATGCCAAGAGCATTCCCACCTACCCTTTCCACAGAATACTAAGTCTCTCTTGATTTGATCTCTGCAAGCTTCTTGATTCCTTAATTTTTGTGTATGCTGTAGATTCTTCCAATGAACTTTCCAATGGGCTCCAACAATCTCCCCTTAACATTCCATTTAGGCTATGGTTATTCACATTCACCTGTAATTCGTTTTTTTTGTTGTTGTTGTTCTGAAGGGAATTGTTCACCCATGTCTCTAGTCAGCCATCTAGAAAAGCCCTCTGATCCCTCAGGCCATGGACTGGTCTACAGGACTTGCAGTAGCTTGGGCTTTGCTCTTAGCTCCAGAGACAAGTGATATGGGTGGAGCTGGACCAGGCTGACCTGTCCTCTCCGGTCTCCCAGTGGCAGGTGCGAGCACCAGCTCTGATGGGGGTGGCAGGGGAGTGGTGTGGGCTCTGTAGGTCTGTCTTGGTCTGTTCAGGATTTCTAAATAAGGCTGTTTGGTGTGGTTTGGTGGCTTTCTCACTTGCCAGCTGTAGCATCAATGTACTGGGCATGTGAGCGGGCTCAAGTCCTCCTGGGTAGCTGGGGTGGTGTGGACAATGGTGTTAGCTGAGGTCAAAGAAGAGTTTTCTCCTTCACAAGCACTGTGTTACTGTGTCAGAAGATGTTGTAATGGGCTGTGCTGGGTGAAGTCGGGCCAGGAGGTAGCGCTTGTAGGAGAGAACCAGCTGCTGGGGTGGCCATGGGATGCTTGGCCTGTGTTATTCAGGGGAAGCACTCAGATGTTGCTGGTGATGGGCAGGGCCGTGGAACTCCTAAAAGGCCCTGTCTGTGTTCTGCTGCCAAGGTGGGTGGAGGGGAAAAGCTGGGTGGGGGCTGGGTCAGGCAGTCCCGTGCTTTGGCTCCCTAGGTGTGAGTGCAAGCAGGAGCCCTGATGGGAGTCAGTGGGAAATTCCCTGGCCACTGGGGTAATGTTTCAGAGAGGAATGGAACCACTTTCGCTGCATAAAAGAGTCCACGCTGGGAGCCGGGCAGCAGGTGGCAATGAGACCCACCCAGCTCCCATGCCTTTGACAAGGCAGATCTCACACCCACAGACTTCTGCTGGCAGAAAGCTGCAAGGGCCGGCTGGGTCCCACAGTGCAAGACTGCCACACACTGCAAGACTTCCCCCGCAAGACAGAAACCGCAGCTCTTAGGCCACACCCCTTCTAGTTTGGCCCACGAAGCAGGGGCACCTGGCTCCTGTGTCCATGCCAGAAGCATGCTTTATGCTTAAGATTAGGTTGCAAATCTCGCTTGGGAGCTTCTTTCAGCCTGTGGCCATCTCCTGAGTTAGCTAGCAGATTTTCACGTGGGCGTCTGTGAGTTGGATTAGGAGTGTCTTCCTTCTGCCCCTCCTGGCGCCTGGGCGGGCATGCAAAGCACTTCTCCATGCTGCTCCTTCTCCCCACTGCTCCCCAAATCAGCTCTAGCACCCGGTAGGGTTAAGGAGCTCCCCCATGGCCTGGATTAAGCGGCTCCCCAGTGGGAATGTGTATGAAGGAGACAGTCTCTCCCCTTTCACGCTCCAAAGACTGAAGTTTTCTGCCTGACTCACAGTGCAGCCTGCTGCCTACTGCTCCTTTCACAGTATCCAAAGTTTCTTTCACTTTTTCTCTTGAGTTCCTCTGTTCCTTCTTAGATAAAAGTGCACAGCGTGAATCTCTACATACTATTTTGCTCTTTTCAAAAGGGTGACGCACACTAACAAAGCCTCTAATCTGCCATCTTCAAAAAAAAAACTTCATAATCTTAATAAGAATCCCAATAAATTGAGTAGTAATTGAGAAATTGAGAGAAACTGCTGAGGCTGTCTGAATTAATGAGGTATTTGGCATTGTCACTTTAGTCCAGTATTTCTCAACCCTGGCCAGTGATGAACTGATTAGGTATTAACAACTGCCTGGGTGTGGAGGGGACACTGATTCATAGCATTTGGTAAGTTTTGTGGTATAAATGTTCTCACCATGAACAATTTCAAGCTACCAACAGTTTAACAGCCAGTTCACAAAATTCCTTAAAATTTAACAGTCTTCTAGGCTATAATGTGGGGCACTGAAAATTATCTATACTTGAGCACCGTTATTCAGTTTTGGATACTCTGATTTAATTGATTTGGGAAAGGGCACAGTCCTTCCTTCTTCTATTCTTCTCTCCTTCCTTCCTTCATTCTTTCCCTCCTTTCATAATTTCCTAATTTAGATGTGCTCCCAGGATTGAGAATGAGTGATGTAGAGCAGTGAGCTTCCTAAACTTTACTATGCACCAGAATCACCGAAAGGCTTGCAAAACACAAATGGCTGGGCTCCACCTCCCAGACTTTCTGATTCAGTAGTAGTTCTGGCCTGGAGTCTGTAATTTGCGTTTCTAACAAGTTCTCAGGTGATGCTGATGTTGTTGGGTCAGGTATCATACTTTGAGTCTCTGGGGCTCATACTCTGGTTGCCATTCATTGTGGTTTTAAATATGGATTTCTTTCAGAGTGGGCAGTCACCTTTTGGATAATGGTTTTTGTATTGTTTTTTACATTGGTTGTGGGTGAGAATCTCCACCCACAAAGTGTGTTACTGCTACAAGTTGTACTACTTAGATCTCCCCGCATACTTTAAAAAGTTTACATGAGCCCCTAGGGGGACTAAGGAAAAGAGCAGAATGGGACCAGAGCAGTCTATCCCATGTCTGCCTGGAACAAAAGAGGCCAACGATTCTTCTTCCTAAGTAGAATGGGCTCTCCACATTGCTTTAAATGGGAAATGGGCAATGGCATTTCAGGTTTCTTTCACCACAGGATCCTATTTTTCTTACTAATATGGTATGCCTTCTGTTGGTACCTATGACTCTTAATTAATTTTTGGTCCTGTTGAGATTTCTGGTCAAGAGAAATTCCATCCCCCCAACCTCCTCCTTGAGCTGTTTTTCCTATCCTAGCCTCTCAGGCACAGATCTAGCCATTTCCCCTGACTTTTAGACTGTTATGCAAGGCGACTACATTTAGAGCTGGTCACTCTGCATTTTGTACACATTGAATTAAAGATATAGCATAATACATTCTGGGCATGCACACCTGCACTCTCTAGGCTTTACTAGTTGCATGTTTGCTCCTTACATCATAGTTTTAGGTTTATCAAGCAATTGGCTTCCTCTCTTTGTGCCCCCAGGACAGCTGAGATTAGCAGGGGCCAGTGCTTCTCCACAGAATTTGAAGGAACTAGAGGTATTTTTTTTCTTAAGATTGCAGTGATGTTGAGGCAACCATTTTCTTTGCAAAGAAAACACCTTGAAGTGTTCTAAAAAATAATAATAATAAATAACTTTTATTTACTATTTTCTTAATAGATGAGAATAACTCAAAGTCACTAGCACTTGTGAAATGAACTTAACAAAAGCCACTATGATTGAGACCATCCTGGCTTACACGGTGAAACCTCGTCTCTACTAAAAATACAAAAAAATTAGCCGGATGTGGTGGTGGGCACCTGTATTCCCAGCTACTAGGGAGGTTGAGGCAGGAGGTGAACCCCAGAGGCGGAGCTTGCAGTGAGCCGAGATTGTGCCACTGCATTCAGGCCTGGGCGGCAGAGCAAGACTGTCTCAAAAAAAAAAAAAAAAAAAAAAAAAAAAGCCACTATGCACACATTATAGGTATTTTTAAATGACAGGCCTTACATTTTTTCCTGGAAAAAAAAAATTGTCTTTTAGCTGTTTGCTTATCCTAATTTCCCCCCCAAATCTCCATGATTGGGAGTTTTTCAAACTTAAAAAACTGTGACATTTAAAATTTCTGGTAATTTGTTCTCTTTTTTCTTTTCTTTTTTTTTTTACAGCCAAATATTTAACAAAAATTTTAAGTATAATGTAACATTTTATTATGAAAGAAACAACTACTGGAAACTAACTTGCAACAAAAACCATTCTAGTATCTTTGCAGTACCCTTAGGAGATACCTAATTCTTTAAAGAGATGTTTATATTAATGAACTGATTTTAGAAGACAGAATTTTTGAGATCGCTTTTAGATACCTACAAGCTATATTAAAAATCACCAATAAACAAATTAAGATTATCTTTGACCTCTGTTTTCTGTTGGCCTAACAAATGTTTTTGCAGAGTTTAGGATTGCTATTTTGAAAATGGGAACTTGTAATTCTAAAGTACTAACAATCTGAAAATGCAGGATTGCTGGACACTCCTATGTGGTGATCCATTATTAGCTTCTCCTCCAACTATATTTGCCTTGAACTTGAGAATCTTAGTTTACTGTTACTTTTACATTATCAAGTGCTAATGTGTGAAAGGATTTTATTATGCTTTTACTACTCATTTCATGATATGGTATCTTATTCAATATTCTTTCACAGACTTGGGGATATTAGATATCAGGTCAAGCATTATGTTAAAAGCTTAGGCCAATCTTTTTATATGACCGCAATAAAGAATATATTCATTTCACTTATATTACCACATGGCCCTCATAAAAGGTCAGTTTCAATTGAATATAAAATACCTTACAAATGGCAAATCATATGTCATCAACAACACACCTATTATGAATAATCTATTTTCAATTACCACCTTCCCCTCTTTAAAATATAACTTGGAAATGTCTTAGAATCACTAAGAGATCTTCATTATGTATTTTGTGCAAAAGACATAAAAATTGTATATTTTTCTGTTTTAGTCAACAAAATATGTATGGAGTAATCACACTTAAATTTCAGTTAAAACAAGTTAGGTGCATCAGATATTCAGACCAAAAAACATGAAATTATATTTTTTCCATTTTGTTGTTAACACAAAATTTAACTAATTAACTGAATCAGTTACTCGGCCTGGGCTATTGATGATGAGATAATATTACAAGAAGTTATATGTATACACATAAGCTGGTTGCTGTGATTTAGGAGTGCCAATTTATTCTTACTCAGAACATGCTTAGCAGTGTATACAAAGGTTTCCAGTATAACAAAGGGTTGACTATATATAGAAATATAGGTTAGAATGAGCTTAATTCTATGTGATAACCAAGGTTGATTTTTACAACTGGAATAACAATTTCCTAGAACAGAAAAACCTGTAGCATATTTAAAAATGAGTTTTAACCTTTCTAGCCATGATTTTAAAAAGCACAGTCTTGACAAAACTGCTTAGTCCCCTAAAGGATATATTTTCAAAAGTATGATCTTATGTTTGAAAAAAAAAAAGTCTAAAAATGTTCTGTACTTTAAAAGGCCCACAAAAAGTGTTTTTTTTTTTTTTCTTTTTTAAGTGAGCCTCTGTCACAATTACTATAATCAGGAAAAATGGAATACAAATAAGCAAGAGCAGGCTTTTTCCCAGTACGACACTTCCTACAGCTATCTTCATTCAGGGTGACAATTTCTATTTTAACCTAATTAAGTATAAGAGAGGACCAGTGTCCTAAGCCATAAGCCTGAAGGTTCCTGGAAGTACTGAGCTGCTCATTACCTCCCGGGCACTGCTGGGAGCCGCTGCCTGAAACTTCTGGAAGGTGCCACGGATGCCCAGAAGGAGGCTCTGCTGCACAGCGCCAGCCTGTAGGTGCACCACCTTCAACCGCATTTCAGCCTGGTTACTGTGGAATTGATTTTCACGGCTCATGACAGAAGCTGTTTTCAGCCCATGAAAAGGAAGTGGCTGGAGCTGATACGCCTAACACAAACAGCAAATTGCTCCATGGCTTTCATAGCATTCGAGGCCTGTTACCTTAAGGTTCTAATGGCCTTTTAACAGTGTTTCCAGCTGAGCAGCAGATGTAAAGGATACTGAACATTGAAAGCACTGTTCTTTTTTCCCCTCCCTGAAAGAATCATTGTTTACAGACATTGTACCAACACCATATCCTAGGACCTATTCACTGGCATGTTAGATTTGAAAAACTGAAACAAATTTCAGATAAATAGAAAGTATTATCAGTGCCATAAACCTACCACCTTACTGAGCTGTCTGTCCTATATTACCACCCATCAGGAACTGAGATCACTGAGGACGTATTTTCACCATTAATAGGGGCCCCCATTTGGTAATATCGCATCAGGGAAAATAATTAATGGAACCCTGTGAAACCTCTGAAACTCCTTATACTTTAAATTGATTGATTTTAATCCTAAAAATTGCTGTGTATTTCTGAAAATAACACATTTAACATTTAGAATTGTATCCTTTCTGCCTTTGGCTTCCCTTTCTGTTGTTCTGAGTGTTTAGTTTCGTCCTCTGTTGGTAAGGGTTGTGAAATGTTTGCCTTATAGGCAGCTATGGGCTTCCTGCATAGGGAACATGAAGGCCTTTAAAAGGTTTGGTCTGTTGAAAGAGGTTGGCATTTCAGTCTTGTGGACTTTTGGGAAAAAAATGTTAAACATAACTGAAGAGCCCTTGTCAAATTGGAGGTTTTTCCATTTTAAAAACTAGAGAAATAGTATGTCTTTTGATTTCACTTTGGTCCAAGCAGCGCCTCATATTTCCACTTTCCAGTGGTAACTAGCAGAGGTAAGAGAAAAACAGCCATGCGGGTGAGTCATCATTCCTCACTCCAGGAAATGGCTCATTTTACAAGCTTTTGGAAGGACCTTTGGGAAGTTGTGAGCTGCCACCATTTTTGAATTGAAAATATACATATGTTGCAACTCTGATGTAAAAGGCATATAGTTCCTTTTTCCTCCACCTCTTGGTTTCTCCTTCTCCTTCTCTTCTTGCTCATATAACCTGTGTAGTTTTCCGCAGGAGCTCCCACTTGATGGGTAACAGGAGAAAACATTTTAGTCTGATCTAGTTGAAAATGTAGTCTGATCAGTTTTGCCTTTCTAGCTGACAGTCAATCAAGTGGGATACTTGCTGTGGTGCAGTGGCTTTGACTCCTGGCTCCTCTACTTAGCCTTTTCTGAACCTCTCTGTGCCTTGATTTTTCCATCTGTAAACAGGGGTAATAGCAATTCCTATCTCTCATCACTGGGATTGTGCTACACGAATGAACACTTCTAAAGCTCTTAGAATAGTATCTGACAAGTACGAAAGGCTGTACACATGCTTGTCAATTAACACAGAGTAGAGGAGGAAATAAATCTCTTAGATTGCGGAGTGATAAAGGAGTGACTCTTTCTCACGAAAGAAAACTGAGGGTCCTAGGGCTCTGCCCATTTCCAGGGCCCTGCTGGCCTGCATATCTGGGGGTGGTATACTTTGTGATCTGCTCTTATTCAAGTTGGGAAGGACCGGGTAACTAGTCCCCTTCCTTTGGTATTCACCCTCACATTGGCCTTTCTGGGCATGAAGACCTCCTGAGTCACTGGTTTGTCACTCAACTGGCCTCTGGCCCACCTCCAGCCTTGATCACTTGGCATGGGGGGACCATGACAAGCCTCTGGTTTGCAACTCCGCTGCTTTCTGAGTTCTTCCCAGGAGGGCTCTAGGGATTGCTGAGCCAGACCAGTGCTACCCAGGTGAGGGGTGTAGCTCTCCCTCTGAGTACTCTGTGCCCCAAAGTTGACCCTAAAGTTGGTCCAGGTAGCCCACCAGGCAATCTCTTCACAGAATCCTAGGCAGAATTTGGGCCCCACATCCTGCTTCCCTTTGGCTTCCCAGCATTGAGGCAAAGCTCAGAGAGAAACTGGGTGTATTAGTTTGTTTTCACACTGCTGATAAAGACATATCCAAGACTGGGCAATTTACAAAAGAAAGAGGTTTAATGAACTCACAGTTCCACATGGCTGGGGAGGCCTCACAATCATGGTGGAGGGTGAAAGACACGTCTCACATGGCAGCAGTCAAGAGAAGAGAATGAGAGCCAAGCGAAAGGGGTTTGCTCTTATAAAACCATCAGATCTCGTGAGACTTATTCACTACCACAAAACAGTATGGAGGAAACCATCCCCATGATTCAGTTATCTCCCACTGGGTCCCTCTACAACCTGAGGGAATGATGGGAGCTACAATTCAAGATGAGATTTGGGTGGGGACATAGCCAAGCCGTATCACTGGGTGACTTGGCAAACCATTACCATTCTTCCACCTCCTTCCTTTGCACAGACCCCTTGGGCAGGGATGGGTTTGCTATCTCTTTCTCTTTCTGACTGGAATTCAAGCCCTTCTGCCACATTTAGAGACTTCTGCCTACTAAAGAGATGATGTAACAGACCCTCATGCCCTTAGAGGTGGAAACCTATAAGGAAATAAATGATTTAAGGAGCAAACAGAATGGAATCTGTTTTTAAAGTATTTGTAAAACATTATACCCATTACATAAACAATATGAAAACTTTCAAAGAATCTCTTGAGCATCAAGTAAATTGGAAATAATATGAACTTTTTATTTACATAGGAATCTTTGGGATTCCTTGCAGATACTACTATATAGAAGCAAAAGGACTTAATTCCTTGTCTCATGCTTGCAAATTGGTTAAAGTTTTCTTACCTTTTCAACTCTGGTTTCCTATCTATACAGAGAGAAGTCTCAAAATAAATGTTAGTTCTCCTTTTCCCCATTCCTTCATGACATGTGGTGATAAGAAATCTTCCTATTCCTTGTTCAGCAACAGGGAGAAAATGTAGGAGGCTGTAATCCCCACTCTAGACTTAGTCATTTTAATTTCTTTTTATGATGAGCTCTGAAGAGAGAAGCTCTAATAGAACTTTAAAAGGTGATCTTGAAATGCTGTTAAATGTCAAACAGCAAATCTTTAAAAACATTTACTTTCTTTTTTTGGTCTTCTAGTTGGAAATGGCACTGAAACATCTCTCTCATCTCATTTTTCACAGGTTTCTGTTTGTTGTTTTTACCATCAGGAGAATGATCTGTTTGATAAGTTGCTTTGATTATTTCGATTTGTTGAAACCAGTGGTTCTCAAACTTGAATGTGCACCAGAATCATCCAAAAGTCTTATTCAAACCTAAACAGGTGGGCCCCACCCTGAGAGTTTTTGATTCAGTAGATCTGAGATGGAGCCCAAATTGTGTTTCTAACAAGCTCCCAGGAAATGCAGGTGCTGGTGTTCTCTGGACCACACTTTGAGAACCACTGTCTTAAAATTTAAGACTTCAACTATCAGCAGTTCCCTTTTTTTTCCCCCCAGGGGTTTGAGAATACATTTCAAACATGGTTTGACATTCAATAACTCAAACTATTTTTCTAACTTACTTCTAGGCATTTGCCTTCTAGAAATTTCCATCTGATAAAAGATTTTTCCAATACACTTACTTTTCTTCCTGACTAATTTGATTTGTGCACACTCGTGACAATGCTGATGTCTTCCCTGCTTTTATCCACCAAGTAAAATCCAACCCTGTTGAAAGTTCTCTTCAAACTCCCTTCAAAATCCCTTTTAAATTCATTTGCCCTAAGCCTCTTGGTTCCTGTTTTCACCTTTGCCAAGCTTGTATAGTGTTTGTCTCTTTATTAGGTAACTAATCCACTTCTACTCTTATATTTTCTTGTATCATTTAAAATGAGGGACTTAGTTTTTGTTTCTCAAATTGCCTCTAAGATGTCAGAGGTCATTCTAACACATATTTTTATTCCCTGGAGCACAGTGCTTGAACACAGTAGGTACTCAATAAATAATTAAATACTCCTTGGTTGGAAATATAAAGGAATTTTTTAAACTTTGCTTTTGTTTTGTTTTCTTACCAGGCATACCTTCCAGACAACTTTCAGTAAGATCAAAATTAAATTGTGTAATGTAGAGACACCCTTATATTTTCTTTGAAAGATTGCAGCTGATAAGCTATATTGGCTTAAGCCAATGGAAATCAGTTTGCAAAAGTATAGACCACCAGAGTTTATTGTGTGGAACATGCATTTTGTTGCCTTTATATTGTTTTAAAGCATAACATTTCTCCCAATGAAGCTCTGTTTTATATAGGTATATGTCTATCAAAATGTTTTTTCAAAACATGGCATATTTTAGCTATCACTGACAGCAATTTTCAAATACCTGAAAAGATTAGAGAAGTTAAACATAAAGAGTACTTTAAATGGCAGTGACATTTCCTGGGAGATAAAGAAGTTGATATAGAGGAAATTTAGTTTAAAAAGTCAGGCCTAGGGATAAAGCAATCAAATTGTACTGCCTTTTGAATGATCTATTTATGATGGAGGCTTTGAATAATAAATTGTGCTTCTGGAATGTACATAGAAACCACTTGTAATTTTGTGGATTCCATTTTAAGCTGTTGCCTACTTAGGCTCTCTTACCTGTATCAGTGCAGGTCAGAAACAATTTATTTTTAATCACTTGACTAAAAGAATAGCATCCACATTTTCCCTGCCCTTAAGGTACACATAGAGCATTGAAGATTGACTTACAGGTGATTAATTTCAGTATGATGTGGGGAGTGGAGGGATAAACCTGCTGGGAGCCTAAAGGAGGACAGGTGAAGGTAACCATGGCTGGGAGGTGGGGGATGAGAAGAAAAACCGAGTGCTCTGATACAGTATTAATTGTTCTTTGATATAAATGGATGAACCCTAATTATATAGTTAATATGGAGGCTACATTCCTCTCTTCAATAGAAGATCATGCCCTATGAACCTCCTGAGAAATGTCAGCTCTGGTTTTACAAAACTGCATTCATTGATCTTTGTTCAAGTAAATGGAACTTGCATCTGTCCTTAGGAAATGGTATATAACTACCAAGGGAGAGATTTAATGTAAAATTAATATACTTCCCATAGTTTGAATAAAATTTCTAGAGAAATGTTAGGAAAATAATCACATTTATCACATATGATTATCCCTGCTACAGATGTGGGTTTAAATGGTGATCATTCTACCACTTCATATACCAACATTCCTTTAGCAAAAATTAGTATATGATCGTGCTGTGTATTTTAAATATTAGGCATGGTGGCTCACGCCTATAATTCAAGCATTTGGGAGGCCAAGGTTGAAGGATCACTTGAGGCCAGGAGTTTGAGACTGGCTTGGGCAACATGGTAAGACCCTGTCTCTACAAAAAACAAAATCACAGTTAGTCAGGTGTGGTGGCATGTGCCTGTAGTCCCAGCTACCGAAGAGGCTGAGAAGAGGATCACTTGAGCCCAGGAGTTTGAAGTTACTGTGATCTATGATCACACCACTGCACTCCAGCCTGGGTGACAGACTGAGACTCTATCTCTTATAAAAACAAAAATGAAAATGAAAGATCCATAGATAGTACAGCTACCATATTAAAGTGTGTATGCTTGTGTACAAAATATAAATATTTTTATAACCAAAGATGATACTAATGGTGTGGCTATTTTTTGCCATAGGTGACTAAATAGAACAATTGTTTCATGAATCCCTTTTACTAACTTTTCTTAGGTAGATGGTGCAACCAGTGGTTCCAGATGGAGAAAAGGTGAAAACAAGTTGGCATTTTTTTGTGCCCTTCAAGATCTGACTTGCTTTATTTTTTAATTTTTATGTTTTCTAGCACATTTGAAAGTGTGAACATTTAAACTCTTATTCTGTTTCAGTTTGCATATGAAGATGTTTTAAGTAAGTTCTGGAATTATATAAAAAAAAAATAGAGAGAGTGAGGATGCCCAGATGACAACAAGCAGAAAAATTCATCCTTTAAATAAAAGCCTCTATTCTCATTTGGAAAGCAAAATGTTCTCTCTTAAAAGTAGCAGCTGTAAAAAAAGCAGGAAGGCAGACCACACTAATCTAAGTTGTAAAATATGTTTTGGTAGCTTAACAGAGATTTAGCTGTTTCTGAGAAAAAAAATCAAATCTAATTTTAAAATGAAGGTATTTAAAACCATGGCACAAGGGAGCCTTATTTATGGAGCTGGTGGGAAGCCAGGATGTTTCCAATCCGCTGCTCTTACAGGAGCCTGTGCCTCGCCAGTTCTGTGCTGCAGTGGGCAGCCAACTGAAGTGCATGAGTCAAATGCACGAAGCAGCAGACACCTGTCCTTTCAGAAGGCAAGAGGTGATGAAATGAGTGAATTCCAGAACTAGTGGAAAGAAAACGTAATGATTACCCCAGATTTTTTTCTTCTATTTATTTATTTTTATTGATGCATAATAGCTGCACATAGTTTTCGGGTACGCATGATAATTTAATACATTCATAAACCTTGTAAAGATCAAATCAGTGTACCTGAGATTTCCATCACCTTAAAGATTTATCTTCTTTTTATACTAGAACCATTCAAATTCTTCTCTTCTAGCTATTTTGCAGTATATATTATTATAAACCATAGTCACCATACTGATCTAACACTGTCTCTTTTTTCTATCACATTTCAGATTTTGTTTTTCTTAAAATTGATCTGTACAAACTAATATTTCTTTCTAAAAACAAGGTGAAAAGTGTTTGGGTTTTTTTCCCCCTACATGGAATTCAAGCTTTGAACTTGTGTGTTTCTTTCAATGTCATACATACTGATCTTTATAGAATACTGAAGGTGCTGTTTCTTTTCTAAATGGTATGCCTGATCTTTGAATGAAAGGTATATCATGGTGCCAAAAACCTTCAACATTTAGCCTTGGGACCCCATTGCTTGCACAGTGGACCTATTTTCTAATCTGGAAAATATAAGCCTGTATACCAAGAATATATTTTTTGAGGCTGGGGAGTATATTTTTTTGGATAAGTTCACTAATTACCATAATAAATAGTAAATACAAATTTTCTTGTGATCTAGTACATAAGCTGGGCCCTGTGGCTCATGCCTGTAATCTCAGCATTTTGGGAGGCCAAAGTTGATGGATTACTGGAGGCCAGGAGTTCAAGACCAGCCTGGCCAACATGGAGAAACCTCATCTATATTAAAAATACAAAAATTAGCTGGGTGCAGTGGTGCACGCCTGTAGTCCCAATTGCAATTGCTAGGGAGGCTGAGGTATAAGAAATGAGAATTGCTTGAGATGTTGTAAGTTTTAAGCTTGAGCCCAGGAGGCAGAGAGTGTAGTGAGCCGAGATTACCCCACTGTACTCCAGCCTGGGCGACAGAGTGAGACTCCATCTCAAAAAAAAAAAAAAAAAAAAGATCTAATACATGAAACCTAATTTGCTAAAACAATTATGTTTCCTAATTTCTAAAGAAAATTTTTCTGTTTCATTTGGAAAAAAATAAGACAGAAAGTAATGACAGTATGATTAAAAGTTGCTTTCCTATGGACAAGAGAGATCGTCATTTTTTTTTTCCTTAAAATGCGTTTAGTAGGAATAATTTATCTCTCCTCTTACCTCTTAAAATATTTTACTTAAATATTTTGGAGCAGTAATCACTTTTTAACTTGTTATTACAAATATGAAATATAAATATTTGGTATATTTGATTAGTCTTCCCTTAGTCTGTAAACTCTGAAAGGCAGGATCAGGTCTCATTTATCCTGGCATAGCCCTCAGTGCCTGGCTCAGATAAGAAATTTAGTACACATATAATGAACAATCAAATGGTGACAATGACCTAGGCTTTCATTTGATTCCTAGAAAACAACCTCTATGTAGATGTTGACTAAGTCCTGTATGTTCTCTGTTATGAAAAATACTCTGTATACTACTAGGCATGTGCTATCATCCAGTCCTTATATTACGGCTTTTCATTTAGATTGATTTTTATGGAGCACATGAACTTGGCCCTCAAGGAGCTTACTCTGTAGGAGAATACAAAGTATGAGGTGTCATCAAAGGTATTTCACATTGAGACTGATGTTGAGATGTTTCTATACCATGTCAATTAGCAATCTAGAGGGTAAAATTTATACTGAGAGCAGGTACAGCTAATGTTATACATTATTTTGTCCAACCTAATCTTTAGAAAGATATCTTCCTTGCCTTTTGCCTGTAACTTTGTGAAAAAAAAAGCATTGTTAATGGGCTGGGCATGGTGGCTTAGGCCTCTAGTCCAGGTGATCTGGGAGGCTGAGGTGGGAGGATTGCTTAAGGCTAGGAGTTCGAGACCAACCTGGGCAACATAGTGAGATCTTTTCTCTACCAAAAAAAAAATTATCAGGCATGATGGTACATGCTTGTAGTCCCAGCTACTCAGGAGGCTGACGGGGAGGACTGTTTGAGCACAGGTGGTGGCTGGGGCTGCAATAAGCTATGATCATACCACTGCACTTAACCTGGGCAACAGAGCAAGATCCTGTCTAAAAAAAAAATCATTGTTATAAAACCATTACTTTCACTATAAGTGGAATGGTCTACACTTACCTTTCTTAAAGGATAAAATAGTCTCTTCTCTTTTCTCTCGTTATAGCAAAAGTATCAGATGATTGGCCTTTCCATATAGTTGAAGGTCACCCATTAATGAAATGAAACAGAATCAAGGTAAACTATGGAAATTACAGTAAGATTGTTAAAAAGAGGCTTCATGTTGCAACACTGCATATATGTTCTGATAAAACAGAACATTTATTGAGCTCTCTCTAGGTCCCACATATTGTTTTAAACTCTTGTAGTATCTCGCATAATCCTTACATCATCTTTTCATCATAGGCATCATCACCACATTTTACAGATGAGGAAACTGAGGCAGAGAGGAAACTGGGGCAGAGACAATTCACTTGTCCAAGGACACAGGTGGGAAAGCAGATAAGCCAGGCAGATTCTAAAGCCCACATACAAAACTACTATCTAGGTGAATTATATGATTTCATTTTCAAAGGAGAAAATTAACTTTTTCTAGTATTAAATTTCTCAAATCATTGAGCTACATACCCTGTAATGCAATTCTTTCCAAATATTAGGAAGCATTTAGCTCTCAGTTGTTAGAGAAGGTAAGAAGTAGTAAAAAATTATTCCGGTATTGAGACACTTCTAGAAACTTCCAGTAAGATCAAGTGATAGCTTATTAGTTTGATAGACATTTTAGTCATTATGGGTAAAACTTTGTAGTATTACATTGTCATTACTCGGGCTGTTTGCATCTGAATGCTCCTCTTCAGTTTGAGAAATTCCCATCCTCTTGAGTCTTCATGGGAGGCAGAGCTTCCCTAAAGTTACAGAAACTGAAAATTCCAGATGCTTGCTTTCCCCAGCTCCTTTGCATCCAAGGTGTGGGTACATGACCTACAATAGACCAATGATATATGCCAGTCTCAGTCTTTGCTTTGGCTACTTGTAACACAAAGAAGCAGCAACAGTGAAGAACTCATTCTGCAGGTAGCAGTGGCCAAATGGCACTCATGGAGGTTTCAGCATTGTCCTCAAGTATCCAGTGCTGAGGGTCAGGAATAGGGCTCTCTGTGCCATAAAGGGCTCACTGGCTACAATGGTGCCCTTTATGGATGGCCTTGGTGGTTTGATCTTGGCTGTGGTCTTGGCTGATGCTTCACTTGTTCCTACTTGTCTTCCTATCCTAGTTCTTCACCCCCAAGTTTCTGTAAATAAATCCTTTCCTGTGTAAATTAGCCATAATTAGTTTCTGTGGCATGTAACTAAGCTCTGAATGGTGGGATGTGAGGGGCAGAAGACAAACAATCTTGGTTAAAAATTACCTCCATGGGGGTGGGTACAATGGCTCATGCCTGTAATCCTAGCACTTTAGGAGGCTGAGGCAGGAGGATTGCTTGAAGCCAGGAGTTCAACACCAGCTTAAGCAACATAGTGAGGCCCCATCTCTACAGAAAAAATAAAAAATAAAAAAAAATTAGCCTGGTGTGATGCCATGTGCCTGTAGTCCTAGCTACTTGGGAGGCTTAGCTGGGAGGATCCCTTGAACCCAGAAGTTTGAGGCTTCAGGGAGCTTTGATTGTACCAGTGCACTCCAGCCTAGGTGACAGAGTGAGACACTGTCTCGAAAAATGAACAATAACAAAAACAACAACAAAGCTTCCATGGTAACTTCTGAAGCTGGAAAATAATGGTATGTATCTGGTGAATGCAAATGAGTACAAAGACTGAAGAGAGAGAATCATTTTAACGGTAGGGTAGGGTTATTGATTACTTTTCGTGCTGCTTTAGAAACAAGCTCCACTTCTCTTTACATTTCTTTCCACTGTAATTTCTCATTGGATTTCTATGTTCATAATATGTGCTCATGAACCACTTAAAGGCGAACCCATGCCTGATATTCTGTTGAGTTCTGTTCAAAAGGGATCCGATTAAGCCATGCTTCCTCATGTTAGAGCAGCTCTATGGAACTTTAGGGACTGATACATGGAGTTCTGTGGAAGTGGGTGAGTCCTAAGAGTTGTGAGCTATCTTAAAGGTACAAAAAGACAAGCAGAAAGTTAAATGGGAATATAATCAGATTTATGTAGAAGCTTCCTAGTAATAGGCATTCATTTTTTTCTCAGGAGTATAGTAATATGATCCTCATATAGGGTAAATAATGTTTTTGTGCTTTATTTTGTATACTGATATTTCTATTTATCATCTTTCATCTTTTAAGGGACTGTATCTTCCTTTATTCTTTATGAGTCTTTTGTTTGTTTGCTTGTTTGTCTTATTTTTCCTGTGAGTTCTTTTTCCAGTCAGTTTGTTATTATAGGGAACTGAATTATTTCTAGGGTAGGAGACATCCATCTCATCTTAACCACAGTCTTAGCAAGTGAATATGCTAACCTTCAGATAGTTGGGTTCCAGAGTATACATAGGAGTATAAAATGGATAAGCTGATTGTTTCCCCATTTAATGATTTTTTTAATAATAATATAGTCAATTTCAATATCTTGTGTGGTAGCATCATTAGAATGGTATTGCTTCATCAC
Source organism: Homo sapiens (assembly GCF_000001405.40). Lineage (NCBI taxonomy): Eukaryota > Metazoa > Chordata > Mammalia > Primates > Hominidae > Homo > Homo sapiens. The sequence continues at coordinate 93,259,864 of NC_000013.11, forward strand.
AGTTACTGGATGTCATGATGACTGTATATCTCATTATTCATGTTGTATAACCTCAAAAGCACTAAGAGAATAAAATGGAAATTAAAACACATTTTTGAAGTTCCAGATTTACTTACTTAATATGGCTTAGTTCTAGGCATTGTACAAACATCAATGAAATAAAAGACTTTGTAATATGAAACCAGAGTTAAATGAGGAACAAGAAAGAAAATTACAACATTTGCAATGATTTTTTACTGTATTCTTTCAGTGACCAATTCATATCGAGAAAACAAAAAGCAGTATAACTTAGTGATCACTTATTTGTTTCTACAGAAGAGCCTTCATTTTAGTAAATATTAACTTGTAAAGGGCTTTTTATTGAAGAGAAACAATCTATGCCAATGTATTACTAATTTGAGAATTAGCTAAGGGTTCAGTGTTTTTAGTTTAAAATTTGGCCATCACGTAAAAATAATTTTATTAATACCATTCATTTTGTTAATAGAATTCACTCAGTTGGCCTTTCAACTGAGTTCTATAAAGAGTATATAAATTTGTAAAATTTGGAAAAGAATCTCAGTGTCAAACTCCATAGGAATTTAAGAATAGGAAACTTTGAAATAAATATCTTTGGCTAACAGACGCTCCTAGGACTTGTTATCACCGCCTCTTAGGTGAATGTCTGTTTTAATTGTTCAGATTAAAAAACTACTCATGTCCTCAATTTATAATATTATTGATCAGTACCTAGAACATTGTTGTATTTAAATCACATTACAGGACACACTGCCGAAGCATTATCCTAGATGGGAAAATCAAAGGCAAGATTTACAATTTATTTTATTATAGACTTGGCCAAACTTTGGCTTTTGAGTCCTTAGTACCATTTTTCATAGTGCTACTGGGAGAAATTATGCAAACTGGTATCAGATTACCCAACATACCAGGAATGTGCTTAGCAAACAGGGGCATCAAAAAGCATTTGGAAAATAATAACTCTAGCAATGTAGTAGTCATCATGATAAAAATTAGAATTTGATTGTATTTTCTTCCTTTTTTGGTAGTTCAGTATTGGTTTAATACTGAATTATAAAATGTTATGGTGGGTGGGAATACATGATTATGTTTTTCATGCTTAGGGTCAGACACCTTTCCTAAAACTCTTGATATGCAAATTCCTTCACTAATACCAGATAATTTTTCCAAAAGGAAAGTAGTTTCTTATTCCTCTAGACCCAAGGACCTAGAGATATTACCATGTCTTTGCTTTCCTTTCTGAAGCCTGTATTGATTATTGACCATGGTTTGTTTCTCCTACAAAGCCAATTCTATGAGATATGGGCAGTTAGGGAGAAGGGAGCTTGAGGGGCACAGGTTTTAAGAGGGAGAGAGAAGTCAACAATTGCAGACTGGTCTTTTATGGTAGGAAACATTGGGATTTTTAAATCAGTTATTCCAAATTCAGTAAGTACCTGTTTTTAGGGTTTTCTAAGACTTTCCATCTTTCCAGGAATGATTCTTCTTAATGATGAATCTCTGGAACTAGGAGCATTCACTGTGGTTTGACAAGAAGTTCAGCTCTCAGGAATAGCACATTTTCCTGTAGTACTGCATTTACTTGAAACAGCTGGGTTTACATGCAGCATAAATACTGCTTTTTAACATTCGAAGGCATAAGAAGAATCCAGTATATAAGTGCCACTTTTAGATAAATATATTTTGTAATTTCTTTGCATGGAATAAAAGAGAAAACAGTGTCTATTCCTAGGGAAATTGAGTGTAAATCCAGCACTCCAGAATTCCCTGAGAAGTGTGGTTGCTGTTTGAAGATTTTAAGCTCCCCCAGGGATGGGTTTATGCAGTTTCATTTGTTTCACATGTATTTTGCCCAGGGTTGGACAAACAGATAAGCTTCTTAACTGGTGGATTTAACTGTCTCTTCACTTTTGAGGTGTCAACCTGGTATATAGTGAAAAATGTTAAGGATAGGCAAATGTCGTTGGGAATAAACAGATAAATAAAGATGAGGTAACTTTAGACTTTCTGGCATTATTCACATTTATCTCCTATCTCTCCCTCTACACACACACACACACACACACACACACACACACACACACACTTGCATATATTATATATTTTGTTAATGTGAAGTCATTTATGAGAGTGCTGATGTTGGAGTCAAGATACATAAATTCTGACTACAAGACTATGACATATTGATGAGTATACAGGAAATAGCCCCTCAACCCTTAGCTTTTCACACTTTTGGACAAATTCCTAGTCCTTCCCACTCTCCTTGAAACATTTTCTTGGCTTATACAACATTCCTCAAGCCAAAAGTAACTTTTACCTTTCTCAGGTCCAGATGTCAGGGGGTTGTAGTGACAATTATTTTGGAAATAATGGCTTCAGATGTCCCCTCAGCAGAGGAAAGAAGGAAGGGTTCCCGAAAAAAAAAGTGAGCTGGAGAGAGCAATTTTAAAAATGGGTGAAAGTGTGGATCCTTTCACGCCAAGTTACACTTAAGTTTTCTTGCGAAATTAAATGTGATGAAGGCCTACAGTCCATTAAAACTTGCACAATTGACACATTGTGACAAATCCTTCCACATGTCTCATTTTCAAAAATTTATTTATGAATTGGTAACACAGAAATACTCAAGTGATAAAAACGGATAGGCCTCTTTAGAGGCTATTCTTATAGGCAATTGTAATTCTTCCAGTGATAGTTTATAGAAATATTTATATTTCATATGTTAACCTAAATGGTATCATACCCTACACATTGTAAAGCAGATGTTTTTCTACTTAATTTATCTGGAAATGTATTCCATTTCAGTGTATAAGGACTTGCCTCAGTTTCCCCCCACACCCCCAAGTTGCATTTTATTCCACTGTACAAATATATCATACTTGATTTAGCTGCTACCAGTGGACTGGGGGAGGTTCCCAAACACTGCTGGGACCTGGACCCCAGCTGATGTCCAGGCTCTTGATGCCATTGCAAGAAGGAGTTCAGGGATGAGTCAGTCAGAAAATAGTGAGAGTAGAGAGATTTATTGCCAAGGGAAAAGGACACTTAAGAAAAGGGAGTGGAGGCATACTCAAGAGAGAGTCATACAAATGGAGTCTGGGTTTGCTAGCTTTATGGGTTTTTTTAACAAAGGAGTGCAATATTCGTGAAAATTCCAGAAAAAGGGTGGAGATTTCCCAGAACTGTGATGCTACTAATTTTTACAACAAATATGGGTGTTCTGGGAACTGTCATGGCACTGGTGGGTGTGTGATTAGTATGTTAATGGGCACATAATGAAGTCTTAGGGGAAACCTAGGTCAAATTCAACACCATGTTGGAGCCAGTTGGTCTTAGCCAGCTTGGCCCACACCGTGGGTTTTCAGGGTCTTATTAGCTCATAGCCTCTGTAGCTATTTTATCTGTTTCCTTTTGCTAGTCATGTGAAATTGCTGCTTGGAGTTTTTTGTTGTTGTTGTTGTTGTTTGTTTTTTGTTTTTTTGTTTTTTTTGTTTTTTTCTGAGATGGAATTTCGCTCTTGTCACCCAGGCTAGAGTGCAGTGGCATGACCTTGGCTGACTGCAACCTCTGCCTCGTGGGTTCAAGTGATTCTCCTCCTTCAGCCTCCTAAGTAGCTGGGATTACAGGCGTGTGCCTCCACTCCCGGGTAATTTTTGCATTTTTAGTAGAGACAGGATTTCACCATGTTGGGCAGGCTGATCTCGAACTCCTGACTTCAGGTGATCCACTGGCCTTGGCCTCCCAAAGTGCTGGGATTACAGGCATGAGCCACCACGCCCCGCCACTGCCTGGAGTTTTCTGTTCTCCTGCGACCACTCTGTATTATTCCTATCTGATAGCTAGTGGCCTGCATATGTAGGGTGTTTTGTCTTTATTACAAACCACACTATAGTTAATGTCCTTACACGTGCATATTTTCATGAAAGTGGGAATGTATCTCTAAAAGAAATTCCTGGAAGTATAATTGCTGAGGAAAAAGTTACAGGCACTGAGCATTTTGGTTGACATTGCCACATATTTCTCTCTGTTAGTTGTGCCAGTTTACTCTCACACCAGCAGCTCAGACCACTCAGAGTCACTTGTTGCACACCTCCAGGGGCCTGTTTACGTGACGGTATCTGTGGATGGAGTTGTGCTGTGTCTGTAGCTCCTGGCCTATCCCTGCTTGATGCTAGCTCATTGCTCTTCTGCTACTGGGGCCCTTGGTAGTTTTTCAAGGGTCTGGGCTTTCTAACTTCAGATGGAGTAGATGGATGAATGAAATTCTCAGATTCCCTCAGGCATCCTTTCTCCTTAGGGATTATGCACCACTGCAGAAAATAGCTGTGGTAAATAAAAGTAGAAAAATGAACTATGTGAGTTTAATGGTACACTGAAAACAAAGTACAGATATCCCTCGGTATCCATAGGGAATTGGTCCCAGGACCCCCTGTGGCTACCAAAATGCACAGATGCTCTAGTCTCATATATAAAATGGCATAGTATTTGCATATAACCTATGTACATTCTCCCATATACTTTATTTATGAATTTATTATTATTTTTTGAGACAGATTCTTGCTCTTTTGCCCAGGCTGGAGTGCAGTAGCACAATCATAGCTCCCTGCAGCCTCTAATTCCTGGGCTCCAGTGATCCTCCCACCTCAGCCTCCCACTTTGCTAGGACAACAGGCACACACTACCACAGCTGGCTAACTTTTTAATTTTTCGGTAGAAACAAGGTCTCATTATGTTGCCCAGGGTTGAACTCCAATGATCTTCCCTCTTTGGCCTTCCAAAGTGCTGAGATTATAGGTATGAGCCACCACACCTGGCTATCCTGTATACTTTAAATCATCTCTACATTACTTATAATACCTAATACAGTGTAAATGCTATATAAATAGTTGTTATATTATATTTTAAAATTGTATTATTTTTTATGATTGTATTATCTTTTAATTTTATTTTTTTTTCCAAAGGTTTTCACCCCTCCATTTGTTGAATCCAGGATGTGGAACCCATGGATAGAGGGCTTACCGTATTTAGAATAGAATATGTGAATCCCTATATAGTAAGCCCAGTCTTCATTCACCAACACTTTTTTTATAAGAACTTCATAAAGGATGATAAGAAAATCAGATTATGAAATTTCTTAGAGGTCTACTCTCTGAGTTCTTAAATCTGGCCTGCTTTATTTTAGACGCCAAACATATGGCCATAGCTCATTATATGCTTAAATGCTGATGCATTTCAAAACCATTGATGCTACTCTGTGAAGGACCTGAGAGGAAATTATAGTAAGATATATGGTTAGAAAGATAGAAGCTGTAAAGTGAAATTCTGACCTTTAGAAAGAGCTGCCATAAACTTTAAAGAAATCAATGTGTTTGTTAAGAGCTATATTTAAGTTTCCTTTTATGTATTTAATATATATCAACATATTTGTATATATTCAAGTTGAGCATCCCTCAACTGAAAATCGGAGATCCAAAATGCTCCAAAACTGGAAACAGTTTGAGTACTCGCATGACACCATAAGTAGAGAATTCTACACATGGCACATTGGATTTCCGATGGCTCAGTATGCACAACCTTCATTTCATGCACAAAATTATTAAAAGTCGTATTTAAAATTACCTTCAGCCTGTGTGTATGAGGTGTATGTGAAACATAAATGAATTTCATGTTTAGACTTGTGTCCCATCCCCAAGATATCTCATTAAGCATATGCAAATATTTGAAAACCTGAAAAAATCTGAAATTTGAAAGACTTCTGGTCCCAAGCATTTCAGATAAGGGTACTCAGCTTACACTGGTGTATGTGTATATGTCTATTTCAAATATACATGCAATGAGATGCCAGAGCCAGCTTTTATTGGCCCACAAGAGCCAACTGTTACATTTTTAGGCATTTTTCTTTTATTTCTTTTTTTTCTTTTTTTTCTTTTTTTTTTCAGTTTTGCCCAGGTTGGCCTCGAACGCATAGCCTTGCCTCCTTATGCGCAAGGACAACTGGCAGGAGCCACCGCAGCTCTCAATTTTTAGGCATTTTTCAAGGAGTTGTCCTGATATTCATAGGTTGAAATCAACCAAGGTAAGAGTGTTTATATAACAGAAATTGGCAAATACTTAAAACCAGGGCGTTACTTCCTGGAAAGCTGATTGTTACCAGCCTACCACTGTACATGTGTGTGTATAGTCTATACTCTATCTAAAAATGAAGACACCTTCAGAAATATTAAAACTAATTTGTTTTTGTTTACACTGTCTGATTTCCAATAAGCAGGAAAAAGTAGTAATTAGTTATGTTTTACTTTTTTCACCAAAGCCTTATTAATGCATTACAGATTAATTTTACCTACCACAAGTGTATCATGATAGTTTCTAATTAAATTGTGTATAATTTCTGGTTGTGAATTTTTTATGCTAAAACAATCTCTTACAAATAATACATTATAGACGCACTAACAGCATGATTTGCTAATATTCATGGTGGTAGCTCATGACCTTAACAGGACAAAGGTCATCAAATATTTGATCATAGGAATCAAGAAAACTGGCAGAAATGATGCTGTAAAGTTAAGAAACATGTGCTTCAAAAGTAGAAGGAGGTTGAGTTCGTAAGACCCAGTACGTTCATTAATACAAAGGAGGAAAGGGAATAAATACTGTTAGGATTCATATGGCCAATATTTAATTGCCTCCATACAGCATAGCCTATGTTTTAAGTGCTTTGAGTTTGAATATAGAAGCTGAGGGCATTCGGGCATGAATATTTTGTAATATGCATATACAGTTTGTATTAAGGTTTTCTCTCAATAGAATAAGGAAGAATGACTGTTATTCAGTTAAATATAGTTAATGTTAATAACTTGATCAGAATTTAAGGAGATTAAATGTCAGAGTTAAGGGCCTGTTGGTAAATATCACTTATAGAAGGCAGAAATAATAGAGAATTACATATAGCCTTGTGGCTTTTGCCACTCTATAAGTAGTAAAATGTGATTTATTATTCTGTATTCTGTCGTGTATTTCTCAAGAGGCACAAAGAAATGATGACTTAGAATTCCTGCATAAAAATGAACTGAGAGACTCATGCTTTCTGGATATGAAAGAGATTATAAACAGACTATAACACCTACTTTAGTTTATTGCTTACTGATCTATAAAGAAAATAACTTGTAAAACCCAAATTAAGCAGGAGTAATGATAGTTCACTAATAGCAAAAGCCAGCTGTGCTGGTTTCCTTTAATAGTGATATTGTAGTATTAAAATGTGGAGATTTACATGTTAGATCTTTGTAAATATAAAGAAGATTTACTTCTTAGGATCTTGATGAATTCAAGTTTGTTACAACCTATTTCATTTAAGGATAAAAATTTTTAGAAATGCAATTTTCTCTTAAATGAAAATTTAAGATTGGACTAATGTAGATCTTCCAAAAAGATATGCACCAATGCCATTAAAAGCATTGGAGCTGCTACCTTGATCTCTTGGATCACTCATTCATCGTTTTCCACAGGAGAGGGTTTTTTTTTTTAATTTACTATAGACTTTAATTCTTCATAAAGAAATTCACGCCAGTTTTCCTCTTTATATATTGGAAGATTCACGTGAAATTACAGCTAAATTTTCACTTTGCATGCTAGAAGCTTCAATTCCTTTGCCCTTACCTTTGATGTTTTATTTCTAAATGATCTTATATAAGTGAAGGCCCTTTATGATTATAAAGAGCTACACAAATGTGTGATATTATTTTCAGTCACTATAAATTTTCTCAATGCCTAATTTCAGAATTGTAGGACTAAGATATTTTATATGGTCTTTGGTTTTGGGAAACAATGCCAAATATTGTTGAAGTATTATCTACTGCTTTCCATCCAAAGCCAATATGACCTGGCCAAAGTAACAGGCTATTAGATCATATACCTACATTTTCATCTTCTTGTAGAAACAAGAGATTTTATATTTTTTTAGGGACAGATGAAAAAGAAAAAATATGCTTAGATGGGCAGACATGTAGTTCTTGGGGAAAAAATGTGTCATTATAGCTCTCTCTGTAGAGATATATGTTGCTGAGCATGTTTTCCATACTTGTTAAGACTGAATACTGTTTTACTTGATTTACTCATTCATTGTAACCTTAGTAACTAGCCCCTTAATATAGATTGCATCCATTTTGATCTAAAAATAAATGATTATATTTGCATAGTTTTCTCAGGGCTCATTTTTAGCATTTTATGTATCATAAAAATATTTTAAAGTGGGTTATATGCATTTCTATAGGGAAAAAATAATTATGAGAGGATTATTTGCAAAATAGATTTATCTGTTGTTGAACATACACTGAGACACTCTTAGGCAGTTGGTATGTAGTGCTTGGAAGGGAGACTTTCCAATGCCATTTGGTCAAGACTGGTCCCGCCTGTATGTTTACAGGTGTGTTGATCTGTAACGAAAACTCTGCCCAGTTCATATAGACAATCTACAAAGTAGAGATTATAGAAACAAGTCTTGAATAATCTCCATTTAGAATATTAAAATATGAATATTTGAGTACCCGGTCAGTGAGAAAAGCTACAGAATGTGAGCTATGGCTTTCAGGGCCTGAGAATACAGCAATGAATCTGCAAGTACAGTTCCTGCCTGCAGGGAAATGAAGTGTGGAAGAGAGTCGATGGAGCCTTTCTTGCTACGTAAAGACCAATTCTCGGTGAATTTAGGAAAGAGAGTAGTGGAATGCCTCCTCTAAGCACTTGACTAATTTTATGTTAGTGCTGTTTGCTGCATCTATATTGGACTTCTTTGGAAGCACGTGCATATGAGCTTCCTTGATAAGATTGCCTAAGGGAAGCCAGAGAGGTCTTTTCAGAATGTCATTCCCCTGGTTCAGACAGGGGAATGCCTCTAGAAAGACATCATTGCTCAACCTTCCACTCCCAATCTGCTGACCACAAGCCCCTGTGTCCCAAGACCCACTTCTATGCTCTCTTCTCTGCCTCCCTTTCCTTCAACAAGTTCCCTGCTGTGCATTCTTCGAATTTAGCTCAAGCCTCCTGTTCTCTAGGAATCCTGACTGGAGCTTTGCCAAGGTCAGAACCTCTTTTCTTCCCCTTTTAAAGTCTTTTCTGGGGAGCATTAGTTACGATTGTCATACTCACACTTAGTTGAAACAAATAAGGTAACAATTATTAAATTTACAAAATATATAAAATAAATTAATGTTTTATCATTGAAACAGAGAAGAATCAGGTTAAAGGTAGGTTTGGAAAGACATAGTTGACCTAGAGAGAAGATGCGTTTGTCTAGCAATATTATTTTCAGAGTGATTATGTACTCGATGAAAAGTTTGGAGGCATGTCACAAGTTTGGAAATAATCTAATGTTGTATTGACTTTTCAGGGTTCTATTAGTGAAAACACAATCAAACTAAATTTTGATATATTAAGACAGATGTATAAAGCCTATAATTTTTGAAATCAGTATCCACCTGACATTTATCTCTCATTCCATCAGCTGAACATTTGGATATTGATTTCTAATTTTGTATTTATCAATATAATGAATATTGACTGCCATAATGATGTCTCAATGACATTTCGCAGCCCTAGAGTAACTTACAAATAAAGAAGTAGATTAAGGCCTTTGCAATTCTATTGTCCTGTGTTTCTTATTGTAATTCTGTCTGCCTTTCTCCCACCTTCTTTTGCTTTTTCTGTTTCAATTAATAACTTGCTAGAAGATCAACAGAAGCCAACTGTATAGAAATATTTGTGGTAGGCCGGACACGGTGGCTCACGCCTGTAATCCCAGCACTTTGGGAGGCCAAGGTGGGCGGATCACGAGGTCAGGAGATCAAGACTATCCTGGCTAGCACGGTGAAACCCCATCTCTACTAAAAATACCAAAAAAAAAAAAAAAAAAAATTAACGGGGTGTGGAGGCGTGAACCTGGGAGGCAGAGCTTGCAATGAGCCTAGATTGCGTCACTGCACTCCAGCCTGGGCGACAGAGCAAGACTCCATCTCAAAAAAAAAAAAAAAAAAAAAAGGAAATATGTGTGGTATGATATGAGTAAGTTTAAAAGAGATATGAGTAAGTTTAAAAGTCCCCACACAGCTGGGCATGGTGGTTCTTGCCTGGAGTCCCAGTCTTTGGGAGGCTGAGGATTGCTTGAGCTCAGGAATTCCAGCACAGCCTGGGCAGCATAGTAAGACTATGGCTCTCAAAAAAAAAATTAGCCAGGCATGGTGGCATGAGCCTGGAGTCACAGCTACTTGGGAGGCTCAATTGGGAGGATTGCTTGAGGCCAGCAGTTCAGGGTTGCAGTGAGCTGTGATTATGTCACTAATCTCCAGCCTGGGTGATAAAGTGAGACCTTTTCTCCTTAAAAAAAAAAAAAAGGCCCCACATCACCTAAGATTTTATGTTGCTTCTCCTCAATTAAACATGGTATGTTTCTCACTTTTTCTGAGGTTTAAATATATGAGTTTATGTCTATATATACATGTACATAATTACATATGTATATCTTTATAGATATGTAGATAATATTTATATAATATCAAGGGTTCAGAGAGTGTGCATTATAAAGCAATGTGCTTTTTACTCCACTTAACAGAGAATTAAACATTGTTTTATTTCTGTATACCTGGAACATGTTTTCTCCTCTTCTCTGTAAATTGCTTCCAAATCCAAAATGCTTTTGAATTCTACTTATAGTTCTCACTGAAGCATTTCCAGAATCCCTTATTTAGAAGCCTCTTCTGCCTTTTATACCAGGCTCCCATACATTTTATATCTCTGTCCTAGCATTTTCACATTTTCCTTCTTTTAAAATTTATGTTTATTTTCCTCAAAAAAAAAAAAAAAAAGCTCCAAGTGGACAGTCCCCCCAGTGTGATATGTAAACTTTTGAGCTTTACAGAGTCAACAACAACACTGCCTCTCCTTCACTTCCATAGTTTAGCACCAGATGAGAAGCAGTATAGAAAAGACAGATAAATGGAGATTAAAGTGACAGATGGAGATTAAAGCTGATTGTAGGTCTGTATTTAGATCTTAGGTTGAAAGGGCTTTCTGCCAATTTCCAGCAGAATTTAATAGACTTGCACCCGTAGTTAATGGTACATCTGGACAATCAGAAGCCTCTGCTGTGTTCCTTCTGGGCAAAAAGCAGAAGAGAAAGCAAATTCATTCAAGGGGCAGGGAGTGTTTGTGTTGCAAGCCTGGTTCCTACTTCTAATAATCATTCCTCCTTCCCTAGGTAGAATTGACTGACAGAGCAGGAGAGAGGCCTGGCGTATTCTAACAGAAATGTCTCTACAGGAAACTTTAGGGCTAGGGAAAGAAAGTTCTACTCCACTGTAGACCTCCTATCTCTTGACCTTTATCTTCTGCTTTGTGTAATTTTAACTCAACTACGTTACAAAACATTGGTTTAATGATCAAATCTTCTATTTGTCTCCCTGTGCTGCCTGCCCTCCCCCAAGACAGTGAAGGTATTGTCTGGAAAACACTGAAGAAAAACTTTTCATTCTGAAACAACTAAGGTTTAAGGCAAAAGTATTCAGACATCTTTGACTATCAAAATTACATCCTAGATAAACCCTAAGACAGTTGATAAAATGCAGGCGTGACATGTATCAGATACAGCTTTAGAGTATAGATGTACTCTTACACAGAGATCTAAAAGTAAAACATATGACTGGAAAGGGACTGTATAAGTAAATAATACAACCATGCTTAGAATTCTTGAGGACGATCAAGTGAGTGGTTTAAATATTTACTTTACTCAGCTTTTTCTTGAGCTTGAGCAAATCAGTAATACTATTTATTAGATACAGAAGTGAATTTTGCCTGGAATATCATAGAATTTGGAAAGAAATATGAATAAAATATCCCAACCTTTTGAGTATTCCAAGTGATGTTTTATAATGAGAAATAGTAATACTTGGTAGACAAAGAACTGATTTTCCTTTCATAGACTGTTAAAATTTAATTATAGTGCTTTTCAGAATAAAGAACCAAGACTTGCTGACTACCATGGCAGACCATTAATTAACTCCTTTAGTTACTTACAGTAATCATAACTAATAAACTATATGACATTACATCTTAAGTTTTATAGATTCTGGAGTCAAGTTTGTTTTGTGCTGTGCTGATGGGATTATAGTCATTTATTGAATATCAAGAGGTAGTTAATTTTTTTTTCGCTTGTATTAGGGAAAAATAAGCTGTAGTTTTTTACTTGATATGAATTCTTCATTTGATAATGGGGTAAATTGGATTGTATAAACTAGACCACTTTGGGGCATATTATTTCTGAAATGTGACTAGTTTGAATAAGATAATTATAGTTCAGTGGTAATTTTAATGACTTAGCTTTGGGAATATGTAAGTTGTCTTTAGATGGCAGATTTACCAAATGAATAAGATAAACAAAACTAAAACTGGTTAGGGATTTAACCATGATATATAAATTTATTTTACATTCTAACTTGCCTTTTAAAAATTCCAATGATAGTCACTTCATTTGAGAAATAATTTATAGACCAATGAATGTGAAAAATTTTAAGCACTGAAATTTGAGAGGAAATTGAAGAATGAGGTGATTCATTGTCTGTGTGTATATATATATATATATATATATATATAACTTAGAAAATGTTTGAATGGTATGATTAGAATGGAGTCATAGTGTTTTGCAAAACATGGATTGTTGAAATACAAAAATCCAGGTTTTGAAGATTATTAAATAATTCATGTAAGATATCAGAGTGGAGCTCCAACAATTTGTTCTACTCTTATTTGGATATAATGTCTGTGAGTGATTCCGTAAATGAGGTCATAAATATTCATCTATTTTATCACTGGCAATAGCTGAGAATCTCTGAACAGACAGTGGACCACAGAATTCAGACCCTCTATGCCTGTGCCTATCCATTGACTTATCCAACTTTATTTCCATGTTAGATACCAGCAGTTCAGAAACATTTGTATTTCCCAGCTGCGGAAACAGAATTATGCTTCTTTCTATTAGGATTTGAAAAAGCTGGTATTTGATTATCCATAAAATGCAGTAAGGTGGTAGGTTTTATTCTCATTAAAAATGTAGGACAAAGGAAAAATAGGCAGTGTTTAAGGAAAAGAAGTTTTTTACCCTTCTCAACAAAAGCTGAAATGCAACAAAAGCCGAAATGACCTGAAATGCAACCTGTAAAGTCAAATGTGAATACACTGTATGCTAGAAAGGCAAATTGTCTCCTGAGGACTAGGAAAAACCTTTTAGTTCTCTCTGACATCTAGGAATATGTTTTCCAAGTGATTTTTACAAAAAGATAGTCTGAATCTTATCTAAATCATATCTAGGTAAAAAGAATTGCACTTTAAGAGAGATATTATAAACATTGAACACATAATCCATTAGTATTATTTCAGTTGTAATAATAGACATACAATCCTTTGCTGATAGAACTCGTTTGCCTAAAAGTTAAAAAAAGTACTGTACATAGGCTGGGCGCGGTGGCTCAAGCCTGTAATCCCAGCACTTTGGGAGGCCGAGGTGGGCGGATCACAAGGTCAGGAGATCGAGACCATTCTGGCTAACACGGTGAAACCCCGTCTCTACTAAAAATACAAAAAATTAGCCGGGCGTGGTGGTGGGCGCCTGTAGTCCCAGCTACTCGGGAGGCTGAGGCAGGAGAATGGCATGAACCCGGGAGGCGGAGCTTGCAGTGAACCGAGATTGCGCCACTGCACTCCAGCCTGGGCGACAGAGCGAGACTCCGTCTCAAAAAACAAACAAACAAACAAGTACTGTACATGTCAAAGCTTTACTGTTTATCATAGAAATTTTAGGTATTTTGATGTTGTGGATTTCTGTGCATGATACTCCCTTTAAGATCAACTGATTGATTGCCTCATTTTTATTTTTTATTTTTTTATTTTATTTTTATTTTTTGAGACAGAGTCTCACTCTGTTGCCTAGGCTGGAGTGTGGTGGTGCGATCTCGGCTCACTGCAACCTCTGCCTCCCAGGTTCAAGCAATTCTGTGCCTCAGCGTCCTGAGTAGCTGGGATTACAGGCACGTACCACCATGCCCAGCTAATTTTTGTATTTTTAGTAGAGATGGGGTTTCACCATGTTGGCCAGGCTGGTCTTGAACTCCTGACCTCGTGATCCACCCGCCATGGCTGGGATTACAGGCGTGAGCCCCTGCACCTGGCTGATTGCCTCATTTTTTAAGGGAAATGAGTTAAGCTGTCTTCCTACAGCTTAAGAAATTTAAAACTTTAAAAGCGAGTGGTAAAAAGCAGTCACCTACAGATGTATTCATTAATTCATTCAATCATTATCTACTAAACATGAACTACATTTAGGGTATTGTATTATGGAGTCCCTAAGGTATTCATTTTGGTGAGCAATGCCACATAAACAATGAGTAATGTGTCATTGGGGGAATGTGGTAGGTTCATTCGGAAAGTGATATGAATGATTTATTGCCCCCTTAAGTGTCCTTTAAGTATCAATACAAAAATAATTCTTCTACTATCAATATATTGAATTTTATGCTATAATGAATGAATTTCAAAAGAGGACATGATCCTTTGCCACATAGAGATTTCATTCTAAAACATTTACAGTATTGCTATATTCATTCACTTATTTATATATTACATGGTTACTACATACTAGGCATTTTGTCAGGTATCTTAAATCAGATGTCATATACAGAGCTCCAAAAGGAGACTATTTTCATCTGAAAAACTATTACAAATAGAACCTGCCTTCAGATAATTCAAGTTATTTATTAGGATTTTCTCCCTTAGAAGTGGTCTATGATTTTATGCTATCAGAATGGTTTAATGTATGAAATATCGCTTTCGTAAATATAGTGCAAAAAATATATCCACTGTTTTTGAAATTTTCTGAATGAGTGTTAATGGACATGTATATTAGTAATACATCAAATTCTAATTTTGATATAATTTCCTGTGCTTTCAAAGTGCTTTAACATAGTAATGTTATATCACAAATTAGGGTCTTACCTAAGATTGCATAAAAGACTAAGGAAAAAATGTTATATAAAGAATTAGAAAGGATTTATGGTTAGACACTGGAAAGACTGAATCACAAGATTACATATCAAAAATTGTGAGTGCATATTCCAGCCTACTGAATTTAAGTACCTGGGCAAAATATTGAGAAATATTACAGGTCCTGCTTCCAAACTGGGAAAGCCTCTTCTGATTATAGACTAACCTGTCTGCCAGCTCTGACATGTTGCAAACAGATGCTGTAACTCATTGAAACTCTTTTCATCTTATTGGGGGAAGACTGTTTTAAAGTTCCTAATGGTTATTTTTCTAAAAATGGTTCATTTAAGATCTTAATTGGGTACATGAAATGGCTTTTTCTGTCATTGATCCTAGTACGTGCACATGTGCAACATGTACAAAAAGATCCTTTTGTTTTAGACCTTACGGAATTTTATGAGGCATGGAAATGAGGAGAAGAGAGCCTCATTCTTCAGAATACTATGTTTGACTAGATAGTAAAGAGGGATCTCAACAGACCTCAAACATAATGTAAGTGGGAGCACAGGAATCAATTAGTATATTAGTTTTCTGGAGCTGCCATAGTAAAATTCCACAGGCTAGATGGCTTAGGGGACAGAAATTAATTTCCTTGTAGTTTCAGAGATCAAGGTATAGGCAGCTTTGGTATCATCTGAGGCCTCCCTCCTTGGCCTGCAGATGGCTGCCTTCTCCCTGTCCTCAATGGGGTTTCTCCTGTGTGTGCATCCTTGGTGTCTGTGTATCCAAACTTCTTCTCATAAGGATGTCAGTCAGGTTCAATTAGAACACACCCTCATGTCCTCATCTTAACCTAATCTCTTCTTTAAAGGTCCTATCTCTAAATACAGTCACATTCTCAGATAATGGGGGTAGGGCTTCAACATATGAATTTTGGAGGGATGCAGTTTCGCCCATAACAGGATAATTTTTTTGTTTTGTTTTGTTTTGAGACAAGAGTCTGGCTCTGTCGCCCAGGCTGGAGTGCGGCGGCGCGATCTCGGCTCATGGCAAGCTCTGCCTCCCGGGTTCACGCCATTCTCCTGCCTCAGCCTCCCGAGTAGCTGGGACTACAGGCGCCCGCCACCATGCCCGGCTAATTTTTTGTATTTTTAGTAGAGACAGGGTTTCACCGTGTTAGCCAGGATGGTTTCGATCTCCTGACCTCGTGATCCACTCGCCTCGGCCTCCCAAAGGGCTGGGATTACAGGCGTGAGCCACCGCGCCCAGCGAGAATTTTTAAGTATTTTATGTTCAGTGACCAGGGTAAAACCATTTACCCTTAGTCAAGCAAGGGTCAAGGAAAGGCATGGAGCCCCAAGTGGAGGGAAGATGAAAAAGAAAGTCCGGAAGGTTCTCCCTGGTCACAGACTGAGCTCTGGGCTTAAACTTGCTCATTTTGGGGTTTTGAAAAAGTCAAATGAACTAACAAGGATCCCTTTTAACTCTGATGTGAAGTACTTTGAGTTTAGTCAGGAGCACACAACTTAAGAAATGGCAGAAGCTCTGGCCTTTTCAGAGAGAGAGAGAGAGAGAGAGAGAGAGAGAGAGAGAGTGTGTGTGTGTGTGTGTGTGTGTGTGTGTGTATGTGTGTGATAGAGGCACAGGAGAAGAATCCCTGTGAATGGATGGAAGACATGCAGTCCCGGCCACATGTGTGCCTGGGTGTGAAGGCAGCCTTGAAGAGGAACAAATATAGGGTGGGGGTAAGGCAGCTCTTGGGACTCGGGGACGGAGGTGGTGCATGGAGCCACCAGGCAGTGGCTTGCTGCTGGCTTTTATCCCTTTCCTCGGGAGTACCTGGGATGTGTGGGGCCTGAGGCCTGGTGAAAACCTCACTCCCTGGGCAGGGATTCTGTAAATAACAGCCGCAGTCCATCCTGGAGCTTCTTAGATGTGTGGTTCTTGTTTCTTTCCAGCTTACTTCTTTTCCTGCTATTCTCTTAGGTGACTTGCAAAGAATTTCTATTTTCTGTCCATTTAATCTGCCTTGTACAAATAAAACCCTGTATTTCGACAGTTTTTGAGGCAGTAGAGATTATAATCAATGCTTCTAAAATAGTCAGAAACCAGAAATGGAGTCATTACATGGTTTCTTTGGGAGAAAGGGAACCCCAGGGAGGGAAATTTTTCCTCAAAATTGTCTCCCTGTTACATTTCCTATAAGCCCTCTGCCGATTCCTAAATGAATCATTTTCTTCTTATTATTACATTACTTATGATGTGTTGCAAATAATTTTACCGTGGGTGAAGGAATTTACGAACACACCACTGAGGTGAAAAGAAAGTCCTGGGTTTAGTGCTGGTTTTACAAGTAATTTAGACTGGTGACCATTACTCAATCAATTTAATCTCCCTCTGTCTCAGCATCACATCTATAAAACGATGAAGACAATATCTGCCAACCTAATTAAGAGTTGTAAGGATCAAGTGAAATAATGTCAAGGAAAGTGCTTTATAAATTGCCAGACACTATACAAATAGAAATGACGAATGCTGGTACAGAAATGTGAGATTATATTGGAGGCATTAAAAGCTTATAATAAATGCTTTCACTTCACAAAAATCTTGTCTCATCAGACTAAACCAAGGTGTCTTTATTATAACCCAATTCCTCAAATCCCCATCTGAGCTTGAATTTGAAATGCTCAGAGATTTCTAGAGACTGAAAAATGAGTTTAAGCTACTCTGTGGACAAAGACAGTGGTTAAACTGTTTTTTTCACATTCAATTTAGTAATTAACTTTTTAAAAATAGAATAATTGTTCAACTAGACATAACTTTATTGTGGTAAATATCTTTTCAATGTACTATAAGTTTTCTAAGGGCAGGAATCACATTTCTTTAGAAGCTGAGTGCCTAGAACTCAATAGAAGCTTTTTGAATAAATGATGGGAGAAATTTTCTTTTATTGAAATTAAGGGTTTTTATGTTTGCTTTCCTACCATAAAATTAGAGTTTAGTCCCTTGATGCTGTGCCCTTCTCTTTTTAATCATACTCCTTATTTTGAAAATAAGTGTATATTATATCCCAGTGAATTAAATATCTTTTCCCTCTTTACTATAGTTCCTGGAAAGAGTATATTGATACTGTAATAATATTTGTTTTCAACAGTAATAATTTGCTGGTAAACCTTATATTTGCGTTACTGGCTTTACAGTTTATCTTGCAAAACATTTGCTTCAGGATCTTATTATTTTAGACAACAAGTGCTGCAGAGGGAAATAGAACATAAATACCTAGTTCCAGATAGAAAGTGCCACAGTGATTCAGTTTCATTGTGTGAGCTGAATAGAGATTTTTTTTTAAAAAGTTTGTTTTATTTTTAATTGTGGTAACAAATACGTAACATTAAATTTGCCATCTTAACCATTTTTAAGTGTACAGTTCGATACTATTAGGTATATCCGCATTGTTGTACAGCTGACCTCCAGAATTTCATCTTGCACAGCTGAAACTCTACGCCCATTAAACATGGATTCTCCCTTTTTCTTGCATCCAGCCCTTGGCAACCACCTTTCTCCTTTCTGTTTCCATAATTTTGACTACTTGAAATATATCATAAAGAAATATTCTTATAAGACATTTTGATACATTAGTTTTTATTTGTGTTTATCATTGTCATGTGGATCATTTAATTGCTAAGTGACGTTTTCATTCTTATTCACGTACAATAAAACCAGTTAATTCTTTTTTAATTAGTGTCATGAATTTTGCCTGGGTAAGGATAAACAGTAAAATAATAAAGCAAAGAAAAATATTTTATATAATTTGTAAAGCAGTGGGTATATTTAGGATACAAAGTAGCAGATATATAGAGTGAACACATCTAGGGCTATAGGTAATAAAGTTGTATTATATGCGGGATTCATGCTAAATGAGTAGATTTTAGCTACTCTTGCCACAAAAACAAAAAATGGGTAACTATGTGAGATGATGGATATGTAAATTTACTTCACTGTAGTAACCTTTTTACTGTCTATAGGTATCCCATAACATCATGTTGTATACCTAAAATATATGCAACACTTATTTTAAAAAATCATAATAGATTTATGTTAAAAAAGACGAAATATGATATATTTTTAAAGCTGCCTATTATTAAGGACTCACTTTAATTTGAAAACCTTTTCTTTCTAAGATAATTATGGAAACCATGCTTTTACTCTTGGGAAGAGAATGGTCTTGCTAGAATATCTGTGGTTCTCAAACTTGAGTGTGCATCAGAATCACCTGGAAGCTTCTGACACAGATTGCCAGACCTCACTGCCAGAACTGCTCATTCAGGTGGTTTTGGGAGGAGCCTGAAGGAGCATGTGGATTCAATTCCCATGTGATGTTGAAGCTCTGGGCTCTGGGGCCCCATTTTGAGAACTATTGTTCTGGAGTTAACAGATATTCTAGAAGACAGTAAGAAATGGTTTGTCGAGATATGTACATTGGGTTTGGAAACGCTATACAATAATCACCTCTTAGGGATTCAGTGCCATTTGCATATGAAAGATTTGTTCAGATTCTGCCATAAAATAGCTTCTTGAACCTTATTTCCAATATTTACTAAATTTACTTGATTGCAGAACTATCTTTTTACATAACATTGATTGCCTTTTGAGGGATACTCATATTCTAGTGTGCATATTTTGAAAAATATCCTCTAGGTTAAAGAATTAGGAAAGTATCAAGATATTAGTGCCACAGTAGAAAATATAGGTTTATACATTTCATGGCGAGGCAGGGCAGTGCATAGCTCATCTCTCTTCTTTAGCTTTAAAATCAGTATGATATAACTCTACTTACTAGTGTGGACAGAAATGTAAAGGATGTGTTAACTAAAGTACTTTAATTTCTTTAGAGATTGAAAATACAAAAACATTGTTGAAAACTTTGCTTACTTTACAGTATTCGTTTTGAGGTTTGTAATTGGAAAGTTCTGTCATAGTATCTTAAATGAATTGTTTGGGTTTTGATTGTGATCTGTGTAAATTTCACAATAATAAACACACCCAAACTGGTTAAATGTACGAACATAGTGGGAAATGCCTAGCCTGACGAAAGAATTGAGAGGTATAAGGATACCTGCTTGGTCTGTGTTAGAGGGTAATGCCAAGTCAGTGATGAAAAACATCTGCAGGTATTCTGTACTTCACCTGAAGGCATTTTTTCACCCTGTGTGACATGAGAATTCTGCACATGGTTATCTCCTCCCAGAGTCCTCAGGTTCACATGTGGGGGGGGCCAGACCAAAGCTTACTTTCTAGGTACTGTAAAGATAGTCTCTCACTTCCTGTTTCTGATGCCAAGAACAGTGATAGATCTACATTAATTCCCCAAATAAATTCAGCTTTGCAAACATCCCATTCTTTGTATACATATGGTAATCTCCTTTCTGTAGGTTTTTACCCAAGGTTTTTTTTATCCAGAGCCAAATAATGTACCTGGTCAGCGGGGCTCCACAGAGTTTCTACAAAGATGCAAACTAAGCAAAGTAAAGAATGTTGATGCATTGCATTACATGTCATTCATACTTTCCTCACTTTAAGAAAAATTCTTACATTATATATGGATATGGCACTTTTGAATACAGCTTATGTATCTGTGAAAATAGTAGATATAAAATAAATATCAGTTGAAGCATGGTGTTTTCACATTGTGCATGCCTAACAAGGTATAGACCATTCATGGCCAGAAACCAAGCAGGCCAGATAAGGGAATGCCCTACATAGGGCGCTTTACTTATATGTATATGCTGGCGCTAATTTTTTAAGGCAGTGGTCCCCAGTCATTTTGGCACCCAGGGACCAGTTTCATGGAAGGTAATTTTTCTGTGGACAGGGCCGGGGATGCGGCTAGTTTCAGGATTAAAGTGTTCCACCTCAGATCATTAGGTATTAGATTCTCATAAGGAGTCCACAGCCTAGATCCCTTGCATGCCCGGTTCACAACAGGGTTCGTGCTCCTATGAGAATCTAATGCCAGCTGGCAGAGGTCAGGCTGTAATGCTCGTCCCTTGCTCACCTCCGGCTGTGTGGCCCAGTTCCTAATAGGCAACGGACTGGTGCTGGTCTGAGGTCCAAGGGTTGGGGACCCCTGTTTTAAAGCATTTAAAAATGTTAAGAATGGCTTAATAATGTGTCCAAAGTCATTCAGCTTCAGCATTCAAATGCTGAGAACAAGATTTGAATCAGGATTTGGCCTCCAGATTCTACTATATCTGCCACAATAGCACTTACTACTTGGCAGAAGGACTAGAATGGTGCTTACCTGGATAACAGATTAAAGTTGCTTTTTTGTTGTTGTTTTTTAAACAGCAACATTTATTTATTTATTTCTCACAATTCTGGAGGCTGGGAAGTCCAAGATGAAGACACTGGCAGATGCGGTGTCTAGTGAGGGCCAGCTTCCTGATTCATAGATTGCCATCATCTTGCTGGAGAACAAATTAAAGCATTGAAAGAAGAATAAATGCTCCTGTACAATCAAAGGGAATGATTAAAATATGTAAGAAACCCAAATAATTAACTGTAATAGCTCAGTGTTAAATAAATATCAATGTTACTTTGTAAAGAATGTTACTTTAAATGAAAAGAATGGCTGGGCGCAGTGGCTTACACCTGTAATCCCAGCACTTTCGGAGGCCAAGGCAGGTGGATTACCTGAGGTCAGGAGTTCAAAACCAGCCTGACCAACCTGGTGAAACCCTGTCTGTGCCAAAGATACAAAAAAAATTAGCCAAGCATGGTGGTGGGCACCTATAATCCCAGCTACTTGGGAGGCTGAGGCAGGAGAATTGCCAGATCTGGGAGGCGGAGGTTGTGGTAAGCCACGATCATGCCAGTGTACTCCAGCGTGGGCGACGGAGTGAGACTCCATCTCAAAAAACAAAACAAAAAAGAAAGAACAGAACTCCAATATGCACCTATTCTGAAACCACTGAATTAGGAAAATTTTGAATTCAATACGTAGACAAAAAAGATGAACATTTTCTCACATTTGCTTTTGAGTTTATTTCTTGACGCTGATGGAAAGGTAAAAAGGTGAGGTGCGAAGGACCAATTTAGCCTCTCATTTTCATTCTTTTATATGTGTACTGATAAAGCCACCCTCAGTGAAATCGAATTAAGTAATATTTACTGCAAAGTTGTTTTTTGGATTGAACATTTACTAGGAAGTTTTTACAGCCTGTGAACATAACATCCAAGTTATATTATTTCTTGGGACCAAATGTTTTGAAGTGAATATTTTTACATTGTTTTTCATAGGACAATCAGAATTTGAAAGCTTTGTGAAGTAGAAGGTGAAAGAAACAAAAATTCCTTTCCCTTGAGCTGAAGAGGCAAACCTAAGACTATTTTGCTAAAATTGTCCTTAGCATGGAGAAAGGTCCTTATCTAAGGGGGATCCATCAGAATAACTTGGGGAAAATTTTCATACCAAACCCCCTCATCCTCTCTTCCCAGATTCTGAATTCCCTACCCCGCCCCCAGTATGATTTGAACCTAGGAAGAGAGCAGGTATGTATTGTATGAAAAATTCCTTAATTTCCCTTCCTCCCAACTTAGCTGATCTAATGAATTACAGTGAAAAAAAAAAAAGCTTCTTGCCAATTTTTTCTCCACTTACTCTCCTTAAATATAAGAAGAACAGAGCAAATAGGGAGATTAATTTTTACTAAAATGAAGGAATATTTTAGTTTTAAAGTTATGCATAAACACAGTTTAAATAATCAAATATTTTACACAGAAAAATCACTGCCATCATCCCTTTCTCCCCCTTCCATGGAGATAATCACTTTAAGCTCTTTTACATGGTTCTTTTGGTAATTAATTCAAATCTCTAAACAATATGCTCATTTTGCTACATTTTGATTTTAAATTTTTTAAATAATCAAATATTTTACACAGAAAAATCACTGCCATCATCCCTTTCTCCCCCTTCCATGGAGATAATCACTTTAAGCTCTTTTACATGGTTCTTTTGGTAATTAATTCAAATCTCTAAACAATATGCTCATTTTGCTACATTTTGATTTTAAATTTTTTAAATAATCAAATATTTTACACAGAAAAATCACTGCCATCATCCCTTTCTCCCCCTTCCATGGAGATAATCACTTTAAGCTCTTTTACATGGTTCTTTTGGTAATTAATTCAAATCTCTAAACAATATGCTCATTTTGCTACATTTTGATTTTAAATTTTTTAGTATTACCTATTGATTGCCTGCTATGGTGGAAGAGGGTTTAGCACTGCTCATCCCTGCTTGAACAGCCTTCCCATCTGCTCTATTTTTTCCTATCTTATTTATCTTTAGTTAGCCTTGAACAAGGAATGATTCTTTTTTTCTCATAGAAAAGAGCTAAAAACAGGGGAAGTTGAAATTTTGCGGTTGAGAAAAACAAAATGTTAAGGTAAGGTCGCATAGGATGGCCTCAATTTTCTCAAGAAAATAAGAGATGAGTTCATCTGGGCTTGAGCTACTACGGGCTGCTATCAGTAATTCATTAGGGAGTTAACAGATGAATATCAGCATTGCTGCAGACCAGTGAGAAATGACCAACAGATCTAAACTCATATGACAAATGGTCTCACCCAAACACAGTGGATTTGCTTGGAATGGTGGCATGCCAATTTTCATTATTGGCAAAGAACAAAACACCCAAAAGCCAAAAGGGACAGGTACACAGTTTGGTGAATGTGAGAAATTACATGTGCGGTCTCTGTTTAGTTACACGTAATAACAGACTACAGATCACTTTTGTGAATAATCCCAAACTGCAAGTAATACAAAAAGTTAAAACATTTAACTTGAGACCTTATATATGTTTTCATATATTTGGATAGATATGGGTGCTGTTATTACATTGATTCACATCCTGATATTTCTCTTCACTTGATTAATATTTAATTGGCATTCCTAAACCCCAGAAACAACTTATGGAGTGGAGGGGTACATAACTCAGCAAACAGGTTACAGAAAGCCCACTTACAATTTCACATTCCTTTTGGAAAACTCACAAAGTGGATAATCTAAGATGTGGACAATCTAGAATTGACAACTGTACATAAAGGCTCACATTCTCTCAGGGCAACACTTGTATTGAATGTTGTTAGTTTACTGTGCTAGCTTTGTTTATACATTTGTAATAAGTTGGGCTTCTTGCAGATGGCAGATTAAAACATATAGTTTATTGCTTTTTTAAGCAAGTGCATCTGATTTTATATTTAAAAGGGTGTAGTTTTATGGTGCAAGAAAATAACAGGGGCACTGAGTTGGAGTATCAGAAGAAAATCCCTTAGGGCACGGCAGCAGTGCAGTTAGCAATAATTTTAATTGGACACCCAAACTAAGCCAGCCTCAAATCATGTGTATGTCTTACAAATAGGGTTTATTATGTCCTTTAAGTCCTTTTAGAGGCTTATGAAGATTTATACCAGTAGTTAGTTGCTTTGTCTGAGCTACAGAGAATATTTAATAGTTTTATCAGGATTAATGAACAGAAATGTCTCAACAAATGAAATTCTTTAGTATGTACACTGTAGTCATTTGGTATTCTCTTTATTCACTTGCAGTATTGTCAGTAATAGGAGACACTGTTTGATATGAGCCCTTGTATTTCATATATTTGTCAGATTTTTGTGAAGCTGTTTATATAGAGCATTTGTGTAGCACTTTTCTAACCTCAGACATGCCCAAGAATCATATAGTAAATATGTACATCTCAAAACTGATTTACCATATAACAAAGACATTCACTCCATTTATGGCAACAAATATTCAGTGAGTGCCTACTGTGTGCCAAGTGCTGGAGACACAGTGTTGATCAAAACAGCTTAGTGGAATTGATGGCTTAGATAAGTACAATAATAATGAACATAATGTACTAGTAGATATTTCAATCTTGCTGCCCCAGGGAAGTAGAGGATAATGTAGAGTCTTTATCAGAGGTTGTTATATGGTCTGGGAAATGAGAAAAGGCCTTCTTGGCAAAGTAATATCTTTACTGAGCTGAAGGTTCAAATAGAAGTTAACTAAGTAAAGAGGGAGTAGAAGGAGAAGCTTCAAGGCACAGGGAGTAAGAGCTGCAGAGGCTCTTAGGCTGAATGTGGTAAAGGCCCCTTTGAGGAAATGAATGGAAGCCACCAGGATTGGGACTGGATTACATAGTGGGACAGGGAGAGGTTTAAGTCCAGTGAGTTCCGGTGAGTTCTGTTATGCACGTTAGTCTTTATCCCTGCAATAATGCGTGCTGTTGTAAAGAATTTTGAAACTTAAAATATACAGAGAGGAAAGTACAAATTAGTGGTAATCCTATTACCCATAGCTTCTTCATTTTAAGACACTGTATTTTTAATTAATGAATTGTCTTTCAGTTATATAAAGATTAAAAAGTAAATATGCAGACAGATACTCTTTTCTTGAACTGGGAAAAATGACAATCTTTACTACCATGCCATATTACTAATATCTGGAATAGGAAGTAATTTCGTAAGCCAAGCAATGATGTCTGTGCACACTGTAGTCCTAGTTTGTCAATTAGACTACAAATCATGGTTTTGTTTATATACAGTATTTAACATATTTTACCTTGTTTTCAAAAAGCCAATTTGTATAATTTTTCCCCACCCAAAATTGAGAAATTATTTTTCCTGGGATGTATGTGTATGTATATACTGCTGTGTGTGTGTGTGTGTGTGTGTGTGTGTGTGTGTGTGTGTGTGTGTATGTGTTTGGTGGCAGTCAAACAACAGTAATAATAATTATATCTTTTTAAAACCCAGGTTAAATAGTTAGCAAAACTCAGGATAGCTTTTTCTAAGTCATGTCAAAAAGTATGAAAATTATAGGAACAAAATTGCTGCTTTTGAAGACATTTAAAAATTGTGGAAGTATAGATATTCTTATATAGAAGTTGTCAATATTAATGTATACTACATAAAATCAAACTTACATGAGAAATACAGATTTAAAAATTTAGGAGATAATAGGCATATTTAAAGGTATTAGAATTTGTCAGCCTGTTGAGAGAAGAAACCTGGAACACCGACAGGAAGTGTTTTCAGAGTTGTGCCAAATCTACAATTAGTCCTTGTGTTAGTCTGTTCCCATGCTGCTAATAAAGACATACCTGAGACTGCGTAATTTACAAAGGAAGGAGGTTTAATTGACTCACAGTTCCACATAGCTGGGGAGGCCTCAGGAAACTTACAACCCTGGCAGAAGGCACCTTTTCATGGGGCGGCAGGAGAGAGAATGAGTGCCCAGTGAAGAGGGAAGCCTCTTATAAAACCATCAGATCTCATGAGAACTAACTCACTATCACAAGAACAGGATGGGAAAAGCTGCCCCCACGATTCAGTGATCTCCACCTGTTCGGTCCCATGACATGTGAGGATTATAGGAACTATAATTCAAGATCAGTCCTTATGCTAACAACCTAGGCACAAAGGATCCAGTTGAATTAGTGAGCTCAGAGAAGCAGTCCCAATGTAATTTGAGGCAGAACAAAGCTCAGAGGATATGGGGAGCTGGAGGGCCTGGTATTCAGATGCTGTTAATGACTCTAACACATCTTGTAAAATGTCTTTCCTACCAAGTTGAAGAAGGATGTATCAGTCTGTGATTTAAACACTCCTCTATAATTTGTGTTCTGATAATTTTTACATTATTAAAAACAGAAGTTTGGCATTCTGTGCATCTTATCAGAGTGGTCTGACCGTTGACTCCTTGTAGGGAAGGGGTGGCAGAGGTCACTAAGTTTTATATCCCAAGGAAACAGCCCAAGAAGACAGCTTTACTTACCAGCCTTCTGAGCACTTAGGGAGTGGCGGTGAAAGTGAAGTCATTCTGAATTTTTTGTCCCTCCTTTTCTCCCTTCCTTCTTTCCTGATGCTGTTAGTGTTTAGTGATACAAGTTGAACATTGGCATTCCCAAATCTGATACCTGAAATGCTCTAAAATTCCAAGCTTTTTGAGTTCCCACATGACACCACAAGTGGAAAATTGTTAGATATAGACACCTTTGCTTTCCGGTGGTTCAATATACACAAACGTTGTTTCATGCACAAATTATTAAAAAATAGTGTATAAAATTACCTTCAGACTATGTGTATGAGGCATATTTGAAACATAAGTGAATTTCATGTTTAAACTTGGGTCTGACCCCCACCAAGATATCTCATTATGTATATGCAAATATTACAAAATCTGAACATGTCTGAAACCTTGGGTCCACATTCTGGTCCCAAGCATTTCAGATAAGGGGTGTTCAATCTGCATAAGATAAAAGAGCCTACTGAGAAATTTAATTATAGCTTCATAAGAATGTCTAGATCATTTAAAAAGTCGCCAATGAGAACAGAGGATTCCATAAGAGTGTTTTGGCCAAAAGTGAGCCAATGACATAGAGGCAGGGACATTGGCCACCAAGGAGTGTGAAAAGCTGGTTCTGGGGTGAGGCCGATTCTCGCAGGAGGCCTCCCCGCCTGGTGTCTGTTCTCACCCAGGAATTGGCCAGCAACTCATCCAGATCTTTCTTTACTCTTGGAAATGCCAGTGTGGTTCTTATGTTACTGGGCATGCCTTTGTTTCATCTTGAAGAACTTATCATCACTTCAACCCATTCAAAAGATATGAGAGAGGAGATGTGCAATTGAGTAATGATTAGGAATGTAGCACATATTGCATTTATAAAACACATCAAACTATTTTTCAAATATTAGAAGGTGTAATTGAGTCTGCAACACATTTTACTAAAGATATTTCCTTTAATTTTTAAAACCATGTGTATTACGGGGGGAAATGAGATCCATATGTTTGATTCTTGCACAGTTAAATGATATATTAAAGGATTATTTGCAAATGCGTTAGAAGTTTATTGTCAATTAAAATAATCTACTTTTAAGGAAATTATGTTTTTTTTAAAGGTTTTTTTTGTTGTAATTTGAATTTTGGTCCAATATCCCTGTAGGGAAAACTGTTTAATAATAGCAAGTGGATATCATCAACGTGATTTGCTCCTAAGCAATCTCTTGATTTCATTGCATTTTGTTAAACTGTTTTTAAGCTTCATCGGTTTTGATTTTAAGTAAAATTTACTAATGTCCCTTTTAATAAAATGTATCTGTGAATTATCTAGAGTGAGCTGTTTAGTTTCAGAGGTTCTCATATTCCAATCCTTTGAAACTACAAAGTAATACTTATAAAATTGAAATAATTAAAAATAATTAGCAGAAACTCTCCAAAATAAGACAATCAAAACCATCTGGGCTTGAATATATTAAAAAATGTTGATCAAGGAAAACACCTTAGAAATCTGTGTGTTATCTTGTAATTTCAAGTGTGGATATTTTAAATCCTGAAGAAATGGGATCAAATAAGCTCTCAGTAGTGTTCTATATCAACTGTAATTTAACACATCTGTCCAGAGGAGTAGTGAATAATGAATTACACTAATCAATCCAGATAAAAGAGATTTAATTAACATTAACATCTCCTCAAAGTCTTTAAAACTTTCTTTTTTTTCTTTCTGTTTTGGTATTCAGGGATTCTAATCTAAGGGTCCTTTGATGATGAAAGAATATTTTTAAGAGAGATTTTATTAAAAGGATTTGTGATATTTAGATGTATGTAAGATGAAACTTTTCTCCAATTTTTTAAAAAGGCACTTCATAAAACATAAAAAGGCTGTCAGTATTATCACTTCGTATTACTTTATAAAAATATCTGGAAATAAAAGTTGTTGTATAGGGAATAAACATGCTTTGCCAAATTTTAATTAATATGTATTCAAAAAATTGATGATGTCTGGATAACCAATGAGTGACCTTCAGTGCTTTGTAGGGCAACCTGCAGGCATGGAGGCTCAGCAATAAATACTTAGCCCACTAAGGTGATTGAAGGGGTTACAGGTGTTTTCTGCAAAGTGGTTAAACCACTTCATGAGTAAATGTAAATCTTCATACAGACCTGTATAGGGCAGTCTACAACCACAGGCCAGTTACAGTAATTAAACAAGCAACTGAAGAGTTATGACAATGAGAGCAGTGAAATGAGAATCTGAATATGGTCTTTTCACTATGTGGGGAAGTCCTCATTTTGGTCTAAGATGGAAGCAAGAGAAGAGACCAGGGTTAAGAGTGACAATTGCCACAGATAGGGATGTTATACTGACCCATAACTGGATTTTATCGGTACCACATTGAAGCCTTAGTGTAACTAATACTGATGACTTTATTAATGCTAACACTGCAACGTCTTTAATGCACACCAGCAGGAGACAAGGGGAGAACCCTAACCTGGGAGTCAGAATGCCTGACTCATATTCTTTCCCAACTCATTTAATCTGCCTTCACTCCAGTACTCCAATTCGTAAAATGCAAATAGTAGTATGTGCCCTAGGGCTCAAAAGACTTTCAAAACGTGAGAATAGAGATAGATATTCTGGAAATATGATGTCCTCAAATTGATTATTTTTTGGTACACTGAAAGACAATCAAAAAGTGAAACAAAAGAGGCATTTAAAAGTAGTATTAGGAAAAGTGTCGATCTCTTTTTAAGAAAAATAATGCAATGCAGAACAATTTATATGTAGTATATAAATATTTATATGCCGAAATTACTAACATAAATATATGTATATCTTCATATCCACTTATAGACAAAGATATATGTATAGGGAAAAATTTACCCTATGTTGATAAAACTTGTATGCACAGTTCAGCCTTTCAGTTTAGAGGATCAAATCCTACCAAGAGGGTCAGGCACATTTTATTTTATTTTGAGCCGTTTGAGATGTATGTGAATTCCAATTTATATAAAAGGATTTGTTTATTGTATACAGCTGTCATTGCTTTCAGGAGTAAAAGGTGAGCAGCACAGTCTGAAAATAAATATTGAAACTTCTTTTACATTTTCTGAATTGTTGTACTGGTCATGAGAGGCTGATATTGCATGGAAAAATAGCTCCTCTTTTGAAAAATACTATTTTATGGCACATGGACTCACAGAGTAAAGAGACATTTTCTGTTAGTATCATCACTTGAACATGCACTTAGCAAGAAACTGAATATGGTAGAATTTCTTTACTCAGTTCAAAGGATTACTCATTTTTGTTTCATAGTGTTTGGTCTGGGCTCTAAATGAAGCAAGGAGGTTAATGTAACGAGACTCTTGGTAATCATGCAGAACCATTTGCTGACTTGATAAGGTTCAGGTGCAAATTTGTCAGGTCATCTAGATGCTTGCCCCAATAAAGAATGTTTGCCTGTGACTTTTTTAAACCATGAAAAGGACAAATGCAGGCAGTGGCTGCTGGGTTAAAATCAAATAAAAATAACACAAATGAACAAGAGAATAGAGGGATGATATTGTACGCTGGGGCATATCAATTAAGAACTATTTCCACAATCTGTCCAGAAATTCAGTGATAATATGCACTATACAACTATCCACCCTTACGTTCTTATTTTTCTTTTTAGCAATGAGGGAAAAAATGGAGACAATAAAACGAGTAAATTGGTTCATTTTATTGTAATCAAACAATTTGGTTGAAGTCTCAATGATACTCACTCTGCAGTTACTCAGGAAATTTTATACAAATAATGATCTTTGATGTATCTGATTTTCAAAGCAACATAGATTAGAGGAATCCCCTTCCCCTCCCCATTACTGGAATTATCATCACCCAGCCTGACTAAATGCATTTCACACCAGACTTCTGTGCATAAAGATATACTGCCCACTGCTGTGAAAATTAGTATAACTTTGATGAGTCATTTGTTCCAACCTTTGAAAAAAATGAAACTTCTGAGAACCATACTGATCTCATGATAACTTTATCTCTATACATGATATGGTCCTAGATTTGTAACTTGGCCATGAAGAATCCATTTGCTAAGGAGAATAAAATGTATTTAAGGAAATATAAAAAGACATGCATAAAAACAGCCATTATGTTAAAAAGTGTATTCAATATTATGGTTAGAGCCTGGTTAATGTCTCATAATGGTGATTTTTAAATGCCTTCTGCATATTTTTTGTAACCAGAATTACTAATTACGACTGATCATTTGGGCAAAGAAACTCATCAAAGCATCGTCTATTAGGAAAATTAATTAGGCATCTCTACTTAAAATTAGACAAATGATGGCTGATATGAATGCTGACATAGTATGGCATTGATGTAGGTTGAAGCAGGCAGACTGACATTTAGACCAAGGGATTATAAACTCTTTTATAGTTAATAGTTTGATAATTTCTCTCTCATCCACATCTTGATGGCCAGACCTCTGCTTAGAAATTTGACCCATAAGTTTGTTATTTTTGCCTTAGTGCTGGCAGTATGAGTCAAGTGACAGAGCCACCATCTCTTCTCAAACAATGCCATTGTCTCTTGATTTCAACCAGATTTTCTATATTTAAGTGTGGTTATACAGTGCTGTTTTGCCTTGCTTTACCCACTGTATCGTAGACACTGCTACTCAGTGGGTTTCTGAACAAAACAAAGAGGCTAAAACTGGGGTTTCTCAAAGTTCAGTGTAAAAATTCAACCTCTTCGTTATGTATTTCTTCTACTTGGAGCCTTAGAATAATTTACTTATTTTATTATAGTTTAAGTAGCTCATTTCTTCAGCCAGTAATTTTTGTCATTAGGTAACAGCAAATTATACTAGCCATCGCCTGAGTATTTTAATCCCATTTGCATTTTACCAGGTCTGTTCACCTGTCATTTCATTTTTGAAATATAATTCCTATAGCAATCATATTAAAAATGAACTAATGTTCCATCATTTTCTGGTCAAGTTAAAACGAGTCTGAGCAAACATATCCAGCATATACCTTCGGAGGAACAACATTAATAGAGTGTGTAGTGGTATTTCCCATCCAGAGAGATTTTAACTTGGAAAAGACATCACTTCTTTTAATTTCTCTCCTGTTCAGCGTTTGTATATTCAATATGCAAATTAGAACAAAAGCCATTATAAAAATTTTCAGTGTTACATACAAAAATATAAAAGTTAAAATGCTGTAAATATTTAATGCTACAGTATAGCATTTAATAGTTTTGTTCAATTTAAGAATCTCAGTTTTACCAGTTTGGTTTAGGAATTCTAATTTGTAAATGAGGGTTGACAGTATTTCACAATGATAAATAAATCAAAAGGCAAATTCATCATTGATAAGCCATTTTGTAGCAAACTTGCCAGTGGTTAACTAATAGCTTTATTGTATTTCAAAGTTTGTGTGTTTGTTTATTTTATGAAGAGGGTGGAAATTGAGATGTCACGTGCCCTTAAAATGCAGAAAATAATGCAAGGCTTTCCAGTGAATGTGTAACTTCTACCTCATGTGAATACTTTTAGGAAGATTCATGATTTGGTGCCCTATGCAAGTGGCAACTCATCTTCAGTGGAAAGATCTTTAAGGGAGAGATGCTTTCTTTTGAGAATTGAGAGGAATTCTAGACTTTTTAAGAAATGAAAAGGTAAAATAATAAGAGTATCTCAAAATATATACAACAACCCAAACAAGAAAATGTTAACAATTATATGGTACTCTTATAAATATGCTCACAAATATTTAAAGAAAGCGTTTCCATGACTTGGCAGATATTACATGCTTGTATATATGTATGTCAAGCAGAATAAACATATTATGGAATAAATGGGTTGTGAAATTTACACAGAGTGTATTGATGTGTTTGTAATACAAGTAAATCTGCTTTTCTGTAGTTAATTTACCCTTAGTGATTAAAATACACAATTACTTTAAATGTATAATTACCATCATTCTTTTCCCTATAGTAAGAAACTTAAGATAATTTTATACCCATATTCATTTAGTATTCAAATATACAGTATTTAAATCTTTAGTAGGTGTCAATTTCTACAATTAACCATGTACCAGAAGATTTTCTAGAAAACAATTTGAAATGGGTTGATAAAAGTTTATTTGCCTCATTGACTAGCAGGCCTGGCTAAAGACACTCATATTTAAACCTTATCTTTGGCCAGTGTGTCTAGTTATATTCCAGGTAGAAGTTCCTTTTTTTAATTTTTATTTTTTGAGACAGGTTCTCATTCTGTCACTCAGACTGGAGTGCAGTGGTGCAATCATGGCTCAGCCTTGACCTCCAGGGCTCAAGCCATCCTCCCACCTCCATCTCCCAAGTAGCTGGAACTACAGGCACACACCACCATCTCGGGCTAATTTTTTTCTATTTGTAGGGACAGGGTTTCATCATGTTGCCCAGGCTGGTCAGAAGTTCCTTTCGTGAGTAGCTGTAGTGTCTCGGTATTAGGGGGAAAAAAACAATTAAAAATTATGCCTCTTTACCTAACTTAAAAAAATAACCTCATATAGTGTTTGGGAAACCTTTTCTGAATTCAATAAAAATTCAGAAAACAAAAATCTAATTTCTATAGGAGATTTCCTTTTCCAGAAATTAATCTGATATCTGTTTTTGTTAGTTAGAACTATGTTACTTGAAACGTTGTTACATTTTTAAAGATTGTTTAGTACTTAGGGTGAGTTGTTGAGTGTGAGTAGAAATTAAACTTGTGATTTGTGAAAATGTAAGATTATCTGAGTAATGGACAATTTCTAATATTCATTTTTTAAAGTAGCTAACTCTGCCTTATTATCCCCTTCCACTTTTCCCCTGGATGGGTGATTTATATAATGGAATGCAGTGTCATTGATTGTGTTTGAAGGAGGCACACTAAATAGCACACTATTGTTATCTTGAAAATTTGTTTTATTTTGTTTTTGCCCATTTTTTAAATCATTTCATTCTATTTTTGCCCATGTCTCTTGTAATGAGCTACACATGTAATTAGTACACAGAGTTCTGGTGATGTATTCATTCATGAGTTTAGGAAGTGAGATTTTCAGCTTCATTTCCTTCTAAGCATCTCAACTAGGAGCACAGGGGAGACAAAAAAGATTGCAACCTCTTTATACAGCTGTGTTTGACCCTTGGCACTCTATTCTTACTTCAATTATCGTCCATTGTAATGATCCCTTTTCATGTCTAGCTTAACCCTAAACTGTGAGTTCCTTGAGAATAAGAACTTTGTCACAGTGATGTTTTAATATATTCTCACCACACAATAAAGGATCTAAGTGTGTGCTCAATAAATGGGTATTTGTTGGGAAATTTAAACAAGAAATAGTGAATTATTTTCTATTCACTATTTGGATACCCTTTCTCCAAAGATATTTTTTATTTGAGAGTATCTTATTTACAGTAAAAATCACAAATATTATATATACAATTTAGTTTTGACAAATGTCTACATTTCTATCCTTTACCCAGGCCTTCAATAAGAAAATAATAATAATTTTTTTCCCAAAGACATAATCTGGTTATTTGGTTATTTGGCTGAAACAATGAATATCTTTGATACATGGATTCTTTAATAATGAATCTGTTATTTAGTATTTAGTCATTACTTCATAATGATTCCAAATTTCCTAATAACTTCTTCCCCCACTATCCACCCCCATCCCCTGCCCCTGCAAAAAAGACAAAACAAATCTCCCTTTCCCTCAGGAAGTAGTTGATTTGGTGCCTGTGTAAGGTAGTTCATGCATTTCCTTCTTCTGTTTTGTTACCATACCGTATGCTTGGCACTCAGTACACCAAGAAAACAAAGAGGCATTGCCTGTCTCGAAGTTGCTTAGAGTCTAGTGGGGGAGATAATGCACACCTGCATCCATAGCACAGCAATGTGTACATAATAACAAAGATCTGAAAACCCCAGTCAGTTTTCTATGTTTTGTCCTCTTTCACACCCTTCCGAGAGTTCTATCTAATGTAACTATGAATGGTCACTGTGTCTTTATTTTTGGCCCAGACTCTTCTCAATGCTTCAGCCTCACGTATCCAACTACCTACTGATTATTCTGCTTGGACATACATCAGCCATTTTAAATTTGGCCTGAGTTGAACTCATTCTCTTTCTCTCCCACATTCATTGTGTTTTCATTTGTTTTCTTGAAATCTCCTGGTTAAGTCAGTTCAGGTTGCTATAGAAAAAAATTTTAGGTCTGGCGTGGTGTCTTGTGCCTGTAATCCCAGAATGTTGGGAAGCCTAGGTGGGCAGATTGCTTGAGCCTCAGGAGTTCGAGACCAGCCAGGGTGATTATGAGGAAACTCTGTCTCTGCAAAAAAAAAAAAAAAAAAAAAAAATACAAATACTAGCTGGGCATTGTGGCGGTGTGCCTGTAGTCCCAGTAGTCAGGAGGCTGAGGCTGAAGATCACCTGAGTCAAGAGAGGTTGAGGATGCAGCAGACAGTGGTCGTGCCATTGCACAGAAGCTGGGGTGGTACAGGGAGACCCTGTCTCAAAAAAAAAAAAAAAAAAAAAAAGAGAAAAAAGAAAGAAAGAAAAAGAACAAAAGAATCCTATAGACTAGGTGGCTTAAACAACAAACTGATTTCTCACAGTTCTGGAGGCTGGAAGTCTGAGATCAGGAGGCCAGAAGAGATCGAAAAAGCAAGTTCTCTGTCTGTCTCTGTGGTTTTTGTTTTGTTTTGTTTTGTTTTTTGTTTGTTTGTGTGTGTGTGTTTTTGAGACAGAGTCTGGAGTGCAGTGGCGCGATCTCGGCTCACTGCAAGCTTCGCCTCCCAGGTTCACACCATTCTCCTGCCTCAGCCTCCCAAGTAGCTGGGACTATAGGCGCCTGCTACTGCGCTCGGGTAATTTTTTTGTATTTTTAGTAGAGACGGGGTTTCACTGTGTTAGCCAGGATGGTCTCGATCTCCTGACCTTGTGATCCGCCCACCTTGGGGCTCCTGTGTCATCCAGGAGGGAGTGCAGTGGGTGCCATGTCGGCTCACTGCAACCTATGCCTCCTGGGTTCAAGCCATTCTCATGTCTCAGCCTCCAGTGTAGCTGGGATTACAGGCGTGTGCCATCATGGCCGGCTAATTTTTTTTTGTATTTTTGGTAGAGATGGAGTTTTACCATGTTGGCCAGGCTCGTCTTGAACTCCTGGGCTCAAGTGCTGGGATTACAGGCGTGAGCCACCTCTCCAGGCCCAAGCTCCCTTTTTGTAATGGCACTCACTCCATTTATGGGAGGTCTACCCTCATGACCTGATTATGTCCCAAAGGTCCTCCTACCTCTTAAAACAGGGGGATTTCAACATATGAGTTTTGTGGGGAAGGAAATATTCAGCCTGTAGCACTTCTCTTTCCATTTCTATTTCAATTAATGGCACTGCCTTTTGCACAAATTAGGAGCCTGAGAGTCCTATTTGACTTTTCTCTATTTCTCACATCTAATTTATGATGTAGTCTAGTATATTCTACCTCTGGAATTCCTCTGAAACCCTCCTTCTTCCCTCTAGTACCACTGTCACTGTCTTTGTTTAGGTTTTCATCTTCATTTTCTCTCAGTTGGATTATGGCAGTAGGCTCCTAAAGAATCTTTCTACCTTAATTTATCTTCTTTTAATACAATGTCCTACATAGGTGCCTGGGATTGTTTGTCACATGCTGTGCCTTGACTGGATTAAACTCGTAATTACTCACCCATGCCTCTTTCTTTCCTGCCTCCTGTACCTGATGTTCTTTCTGCTTGAGACTCTGTAATCTGGACATGACAAAAGCCTTCCATATCCGTACCTCTCTCAAGGGACTGCCTTTCCCACCTTCCCTACTACAGTGGCTGGCACAGCTCCATGTCCCATAGTCTCCATTCCTTCTCCTCTACCTCCAGAAACAACTAACTGGACTATGTGGGGGCATCTGAGCCATGAGGAGGCATTACATAGGCATTAAAAGATGAGCTGGGCCAATCAAGTTCCCTTTCTCTTGGGACTCTCCATGCAGACATCTCATTCTGAGAGAACAATGATTCATGGCACAGTGACTTAGTCAGTGAATGCCTCAGGTACGAGGTGGAGGTGGACCCTTCAGGAGTCGTAGCCATCCAAAGTTATGAGGAGGTTCAAACATGGAGGAGCAGCCATGAGGTAGACAAAAGATAGGCCAAATACAGGGTCAGAAATCCACTTGACAGTGAGGAGGGATGGTTGGAAACAACTGAAGAGAAGCTGAGTCACGTGTAGGCTGGAGTTAGACAGTGAGCCCCTGTCCTTCAGCTTCAGCCGCCAGATGCGTTCCTTGAGGCTGTGTGATTTGGCTTTTCTTGGGTTCCCTTGTATGTGCATCCTTATATTAATCCCTTACTCTACCCTCCTACCTTAAAATTAATTCAGTGAGACTGTTCTTCACAGCTAAAAGAACCTAAGTAAAATGTTTCTTCTAGGCCGGGAGTTCAAGACCAGCCTTGGCACTATGTTTGGTTCTATGTTTAGTGAGACTCCATCTCTGCAACACACACTGTGGCCTACCATGGGGGAGGGCATCAGGATAAATAGCTAATGCATGTGGGGCTTAATACCCAGGTGATGGGTTGATAGATGCAGTACACCACCATGGCACACATCTACCTGTGTAGCAAACCTGCACATGTATCCCAGAACTTAAAATTTAATTTAATTCTTAAAAATGCAAAATAAAAAAAGAAATTAGCTGAGTGTGTTAGCGTGCACCTGTGGTCCCAGCTACTTGGGAGGCTGAGGCAGGAGTATTGAGTAAGCCCAGGAGTTTGAGGCTGCAGTGAGTAGTGAGTGCACCACTGGGCAACAGAGCAAGACCCTGTCTTTAACAGAACAAAAAGTAAAAAGTAAAAAACAAAATGATTTTCCCCACCCTCCCCCCTTCACCTCAGCTAAAATGTCACCTCCTCCAGAAATTCCTTATCATTTGGTTGTACCACTGTTTGCTGCTTACCACTGTCTTAAGTTGTAATTACGTATGGTCTTCTCTCTAGGTAGGGAACAACTTGAGACTAAAGACGTTGTGACTCACATGAGTTTGTATAAATGAAGAAAATGCGATGGGACATAAGTAGGGTGTGGGGAGAGCCTTCATGGGGAGATCATACTTGACCTGAGTCTTCCCAAAAGCAATCCCTCTGTCTTACAATACAGCTGTCACCACAATTGGCTTGATAAAATATGGAGTAACAAATGTTAGGTTCACCTAGACTAATCTTCCCTTCCTATACATGAAGTACTTGGAGGAAAGAGAAAGCAGTAAAGTGATTTTCCAGAGTCACACATTCTGACATAGGCAGTGCCAGACCAAAAATCAGTCACTTCCCATAAGGTGGATATGCACACTCACAGAAAGAACGAGCCTATGCATAGAATGATCTCATTTTCAAGTAAAATAATTTTTGAGATACAAACATCAGCAATGACAACCACACCCCATTCCCCAGATCTTGCATGTACCCAGATTTATTATAAATATTTTGTGATAAACTCTAATCAGAGCCCAGTCCCTCAGTTTAATAGTCATAGATTTCAGGATTTTGCTTCTGCTTATCTTCCCAGGCTTTCTTCCTCTTCTGTCTTCTTATGGACTGGAGAAGTCCTTGTCCTTCTAGCAGGCAGGCACACCACTTTGGGTTTCTGTTTGTTTTTGTGTTTTTCAGACAGGGTCCCACTCTGTCACCCAGGTTGGAGTGCAGTGGTGCCATCACAGCTCACTGTAGCCTTGACTTCCTGGGCTTAAGCGATCCTCCCATCTCAGCCTCACCAGTAACTGGGAGTACTAGCACATGCCACTAGGCCCACCTAATATTTTCTTTTTTCTTTTTTTTTTTTATAGGGATGGGGGTCTCCCTATCTTTCCTAGGCTAGTCTCAAATTCCTAGGCTCAAGCAATTGGCCCGCCTCAGCCTCCCAAAGTGCTGGGATTGTAGGCATGAGTCACCTCGCCCCATGGGTTTCTCTGTCTTTTTCAAACCATCCCCTGCGTACTGCCTGACGTGGATTTTCTCTCTCTGGGAGTCTAGGTTAGGTATCTCTCAAGCTTTCTCTGATCAAAGCAGATGCAATCCCTTCCGTTGGTACCACAGTAGCACTTTTCTCTTAGGGTTTTTTTTTTTTTTGGAATTAGTCACATGGTGTCTCATGTAATAGTTATTTTTGCACTTCTGTTACTTGCATCTATTAGATTGTGCACTTCTGGTGGCAGGCATTTTATGCAACCATCTGGACTACAGTTCCTTGGACTCAGTAAAGATTTATTGAATACATGATCTCATGGGGTCATTTGTTTCTTTCAACATCTTGTTTCCACTACTCTCCATAAAATTCATAGGTTCTCTAGTAATGAGCACTTCCCTTTTATCTCATAAATACCTTTAAGTGACTATCTGCCACTTGCAAAAATATCTAAGGAGGGGAATTAAGTGATTTTGACTTCTAATAAATTGACAGAAAATGTTTTAACCATAAAGATTCAATCAATACAACCACTTTTAATACAAACTACTGTTTTGAATGTTTGTGGGCAGTGCAGAGCAATGTAATATATTAATTCAGCCTTCATGGAAGCTAAGTACTTAGTGGAGGAACTAATTTAAATAAAGTCAGAAAACATGAAAATG
This sequence comes from Homo sapiens, assembly GCF_000001405.40. Taxonomy (NCBI): domain Eukaryota; kingdom Metazoa; phylum Chordata; class Mammalia; order Primates; family Hominidae; genus Homo; species Homo sapiens. The sequence goes on from NC_000013.11 coordinate 93,299,416, forward strand.
TGGAAGGAACAGTGATCGCTAAAATGACTTCCATGAATTCCATAATAAATGTTGCTGAATGTCTGAGTTATTTTGATTTACCTAAAATAATGGTTAAGAATTGGGTTCTCCTGCAGTGGTCAAGGTTAGAATTCAAGAACTGCCACTCACACTTGCTTGGTTGGATTCTTCTATTAAGAGTTAAAGCATATGGAGCCATTAGCACAGAGCCTGGCATAGTGTAGGCACTCATTACATTTTCTCTGCTATTACTTTTAGATTGCAAACTCACATAGCTATTTTAAGAGTGTTATATGCCAATGCCACTTGTAGAAAATTTGTAAAACTTAGTTTTATTTCTGGTGCAGTTACTCTTTTTAAAGTTATAAATTATATGTAATTACTAGTATCAACTAGAGGAGATCAAGTACTGTTCTTCGGGGTCTAAATTAATCGTATGAGTAGTTATTCTCTAAGCAGATATTGCATCATACATATCCAACAGCCTCTTAAGGTATTCAGAATTAATAAAGCAGGGAAGATATTAATCAAGGATAGTATCTAGCAGATTTGCATAAATTAATTAATGTCAACAGCTACAACAAGCTGCAGCATAGCAGCACCTGGGAAAATCTTTACTCCCAATGAAATAAGGTAGTGAGCCTGCAGGGCAGAGAGATATTCTATCTCCAAATACATGCCAAGGTCACCGTTTACATAACACAAGTGACAACACCCAGCCAAATCACAGTAATGCATGGGTGTGTAGGAGGGGTACATCCAGGAAAATATGGTGAATATAAAGCTGTTTAGTGAAATCCTTAATGGCTTTTCAGGTGTTTATATTTTAGCATTGCATTGAGATTTCTGTTTCTTTGCACTACATTACTGAAAATAAGTATTAAAATTTATTGGTTTTATTATTCGTAAATTCAGCAAGTTCCTTTTGTGAATTGAGGTTTAAGAATAGGAGGCTGGGCACGGTGGCTCATGCCTGTAACCCCAGCAATTTGGGAGGCCGAGGCGGGCGGATCACGAGGTCAGGAGATTGAGACCATCCTGGCTAACACAGTGAAACCCCGTCTCTACTAAAAATACAAAAAATTAGCCGGGCGTGGTGGCGGGTGCCTGTAGTCCCAGCTACTTGGGAGGCTGAGGCAGGAGAATGGTGTGAACCCGGGAGGCGGAGCTTGCAGTGAGCTGAGATCACACCACTGCACTCCAGCCTGGGCCACAGAGCCAGACTCTGTCTCAAAAAAAAAAAAAAAAAGAATAGGAATGAGGCCAAGAGTAGAGACAATAGAGGTATCAGTTCTTTCCTTTATATAGAATTTAAGAAAACTGGCTTGGCATGGTGGCTCATGCCTGTAATCCCAGCACTTTGGGAGGCCAACGCAGGAGGATCACATGAGGTCAGGAGTTCGAGACCAGTCTGACCAACATGAAGAAACTCCATCTCTACTAAAAATACAAAATTATCCAGGTGTGGTGGCACATGCCTGTAATCCCAGCTACTTGGGAGGCTGAGGTGGGAGAATCATTTGAACCCGGGAGGCAGAGGTTGCCCTGAGCCAAGATTGTGCCATTGCACTCCGGCCTTGGCAACCAGAGAGAAACTCCGTCTCAAAAAAAAAAAAGAAAACCTTGTTGCTTCACTTCTTGTACCCATTTCAAATCCAACCCGGTTCCATTGGCAGACATTTCCTTAATGTTAGCTTTACTAACTCATTTACGCATTCATTGACTCAATAAACATGTTTGAGAACCTAATAACCAATTGTTACTGTCTTTGATAATGGGAATGCAAAACTCAGGATCCTCCACTTCAAAGTGCCTGGAGTCTGAAATCTCGTGCTTCCTGCAAACAAATAATCACAGATTGATGGCTCATGTCCTAAAATGGTGATGCTTGGATATGTGCTACTGGTCCTTCCTGAAGAGAACTTGAGAAGTTTTCAAAGAGAAAACAATATTTAGGACCAATATATGTGCTTGACTAGGAGAGGTGAGAAGAGAGACTATTTCAGAGAATGGGACCACCATGTTAATTACTCTTCATAGTTCCCAGAGTTACTCTCTTCTTGCATTAGCTATGCTGAGCTTCCTGCAGTTGTTGATGTTAGTTAATTTTATGCAGTCTGTGTTGGTGAGCCATGAGGAAGGACAAGGAGAAGTACAGAAAGGAGACTGTTGCTCCTTCTATAGTCTTGAATACTCCAGTGCCCATTTGATTTTGGCAGGTATTTGAACACTGGCTCATTTAACCTGTTTCTGTCATCTCTAGGAGGCATGTGCTTCTTTATAGCTTGGGGGTAACTGGGAGGACATCTTAACAGTTCCTACTTCTCCAGCCTACAAATGGAGCCTTTGGGAGAGAAACATCCCAAGACATGCCTTGACTAGTGGACGGTCTTCTTTGTCCAGCTGGGATCCAACACCAACTGGGTTCCCTTGATGTCTATAAATGGTGGACCTCCTTGGAGCAACACGTGAAGAGCCCCGATGGATTATTTGGCATAATGACGAGAAATTACTAGTGTAAGGAACAAGATTGTATTCACAATTTTAATACCCCTACAAAGCTTCTTCTTAAGGACTTGGTTTAGTTATACAATAATAAAATATAATTTATTCAAACTTCTGAAAAGATCACAATTGGGTCACTGTATATTTTTCTCTGTTTTAATACACAAAGTGTTAATCAAAGCTTTATGAGGGCCTCTGTTTATGAGCAAGGATGGGATGTGGGAATGCTGTGAGGATACTTTTTTTCTGGCTAGTGAGATGTTACTATTTTAAACATTAAATCTTAAAACGTGTGGGATCTGGTGTGTTTCCTGCCTGAGACAATGCTTATTAATTGCCCTCTGTCATTTTGATGGTAAAAGTCTTTAATTTGCACTGGTAAATGATGAAATGGCATATGGTCCATCTATTTCTGGAATACCATCCATGCATTCTGGTTACCCTCTAGTCCTAACATCCTTCTCCAAAGGATTTCCACATGTAGTGGAATACATGTTTTAACCTGGAGTATGTTTTAAGAATAGCACTTTGTATTCAGTGGACAGTATGCAGCAATGTCATTTAAATAATGAAATGTTGGCATTGTTTGGGTATAGTGTAAGTTTCTAAAATAACAATTTGATATTTATAGGGCTGAATGTCAGAGGGGAGTTGTGATTTCCTTCACAGGATCAGAGAGATCTTTAGCAAACCAGGAAACATACATGATTGAATGGAATTTCTGAAGTCAAACTTGTCTGCCATTAGAATCCACTTTTCAGTGTAGGTAGAACACCTGTAGCAGAAGTTTAAAAAAGAAATGTATTTGTGTGAGACTCAATCCTATCTCTTCTAGTGGAGTCAAGGCATAGCATTTGGTGAGGAGAAGGCAGAGTACCGTAATGGAAAAAAGTTAGGCTTTGCCATCCCATAAATTTTGATTCACTTAAAGAAAAATCCCTGAGCAGACAAAGCCAGCTGGGCCTCCTAAGTAGCAGTCACCTCACTTCTACTTAGGAGATTTGCAAACATAAGCAAAACTTGAGCTAATTCTTATAAATGCCTATATAAAAGAAAAACAGAACATAAGCTAAACGAATCACAAACAGCCAACAAACTTATAATTATATAACTAGGGACTCTCCAGTGGGATAGACCAAAGAAGGCAACTGTATAACCATAGACTGTTAAATAAGTTCTTTGTATGACTTCCACATTCTGTCTATAAAAGCCTGTTTCTTACACTACTTCAATGGAGCCCCAGAACCACTTTTGGTTTGGAGCTACCTGATTCATGAATTGTTTGTGCACATAAACTTTAAAATTTTACTGTCCCTCAGTTTACCTTTTCAACAGTTCAAATTCTGGTCACACCACTTACTACCTTATGAATTCAGGCCACTTACTCAGTTTACTCGGACTTTGGTTTCCTTAAGAATACCTATCTCATGATTGTTGGGAAAATAAGTAAGTTAATACACATGAAATCTTTAGGACAGTAGCTGACAAAATGAGTGCTAGTTAAATCATTACTATTACTATTATTAGTGGTAATATCTTTAAAAATAAATTCTCACAGGTTTTTGAGATTATCAAATGCGAATAACCCAACCCATGCCAAAGCTTTCAGCATAAACCCCAGGTGATAGAAGACTTGGGTTGAAGAAGAGTGTGGGTCAAGTTTTCAATGAATCAGAGGAAGCTTGAGGTTAGTAGATGATACAACAGGTAGGAGCAGAGGGTTCTTAAATAAAATGGATGAATTACATACAATTTTTTTAAATACTTAGATAATTTAATAATGGATTCACAATACAAAGTGGGGAAAATTCCGGCCTCATTTTCTCATCCTAGGGTTCAATTAGGGTGAGAAAAGAACATTTGAGTAGGCAGCAAGGCAGCGTCCATAGAGTTTCAATAAAGGCAAAAGATGGATTTTGCTTATAGAGACAGTTTGGGCAATGTAGATACTATTTTTTTTTTTTTTTTTTGAGATGGAGTCTCTATTGCCCAGGCTGGAGTGTAATGGCACAATCTCGGCTCACTGCAACCTCCGCCTCCTGGGTTCAAACAATTCTCCTGCCTCAGCCTCCCGAGCAGCTGGGATTACAGGTGCTCACCACCATGCTTGGCTAATTTTTGTATTTTAGTAGAGACGGGATTTCACCATGTTGGCCAGGCTGGTCTTGAACTCCTGACCTTGTGATCCGCCTGCCTCGGCCTCCCACAGTGCTGGGATTACAGATGTGAGCTACTGCGCCTGGCCGTAGAGACTATTTAATATCATTGAAAGACATTCTAAAACGTGTAGTGCAAGGGGAGGTGTTTGTTGGGATTTTGCAGGAAAGAAGAAACACTGCCATCAGTGAAACTCTATCCTAGGGCTTACATTTCCATGTGACCAAGGCTGTGAGGCATAGTCAGTGCAGCCAGCGCGAGGTTTTCAAAGAATTGCTGCTGGCTTGTCTGCTGGTAGATGGCAGTTGCTAGCCTTGTCTTTAGGCACTCTCCTGGCTTTCCAAAGGCCCTGCTCACAGTTCTGGAAAATCTCTAGAATCTTCCACATTTACCTCTGTCTTAACTTCCTCTTGGTTTTCCCCACTTTGATTCAAAGAGTCTGTGGCTCCATATGTAGACTTCTACCTGGATTTGAGTTCTCCATAGTTTTCACTATGTTTTGGAGAACATAGGAACTGTTATTGAGAAATTATTCTGACACATGTTAATGACACAAAGACAGATTTCATTCGAGGTACTGCAGAACGGAAGAGGGACTACTTCACTATGGATCTGAGTTCAATTCCAAATACAACAGAGACAGGTGAGGATTTACAGCTAATGGGCAGAGTGAGAGTCAGTGGATAGAGAATTACTAAGAGGATCTTGATTAGATATTTAGGGTTGGGGGATGAGGAGCTTGATGCTATGTTGAGAGTGGGTGGGGGATTCTGATTAAAATTGGCTGAAGAGGGAGTCTTTGTCTATACAAGTATGTTTGGCTTTCTCTGTTTTGGCATCTTACCTTTGTGCTGGCAGAGAACCTCCTGCCCCACCTCTTTATTCTATCCTCCAGCCTTCATTCCTCAACTTCAGATTCTTGAAATCCACAACAGGATCATTCTCTACTTTCTGTTTGAAGTCATGCAGCTGGAGCAGGTGATGGTATCAGGATTCAGCTAATTTACATTTGAGTTCCAGCAGGAGCTCTTAACACGGCCTGCCCATCAGACACACCTGGGGTCGTTTAAAACAAGCAACCAACAAGTATAAAACAAGAGTCCTCTCTATCTGGCCTCACCTCAGGTCAATTTTATCTGTACCTCTGGGGTTGAACCCAGGCAGTCGTTTTTTTTGTGTGTGTGTTTTTGTTTTGTTTTGTTTTGTTTGTAAAACTTCTCTAGTGATTATGATGAGCAGCCTGCTTTGAGGAGCAAAGACACATAAGACCCCTTGCTCAGCACCTGATGGGTATCTCAGTTTGCTGTCGTACTGGGACCACAAGCAGTAAATAGGAGAACAGGATTGGTGATTATTGTGAGGCAGGTGCTATTTTTCTCAGAACAGTTAAGAGATTTACAGAAGATGATAGAATTAGTGAGGGAGCTGAGAGCCATCTGTTTCTGATATCCAAATCGATGCCAACTCTATCCATGAAAGAGCCACGGAGATACTACTGATACTACTGAAGGTAGGAAGCATTAAGTCTCTTATTTTTTGAATATTGTTCCATCCTAAATGTTTATTCTTTGTTACAGCTTTCACTTCCTTTCTTCTAGATATGTTGTCTTGCATTAGGGCCCACAGATGTATTATGAATGGCTTAAAAACTTTATTCTTCCAACTTTTCAGATTGCATTTTGTACAGAAAAGCGATACAGATTTGATTTTAGTTTCCTATTTCCTAAATGACTTTATCAAGCAATCTGCTTTCCAGATTTGCTTTTATTTTTCTCCTGTTTTTCTACATGTGCTTATCAAGCAATCAACTTTTTGCCTCCCATATGCACTGAACTATATTAGAAAATAAAATATTAAAACCAAAGAGCAGAAAGTGCAGATTACCAAAAGATTAAGGTAGTTTTAAAATGTGCTTGTTTCCCATGTAAATGAATGGAGGGTTAGTATATTCAGTACAAATTATGTTTAGAATATTAATCCACAGAGTTTATAACATGCTGTGTATGACACATAAAGTAATTATGCAGTGGGGTACTGAACAGTCACATTCCAATGTATGTTATTGACATCTTTTTCTTGTTAAAAAGTGCAAAGTGGAAGCAGAATATCAAACAAAATAGTTATTATTTTATGGTAAAAGATTGAAATGTAAAGACAAATGATAATGAAATAAGCATGTGATTAAAGCTAATGATGAGAGTAAACACTGTATCCAAAGGTTTTGCTATTTTGGTGAACTGGATATATTTTCTTAGTGATTTCTGATGATTATGTGTGAGAAAATTCTGTCTGTCAGCCAGCATATAAATAGAGCCAACTTGTTTGATTCATTGTTTAGCTGGATCTTGAATACATTTAGAAAGCCCTTTTATTTGACTGATTTGATCAATCTGGTGATCTATTTTCCTAAAAAAAAAGATTTCAGAGGGGACAACAAAATATAATCACTAAATCTTAAAAGCAAAAGTAAACAAATTTAGTACTTTACCAGAGGAAAAAATGTTGCTAAATATCTCATGTAACTGATTGATCTAGGATTTCACTTCAAATAAATCCTATATCCTAGATAGTCATATGAAATTATCTGATATTTCAAAACAACTTAATTCATTTAGGATTTAAAGAAAGCTAAATTTATTGAATCATGGGAATAAAAGGAATCTCATCTAGACATTTAGTCTATTCAATTTTTTGAAGTTACAGATCAAAAATATATGTTTAAGTAGCTATTCTTTGTAATTTTGTAGCGTGTGGTTCATATTACATTTTGACACAGAGCATATTTGTTTTTTCATTTTAAATACGCATGTCCCCTAGCAAACTCTCGGTTCCAATAGGGTAGGGAGCATGTTCTGTCTTTATAACCCTAGTTTTTATAATGGTGCTTAGAAGAGCAATAAATGAAGCTTAGAAGATCAGTGGTGCTTAGAATCTGCTGAATAAATGATTTTTGAATTTTTATTTTTTTATTTCTTTTCTGTTTTAAAATATTGCCAGTGAAAGAGGTATCCTAGTTTCTATTGGTAACCAATTGTAGATTTTTTTCTTATATTTAATCGACTATTCATTCTGAATTGGAGAAAAAGAAAGATTTGACAGATACATATTTTTAACAAGATGTTGCATATATGGCAGTAGTACAATGTAATTTCTGGTATGGGTGAAATTATAGCCATATGTGTGCCTAATCAACTTAAATCCTGCCTGTGAAAAGTGAATCATGTACTCTTATTGTTATTTCACATGTATATATTAATATATCATTATCTGGCTCTTGAAGTTATTCAGATTTTATGATGAATCAAATGGGAAGAGGGATGAAATTTATCCTTGCTTAGTAATCTTAACCACATAGGAAGTTCAAGCAATGGTTATTTAGTGTGCAAGGGGAAAAGTTAAAAATACTCAAAATACTTTATAAAATAGTTATTATAATAATTCTAATTATAAACCACTCATACCTATGTATGGAAAGAGCATAAATAAAGTTAGATTGGCTCTTTCTATTAACACCATCATATTAACTCAGTATGAGTTTACATATATGATTGAGGATAGTTTTAAAAAGCCACTATGTAAATGTCATATACGAGACATACTCTTTGATCAATTACTGAGAGTAATGAGGTGTATGATAAACTTTTATAATAATACTTATTTTTATGACAAAAGATCTTTTGAGATCTATTGTAAAACTATGGTGACTATGTTAATAATATATTTATATTCTTGAAAAATGCCAAGAGAGTGAATGTAAAGTGTTCTCACCACAAAAATGATGACTGCAAGTTAAAGCATATGTTAATTAGCTAGATTTAGTCATTTTACAAACATATTGTACACTGTAAATATATACAGATTTATCTGCCAATTTACAAAAAGAAAATAGGTCAATTGAAAAATGGTGGCCGGGCATGGTGGCTCAGGCCGGGCACGGTGGCTCACGTCTGTAATCCCAGCACTTTGGGAGGCCGAGGTGGGCGGATCACGAAGTCAGGAGATCGAGACCATCCTGGCTAACATGGTGAAACCCCGTCTCTACTAAAAATACAAAAAAATTAGCCGGGCCTGGTGGCGGGCGCCTGCAGTCCCAGCTACTCGGGAGGCTGAGGCAGGAGAATGGCATGAACCCGGGAGGCAGAGCTTGCAGTGAGCCGAGATTGCGCTACTGCACTCCAGCCTGGGTGACAGAGTGAGACTCCATCTCAGAAAAGAAAAATGGTTATTGTTAGACAAAAAGCTGCCTGAGGGCATAACTTATAATTACATATCCTTAGTGACTGAGAAGTAACTGGTGCATAGCAAGTCCTCTGACACTGGCTGAAATTGTTGAACCAAATTTAAATAATTGGATCTATAGTCATGTGTTATTTATTTATTTAGAGATTGAGTCTGGCTCTGTTGTCTAGGCTGGAGTGCAGTGGCATGATCTCAGCTCACTGGAACCTCTGGTTTCTGGGTTCAAGCAATTCTCCTGCCTCAGCCTCCTGAGTAGCTAGGATTGCTGGTGTGCACCACCACAGCCAGCTAACTTTTGTATTTTTAGTAGAGACAGGGTTTTGCCATGTTGGTCAGGCTGGTCTCGAACTCCTGACTTCAAGTGATCTGCCCGCCTTGGCCTCCCAAAGTGCTGGGATTACAGGCGTAAGCCACTGCACTGGGCTGTCATGGGTAATTTAATTTCTGAAACTTTATTACACATAATAGGACTGCATTTATAATCTTAATTTTTTTATGGCTAAGAAAATATTAGGAAGAAAGCAAACTGCAACAATGTTTTATATGTATTTAGTTTATTTCAGTGGGAATACTGATCATCATTGTAGGATCATAATTGAATAATTTATCCTCTTAAACATTCCTGTTTGAGAGAATGCTGGTTCATTCATTCAGTCAGTCATCCATTTTTTGATTTAATGGGCACTTATTGAGTAGGTACTTTTTTAAGGAAACTACTATAGTGGAACAAAATACTGAACTGGAACAATGAACTGGAAAATACAACAGATCCAAATATTTTCCTCCCGTCAAAGAGACCTTTATTTCTTTTTAGAAGACCATGCTGCCTAGGTATATTGGACACAAATAATTCTTGTTTACAATGTAAATGATATGCTTTTTGAAAAGAATTTAAAGGTTCTTGATATAACAAATTGTGACTTTTTAAGTATAAAAGTCAATATTTTGGTAGGTAAGTCTTTATTTTTGTGATAAGAAATGACTTTAAAAACATTTATTTCACTATAATATTTGAAATATAAACATAGCGATAATTCATGATGTTGCTATTTTTTTGGTTAGCATGAATATACACATTTATGCTTGTTCTCATTTTGGATGAGTGATTCTAATATTATTATATATTCTGTATTATTTTAAAAGCACTTTGTCAACTTAACACACAATGTATTTTTATATGTATTTTTCTAACTTAGTTATGCTTTTAGTTTAATAGCATGACATGTTTTAAACATATTTTAAACTATAATTGGTAGAGGCAGTTTAAAGTATATACACTTTAGTATAAACATAGTCATACAGCAAGTATATTAACTTGGGAAAAACATACAGAAACACAAGAAGCTATCATTATTTTCATGAAGCCATAATTTTGTTACTTTTTATTTTTATAAATATAGAAGAAAGAAAAGCCCTGAATGGTTTGGTGATCATGTGGGGATATAATGTACGTAGTAATGTTACACAGTGTAATAGTTATTGTTTCTTGATGGTTCTTCTTTACTTAGACATAAATTCCAATGTAAATCAGTTTGCTTGGGACAGTTCTGGTTGATACTTGTTGTACCTTCTAAATTGTTAAGAGCATCTACTTGTATTGTAAAAAGTGACCTGCTTTGGATGATTAACTACGTGGTCACTGCCATCACAAAGCATTTTGTAAGAAGGGTTGTTTGTGAATGAACTAGTTGTGAAAGTTGACAGCTCCTCCCTAGACTCCTAGGAAGCCTGACGTGACTGGTTACTATGGTAACAGAGTACTATGTGAATACACATTTCACACAGTCTCATAGAATCGTACATGTCCAAATCTCCCATTCAGTCTTTCTTGTAAATGGTGATCTGGCTTCCACTTGATTACTCTCTGTGACCAAATAGAAACTACAACCTCCCTCTGCTTCTCATCTGTATTTTTCAATGCTCAGGAAAGAGGGTGCAGCTGGAGAAACCGTATAAAAAACAATGCAGCTAATTGTTTCCAGTCAAGAAACTCCACCAGGCCTCATCTTCCTTCTTCCTGCTTCCTTCTACGTCAGTTCCCAAGAGCTTGGGGTTTTGACTTTTTTGTTGAAGCCTCTGCCAGGTCCATCTCCGTGGAGTGAGCAAAACCAGAATCACCCTCAGGAGGCACTTTGGAAACACAACATTCACATTTCTGTATTACCATGTCGAGTGGTTGTCATGAACTTGTAGTGATTGGATATTAAAGTAACTAGACTTTCTGCATTGCTCAGAGATGCCTTTAGTCCTTAAAGCCCTTCAAATATCCTTCAAACCAGTCCCATAAGGAAAATCCTGTATATAATTTTCCGGTTTTGGAAAGTTAGTCTACTATATATTAAAAATTATTTTCCCATGGTTTTATTATACCATAAACTTTTTGAAAATGCGACTACCATGTCCATGGAGAGAAGACGCTACTTTGTTGCATTCTATATTTTAGGAGCATTGTGCGCTGTTGTAACTAATCATAATATGATGGCTACACTCGTTTTGGTATTTGAATAACTGATATGACACATTGCATCATATCTGTCTTCTCATCTTCCTCGCCTAAGCATTTACCTTCTAACTACTACTATTTTATTATAAACAATTTTTACAAACTACGAAATCCTTTTACAGTTTATACTATAATGAGGACTTTTATCTGATGAAAAAATATTGAGTAGGTAGCTTACGTTATCTAAGAATATCCTTTCTGATATAAAAATGAAGAGTTGGGTCTCAAAGGATTCACTGCCATTGTGTCATCACTGCCTGTGGAACCCAGAAATTGCATTACCCATGGCCCTAAAGTCTAGACCTCCGGCATCAGAAAGGGTAGGGCAATGCCAGCTGGGACTCACTATGCTTATGGAGGAAATTTTGACACCTTTTCTATTTCTGGAAGGCTTTGGTTTTCAGATAATTTTTTTGCAAGGAATGAGATATGTTTACCTGTGTCTTAACATGCATTCATTTTACATTTCCCTGTGGGAGCACACAGAAGAAACTAACATTTCCTTTCATGTGATGACCCTTGAGCTATTTGAATATAGCTGGCATTCAGTTTCTTCTCCCAATCCCCCTGTGAATGTTTTGAAGGCCCTGGACTCATCTTAAGTCAGGGAGGGGAGACTCTTCTCTTTCAGACATAGGACATTATGCCTCTACTATTGCAAGCAAAGACACCACCCCTTATTTATTTCCTGGTTCCGGTAATCCCATAATAGTGTTGACTTATACTGCTTTTGAAATCAACCAAGCCCTACACAGTCTATTGTAATTACTGTAGTTGAACTATGCTTCCTTTAAATTTGGGATTAATTTTGTGATCCCTGGAACTTCATAGAAACCTAGAGACATAGATTCTTTGTAAACAAATAATGATATAAATAGAGAAAGATATCTCCTTGACCCCTATGCAGTGCCAGTTTTCTGTCCTGCACTATACTCTGGATTGGTAAAAAGGTAGTGGTGGAAGCAGTGACAGAATCCAAACCTGATGCAGACTCATACTTCAAGAATCATTAAAGTACGTGTTCTTCCAGCTTCTCGCCTGGATGTCGGTTAACTACTGAGGGTACAAAGGCAAGATGGGTCTTTGGGGTAATCAGGCAGAAGCAATTTTAGCTCCTGATGGGAGGTAAAAAAGAAAGAAGCTAAAGAGAAAATGCACACCTTAACAGAATAACTCAAAAAAGTTATGGAGAGTTATGTGAGTAATAAACAACTCATTAGGAAAGTTACTTTGGCTTAGAAAGTACATAAGCAGCCTAATTATGTAGTCATTTCACATCTATCTTATGTGAAATTGGCAGTACCAAACAAACAGCTTCTCTTTTTTTCTTTTCTTATTCCAGGTCTTTGGAAAATAGTCAGTTTTTTGTCTGATAAATTATCTCTTTTGTTGAAATTGATTTGTGTTACTGCTTTTCATTTTTGAGCAGATTTTCTCATTATTCGTTTATATCAAAGTGTCAATAGATCCTGAGAACAGGGTACACTTATGTCCTGTGTATATAGTGTGCATTAAAGGGCCTTATTCCCAAGTCAACTTTCTTCCACGTTGTGAGTGGCATATGTACACCTATTGCTTGCTATTTTGAGTTTTAAATTATCTAAGCAAGAAAGCCTGAAACTAATTAAACTCCAGTGGTTTATTTATTAATATTAATTTACAACCTGATGGCTTAATCAGTATCCTGCTTTCTTTTTTTTCTTTAAAGACTTGGCATAATTTTACATAGCCTTGTGATTGCTTTGAAAAGGCTGTAGTGTTCTTCCATCATTAGATGACAATTTTCTTTTCTAGTTTGAAAACTTAGCTTAAGTTCTCAAGTCAATATGCCTATAGTGAACCATTTATTGAAGGGGTGTTCATTGCGAATAGCATGGCCAATTAAATGAAGAATAATTGGTTTAGTTGAGCACCTTGCAATACTTCTCTGGTTTAGAATACTGCAGAAACTCAATGGTTCTTTCTCATGCTGTGTGTGATTTTGCTTTGTTTAAAACCTGATGTGCCTAAGTAGATTTACCTTACCAGTAGATGGTTTAATTTGATTTTAATGATATTCTATTTGGCTCTATAAACTGTACTGAAGCCAGCGCTGCCATGCTGTTAAAAATGTAATCTATTCTATAATGGCATTAGGTGATAATGAAAGCAGATATTAGAGACATAACCATTTTCATATTTAATAGAGAAGCAATGTGTTCTAGGTAATGAAGTTAAGACTTCACATGACATTGTCAGCACATGTTAACTCTATGTTTTGGAAGGCTGCTTTTTAGACCTAAGTAAATATAATTCAAAATGCCCCTATACTTGTTTATCTATTAGATGCTCTTGTTTTGTTTTACACATCATAACTGCCAGGATCATTTATTTGGCAGAGCCTCAGAATAAAAACAACTCAAACCAACCAAACAAACAACAACTAAGAACTAATAAAATCTTTGAAGCTTGAAACTGTAGAAATGAGGTAAATTTTTTTTTTCCTTGGATAACTACTTCCAATCTAGTATTTGAATGGCAAACAACTAAGCAACATTTGTATGCTTTTCTTTTGAAGTAAGGTGGAAACATTTTTCATCAGTTTTTCAACTGTTAGTTGGAATATTTGTGATCACTTTAAAGTGTGACAGTAATATGAAACTCCTGAGATGACCAGCAGCATAGCCTTTAGCCCATTTGTGTTCATTTTAAATATGCTTTTATTGAATAATTAATATGTCTAGACACTTTATTGTGAAAACTAGAAATTTTTCCTATCCACTCCGGTGTAACCCGTGTAAATAGTTTCCTGTGTATACCCTCTATACATTTTCCATCATATATAAGCAAGCATGTAATAGATTTTTTTTTTAAAGAGACAAGATCTTGATATGTTGCCCAGGCTGGAGTACAGTGGCTATTCACAAGTATGATCATAGTGCACTATAGCCTAGAATTTCTGGGCTCAAACAATCCTCCTGCCTCAGTCTCTCAAGTAGCTGGGACTACAGGTATCTACCATTGTGCCTGGCCTAAAATTTTATCTTCTAAAGATTATAAAAATGAGGGAATTATACTATGTATACAGTTCTCCAACTGGCTATTTCATAAACAATGTACTGTGCAACCTTTTCTGTATCAGGCACATATGTTTTCTAATGAATGCCTAGGATGACATTGTAGGTATGAACTTCATGCTTAACTTTAGTTTGTTCTTGGTTGTTTTCCAATTTTAAGTTTGAAGTTAGATGCAGTTACATGAAGCAAGTGAACTCTATTCTGGTTTTCCTGCCTCTAAGATGCCTTTTGTCATTAGTTCTGCTATCTTCAGAGATAAACAAATACATTTTATAGGCAGACAGAATTGCATAAAAGAATTTTTTTTCCTCTTGGCTTATTTTTTTCTCAATAATTTCTTTTATCCCTGGAAATAATACAACGTAATGCATCAAATATATACTTGACACATGCTTTCAAACCAAGCCATTGTAGGTGAGACTGACCTGGAAAACAGATACAGAATCAAAGTGATCACATCAGTTAAGCACAGCAATACACCCTCTTACAGTGAAAGACGTTCAGAGCAATTCATGAGTATGAAGGACAAAACACGGTTAGGTTAAGGATTAGGAACAGATGACCAGGTTGGGGAAATAAAGTTAATATCTTATACTCCCCACATGGTATTCTCATGTTTTTCACACTCCAACCGCCTATAAAATGGCAGCACATAATTTAGGCCATGAGTTCTGTCTTTGGTATGAGAATCGGACTGGGATTTAGGAGACCTTGGTTGCCTTGTTTAGCTACTATCAACAGCAAATAAAGTTGCATGAGCATAACTGCAGCAGAGAATGCAAGAGAATGGAGTTCAGGAAAAAATGAGGGCCTAATTAGATAGAAAACAAGGAGGGGTGTGTGTGTGTGTGTGTGTGTGTGTGTGTGTGTGTGTGTGTGTGCACGCATGTGCTGAGAAATGAGGAGATTGGTTATGATGTTATACAGTAAATCATTTTATAGAAGAAGATTAATCTGGGAGTAAATTGCAAAGCCAAAGGATTACATGGCTAGGCTGATAAGTTGTGCTTTTTTGTTTTGTTTTGTTTGTTTGTTTGTTTTTTGGTAACTCAGTTCTGAAGTTGATGAGAACCCAGATTTGTATGTCATAGCAGTAGAAACAGAGAGGGAACAGTTTGAAAGTATTCAAGTTAAAAGTTGAAAACAGTACATTGTTGGTTTGAAAGATGGTTAAAGAGCTTTAATTTCCTAATTATTTTGATGGATGAGAAGGAGGGAGGGGACTTTTTATCAACTAGTTATGTCCTTTTGAAAAACAAGTTGTTTGATTTTTTTATTAAGATCTAAATTTTAAAACATTACATCCTTTTAAAACATTAACTTAAGTTTTTGTTTATTTAAAGAGATATGTTGTTTGTTATGAACAGGATGTTACTATGAAATTTTTTGAAGATTGTATTTCTTTTTCTTTGCCATAAAAAATGAATATGATCATATTGTGGATAATTGTCCTAACCATAATTATAGCTCTGTTTTCTAGGGAAACAATGAAATATATTCTTGGAAGAAAATAAGTTTAGAAAATACTCTTTAATCATCCCAGTGCAATTATATTCATTATTTATTTTGCTTTTTAAATCAGTAAATTATTAGCTACTGAAAATTATAATTACTACCAATGAATAGATAAGGCTTTACATATTTCATCATTTAATTAATGATTAACTATTTTTTTGACTTTACAAGTAAATCATTCATTTTTGGAAATTTAAGTCAACCACTAAATATTAATATTCTTTATATAATTTTACATTATTTCACTAAGACTAAAAGTGTACCTAAGATTGGTTGTTGTGAAGTTTTAAAAATGTGTATGCTTTTATTTTAAGAGATTAATATTATATATTATTAGGATATTATATGAGCAAACATGTTTTCTTCAATTTTTTTTTAACCATGTATGTAGTCAGTCATTACTAAGAGAGAGTGAGTGGGGAGTCACTGCCCCATCCCTTTATCTCTGCGTACCACTGTTCTGAAGATATTTTGTTGATGACATATATGAGCAAGATATTTGGACAAAGAGTCTGTTTTCTGATCCTCTAGCTAATATGCATATATATGAAAAAAATTAATAACGTTCATATATGTGCTGTCTTTTGTTCATGCTCAAAGCAGTCTCAATGATTTTTTCACAGGGGTGTTCTCCTGTATATACTTGAGGCCACCATCAGATTTTTAAATCCAGGCTTAGAATAGTGACTATAACCAGGTTTATCTTCTTTTATGCATCCATGGTATATTGCCTTCTAAACTGTACCCAAATTCTTTATCAGAATCATTTTTAACAAAGTGCTCCAAGCTGTAACCTTCATTTGATGAACCTTGCTCTTTGAGTGGAGAACTATTTTTTATTCATGCCCTAGACTATTACCAAGCAGAGAGCTTGAAGGCAGTCCATTGTCCAGATATACTAATAAAATCGACATTCATGGCTAGTTTTCCTAATGTGTGGGTATATGTCATTATCCATTCATGGTTTGTCTTTCATGCTTTTCATACACATCAAGCCAAATGTCTGGGACACAAAGATGTCCAATATTTCCTTAATTTCAAGGAGCTCATAATTAAGTGTTACAGGAGAACACATGAACAAATTATTGTGCAGGTTGAATAAAGCTATTAGGTATAATGTGAAAGTATGCTCTAGGGCATAAAGGGAAAAAATGATGAGAGTGTTTATACTCTAAACTGCTATCATCATTGGAAAACAGCAGCTTTTAAACCGAATAATTTCTTTAGCAATCACTAAATAATAGTTAAAATAAAAGAACCATCTCTTTAGCCCTTATTACATGCTAACACCTACAAATATTTAATTATCAAATACCTCTTTAAAATTAGCCTTATACCAAAGTATTTTACTTTGATAAATCAGAGCTCATGAGCCTTTTCTCCAGACTCAACAAATCAAAATCTTATAATGTTATGAGGAACTCACGGATTAAATGTTTGTTTCATTGCTCAGCATACGTTTTAATGTATTTTGCTTTTCTGAGAAGGTGTTGTACCTTGTTTTCATTTAATTTCTGTAGCATATACACTTAGTGCTTAAGCTGTCATTATCTGATCTGCATTTGAGGAGCAAGCTATGTTAGCACTGTGAGCCATTCTCATTTGCAAGTCAATAATTGTGACAGTGCTTCTAAGTATGTAGACCTGTATTATAAATGTTAGGGGAGGTTTAGTAATGTAATGGGAGAGGCGGTCCCCATTCTTATCCTTTGTGTTACTTACAATTGGCTGACTTTTAACACACTCATGGGGTGTTTTATATGTGGTCCTGCGTTCAGAAATCAAATTCAGATTTTAGCAATTCTTTCATTAGCATTTTCTTTCCTATTAAGAATTTGAATGGGCACATACCAAGTCATTTAACCCTGCCTAAGCATCTTTTATCATTGAAAATATTTGATAAACTTATCAGACACCTCAATGTTTTCCTGAACAGAAAAAGTGACTTAATATTAATCTTTACAACCAGAGATTTGACGAAAGCTCTGCTTGTATTAGTTGGAGACCTCCCATGCTTCAAAGTGTGTTGCTTCAGGTTGCCTTAGTTTGTTGGATAACCAGGCGCCTCTTTGAATTCACTGTATGCTTGTGATTAATGTCATTCACACAACTTCTCTTTTCTTTATCCACAACCCAATGTTTTAATGAGATATGCTTTTCTGTTTTGTTTTATGTTTCTATTGTTTTCTAAGTTGGATTACTGAAAGCTTTTAGTCTGAAGGAAGGGAAAGGCCTGTGGAATCAATGCTGAACCTCTGTGGTGCCTACATTTACTTTTTTATCAACTTTATCAGAAAACTGAGTGGACCATGGTAAATTCTTAATTGGTTTTGTTAAAACTACCAGTGAAGAGTGAAACACATGGAGCAGGCTTGAAACTTAATTGAAATCCAACATCAAGTATTTCTTGTTATACAGTCTGTCTTTTTTCCTTTTGGAATTTCTTTTGTCTGTTACTGTGCTATGATAAGCTCATCTGCGATTTCAGCACTTTGGAAGAGATATTTTACAAAGGAGGGGAGGATACAAGAGGAATGATAAATGGCAAGGAAAACCACTCACTCTTAATGCTTTTTGTCATACTCATGTCCTCTTGTCCCGTCAAACATACCTTTTCTGCAATGAATTCAACTCATGTTATGTGACATTGTCATTTTACAAGGGAAGACTAGCCAGAGAATTTCTGATGGATGCCAAAGACATGGAGTGGTACTTTACATTTTGTAGGTGATTGATAGGTTTAGTGTCTTGTATCTAGAAAGTGGACACATAGAGTAGAGCAGCTTATTCGAGACTCTTCTCC
Source organism: Homo sapiens (assembly GCF_000001405.40). Classification (NCBI taxonomy): domain Eukaryota; kingdom Metazoa; phylum Chordata; class Mammalia; order Primates; family Hominidae; genus Homo; species Homo sapiens. Next base: position 93,318,195 of record NC_000013.11, read on the forward strand.
CTCCGTCCATAGCCAAGGAAATTATAGGAAGCATTCTAGTTTGTTGAATGGTTCATAAATATGTGACAGTTTTTTTTGTTGGTTGGTTGGCTTTTGTTGTTTGATACTAATGGACCAAGAAGAAAAAAAAAGCAAATTTTTATTTTGAATAATGAGGGTGAATGAGTAATATGAGTAGTATAGTTCTTTTCTGTAACAAATTTCAGATAACTTGATTTAATTGGGAATAACATGTTTTCTAACATAGAAAAAAGAATATTGAGACTCCAGTTCAACATGGTAACATGAGCAAATATGTTTATCTCTATACCCTCCTGAATATCTCACTAAGGCTAAAATAAAGGGGAAAAAAGGATAGAAACATACATGAATAAAGAGGATTGGAGAGGAGATAACAATCAGTTAGAAATACTATGAATTTATGGATAATATAAATTAGAAGGAGGGGTTTCTAGAGCAGAAGAAGTTGCATACCTAGTGCTTGCAGGGGGAGGTGCCAACAAGCAGGAAGCAAAATCATGATTCAGAACCTGGGAGAGGACAGCAATTGGCAATGTGAGGAAGTGCGGAAGCCAGTTGTGAAATACGGGGCTGAAACAAGGAAGTTTGTTCAAAGTCTAAGTAGGGTATGTTATAGCTTTGCTATATGTTATAGTTTTGCTAAATTTTATAAATGTTGCTATATGTTATAGCTTTCCCTGCATGAACAGACACTGACTACTGGAGTGCCCTTACTCTAGTCAGAATGAGGTTTATTCTATGGAGACATTGAACTTAGAGAGGTTGCATACATTGGAACACCATGCACAGCTGGGGGTGGAGTCAGTCTCACAATACACAGTGAGATATCCCATCAATTACTTCCGATAGCACTGGCAGACTGGCCTATAACTGTCCCCTCATGCATCTCTACACAGATTAGTGAAAGCTAATTTTCTGGAGAAACTGGCTCCAGAGGAAAGAGATGGTGACATTTGAAGAGTCAGGTCACATTTGAAAATCTGTTCACTCTGCAGTGAAACCCTTTGGTTGACAAGCTGCAGCCCTCGTGCATAGTGTTCCTAGGCTGTTTATTTTCTCACTTGTAAATATGTATAAGAATCACCAAGTGTTTGGAGTGTGCTCTGACAAGAAATAAATAGGCCACAAGAAGGGGAAAAACCCACTAAAAAGGAAATTGGAGAAACTAAATTAATAGGTATGGATCAGAAAAAATGGCTTAAATAAGCAAGAGAGAATGTTAACTTAGAGAAATAAAAGTTGCATCCACAAAACAGAATGTGATGCTATTACTGTCAGAGCTAATGAAGAACAAGAGAGACCTTGTGAGAACTAAAACTTTGGAAGCAGGAGTAAAATAAAGAGTAGAAGCATTTGAGCATTAAGGGTGTATCCTAGAAAATAGAACAAGTAGAACATATAGTATCCAGCTTACACTGTTTTCAGAAAAAGAGCAGAACAAATAAAATAAATTCTCAAAGTAATAAAATTAAGTCCCAGGACGGAAGGAAAGGTGCTTCCACATGCTGAGTGCATTGCCAAATTAATGAAAAATGGGTAGAAACAAAATCGCAAAATTTCAGAACGCTAGGCATGAAGACCAGATCACAGAGGCCTCTAGATGAGAAAAATACATATGTATTTTTCTCCTTCATATACAACATATGAAGGATTAAGAATCCAAGTGACATAGGATATACATGGAGCATAGTGGAAACTAGAAGTGAAAGAAAATCGCAAAACAATAGCTGTTTGACAGCTCTAGGGAACAACAAACCCAAATTGGAGCATGAGCCCTGATGGCTTCAGGAAGATAGATCAACTGATATCTTTGATCATATGAAAATCCATACTGAAAGTGATTTTAATGTTGGAGAATTTTGGAGTCTAAGCAAAGGGGAAAAGGACAGGCAACTGTTAAATCCAGGAAAAATATAAAGTTTTACAAGAAGGGAAATATCATAATAGACTATTTGGCTTATCAGAGAAAATATATACTCATAATAATGCAAATACTGCCTAATACCTTTAAAAAGTGAAATTTTATATTTGTTCCAGAATAACTGACTCTTAGGAGTTATACATTGCCTTGCAGTTATTAAGGAGTAATAAATTACCAAGTATATTCTTTTAACTACATTTTAAAGTGATTCCCTTATATATATAAATTTTTTAAATGTTTAGCTATTTATTAAAGAAAGTGCTCAAAGTAAAGGAGAGGGCTTCAATTCATTAGAGAAAAACAAATAATATTAGTAAACTATTGGAATCAGAATGTTTTGAGAGGAAACGAATTATCTTGTTGCTGATAGATATCTCAGAATTTTAAATGATATTAAGTATATGGACTAAGTGGTATTGTTTATATAAGAATATTGTGACTTTCGCAAATAGTGATAACCATCTGGGAATATTTCTTCTGGAAAGTAGTGTATATATTATATATATATATATACACACACACTCTATTATGATATTCTTTTGATGATATGATGGATTCACTTTGGGGCTATAGCCACAGAATTATGTAGTATAGCAGTAAATTGATTAGCAGTTTATTAAACTGCAAAAGAAAATTCTGTAACTTTCTTTTCTGTTCAACTACTAATGCTTTACAAATAAGAACCGGTGTTCAACAAATCTTCATGGCGGAGTACAGAGTGATTTTTAAGACAGGTGAAGTATTGTGTTTCTCATTGCTAATTCAACGAATTTCTATTGTAACAATAGCGGTTTTTTAAATTGCAATGGTTTTTGTTTTTTCTCTAATCAGCACCATGCTGCTTATAAATGAAAAGGTTCACTTTAAATTTTTTTCTGCAGTATGCTTGATTGTTAATTTCCAGGTCAGCATCTAGTCTATCAAAGTTTCATGGGATGATAATTTATGGTTATAATGGACAGTCTATTTAAAACTATGATGAGGTCACTCTGTCTTAAGAAGCTGAAGTACTGTATTCCATTCTCTCGCTTACTCAGAATTGCATCACGTTAGTTTGCTAATTTCCCATCTTTAAGGATTGTGTTTTGTTCAAATAAAACTTCAGCCTTCCCAGTGCCTAATTTATTACTAGCCATTCACATTTCATTAATTGGGTGCCTGATTTATTAGGCAAATCGCATTACTTGCTTTCTTCCCTTCCCTCCCCTCCATTTTCCTTCTGCTGCCCTCCTTACCAGGTAAAGGAATGATTTCTCTTTCCCAGGTAGTGCTTTCTTCTGTTATTTCTTGGATTTGAGGGTTCTAATCTTATCTCGTGCTGTATATAGTGCAGATTTTAAGTTTAACTAAAAAATCCTTCTCTGATTCCAGCGTCAAATATACTATTTTTAGAACTGTAGTTGAATGAATTTAGCACATTTTCCAGCAATAACAATAGAATCAGAGGTTCAGAGAATTAGGGTTGAAATGGACCTTAGAATGTGTTTATTTTAAACCCATCAAGTTCAAATAAAAAATGATTTTTCTTAAAGCAGGAGCATTTATATTTCTCTCTAGAAAATATCAGTAAATACACTCATCTAATAAATAAAAGAAGTTGCATCACTAAGGCACTGCCCCAAATGCTCCATATCTGTGAGCAGACTAGACAACAAAATACAAGTTGCCCCTGATCTTTTACCAAGAATTCTCAGCCCATTTCAACATCTAGTGTGAGACCAGCATTAGCTACCTGCTGGATGGGCTTTCTGGTGGGGTTACATCTAGAAGTACAGAACTTCTCAAACTCTCTGTCGTGATGAATCAGTCTTCCTCTTCCTCCCTTCTTCCCCCTCCTCCACCTCCTGCTCTCTTTTTTCTTCCAATCCATTGCAGATTGGTTCTCTCATAAAATACAGCTAAATTAATTTATACAATTGTATAAAAAGACACATAAAATACATGCCCCAAATTGTTATTATTAGATCTAATGGACAAGAAAACGTTGACTTGCTACCAAAATTTCTAAGTTTATTCTTTTTTAAAACTTTTAAGTTCAAGGGTACATGTGCAGGTTTGTTACGTAAGTAAACTTGTGTCATGGAGTTTGTTGTACAAATTATTTCACCCAGGTATTAAGCCTAGTACCCATTAGTTATTTTTCCTGATCCTCTCTCTCTTTGTTCACCCTCCAATAGGCCACAGTGTGTGTATATGTGTCAATGTGTTCTCATCATTTAAATCCCACTTATAAGTGAGAACGTGTGGTATTCAGAACCAGAAAATCTAAGTTAATTCTTTTTTTTTTCTTTCTTCTTTTTTTTTTTTTTTTTTTTTTGAGATGGAGTTTCGCTCTTGTTGCCCAGGCTGGAGTGCAATGGTGCATTCTCGGCTCACTGCAACCTCTGCCACTTGGGTTCAAGCGATTCTCCTGCCTCAGCCTTCCCAGTAGCTGGGATTACAGGTGCCCGCCACCATGCCCAGCTAATTTTTTTTGTATTTTTAGTAGAGATGGGGTTTCACCATGTTGGCCAGGCTGGTGTCGAACTCCTGACCTCAGGTGATCCGCCCGCCTCAGCCTCCCAAAGTGCTGGGATTACAGGCATGAGCCACCACACCTGGCCTAAGTTAATTATTTTGTTGTTCTTGTTGTTGTTGTTTTTAATTTGTTTGTTTTTATTTTTTTATTATACTTTAAGTTCTGGGGTATATGTGCAGAACGTGCATGTTGGTTAAATAGGTATACGCGTGCCATGGTGGTTTGCTGCACCCATCAACCCCGTCATCTACATTAGGTATTTCTCCTAATGCTATCCCTCCCCTAGCCCCCCACACCCCCTTAGTCTTAGGGTCTGGAACAAAGCAGTTCAGTTTGAGTAACATTACTCTACTCTGCTACGTTTGATGGCCATGTAATGAGCTTTCCATTTACTTTCTGCTAAGATTGGACACATCTAAAATATTTGGCAATACAAATGATTTCTTTATATTTTCTATCTGTTTTGGGGACCATTGGTAGGCATATTTTTAATGTCAGATTATATATGTTAAATTCATTATGTAATATAAATTTCATAGTAGTCAACTCATCAAAGTGTCTTTATTAATATTTTTGTGATGCTCACCATTATATAGTTAAGAAATTTACGATAGCATCATTGATGACACATTATATGTGGACAAACTTATTAAGTAATAGGAAAAGAATGTGGGGGATGTATGTGTGAGATATGTGATATATATCAGTTTTCAGCACTTATCCTACCAATGGCCTCTCATAGAATGGTCTCTCCTACCATTTTTCTTTTCTTCCTTTTCCTTTCTTTTCTGCCATCCAAACTTCCACCTCATTTCTTCATGAGCGTTTCACTGTTTTATTAGGTTATGCCTCAGTTGCCAGTTTTCACCTGTCTTCCAAGCCCAGATCCCATTTTGTGTGGGGTTAGCAAGTTCCGCCTCCTCAACAGGACTATGCCTGTGTGGCTCTTCTTCATGCTGTTTTACTTACATTATATAATTGTTAATTCAGTATGAAGTACCATGATAAATATTTGGGATAAAAAGAGGAGAGCATGGACCCTGCACCCAAGGACTTAGAGTTTGGTAGGAGACAGTTAGTAAATTGTTAATAGTAGCTGTGATAATAGTCTTTATAAAGTATGATGAGGACATAAAAGAGGGAGCAGGTAGTTTCCTTTGGGAATAGGTCAAGAAAAGCTTTATTAAATTATGCCAGTTAGTACAACCACTAAGGAGAACAGTTGGGTGATTCCGCAAAAAACTAAAAATAGAGCAACCATATGCTCCAGCAGTCCCACTGCTGGGTATATACCCAGAGGAAAGGAAACCATTATATTGAAGGAGATATCTGCACAACCATGTTTGTTACAGCCCTGTTCACAATAGCCAAGATTTGGAAGCAACCTAAGTGTCCATCAACAGATGAATGGATAAAGAAAATGTGGTACATATACATAGTGGAGTACTATTCAGCCATTAAAAAAGAATAAGATCCTGTCATTTGCAACAACATGGATAGAATTGGACATCATTTTGTTGAGTGAAATAAGCCAGGCACAGAAAGATAAACATCACATATTCTCACTTATTTGTGGGGTCTAAAAATCAAAACAATTGAACTCATGGAGATAGAGAATAGAAGAATGGTTACCAGAGGCTGGGAATGGTAGTTTGCAGGGGGGATGGTAAGTGGGTACAAAAAAGATAGAAAGAATGAATAAGACCTAGTATTTGATAGTAAAATAGGGAGACTATAGTCAATAATTTAATTTAAAATAACTAAAAGAGTATAATTGGATTGTTTGTAACACAAAGGATAGATACTTAGGGGGATGGAAACCCCATTCTTTATCATGTGGTTATTATGTATTACATGCTTGTATTAAAATATCTCATGTATGTATGTGTGTATATATATATATGTGTATATATATATACACACACATACATACATATATATATATATATATATATATAAAATCTCTGAGCAGCCTAGACAACAAAATATGTACTACTATGTACCCACTAAAATTAAAAATAAAAATTTTTAAAAAGTGTGACAGTTGAGCTATGTTAAGAGGATTAAGTATTGGAGGATGTGGCTGTCTCATATGGGGGGTTGGGGTTGCAGTATATTCTAAGGCACATGGAATCTGGAAAAGGCATTGAAATGAGTAAATGTTAAGAGATTTCAGCTTTGGAGCTATGTGTTCAGACACCCACAGTTTATACAGCTTGAGTGGTGGCCCTTTGATTTATGCTGTTTTTAGGCCCCTCTAGTAGGAATCAAAAGTGTTTTTTACTTTTTAAGACTCAACTGGAGCCAGCGTGAAACCTACCCCTCTAATGTATTTGCCTGGAAAAAACGAAAAAAGGAATTCATGCACAGCAATTGAGCTATTAAAATTTTGTAGGCATTTCTCTATGTTTTGGAAAACTTAGGAATATCTCTGGATGAAAGATGAAAAATTTGCATGCTTAGGAACATGCTAGACATTAAGAAGGTGTTTCAGACCTAATTTATTTGGATTTGTATCATTATAATTTCTAGCCAGTTAGTCCCCACATAACCCCCCACAATAAAATTAAGAGGTGGTTTTATACTGGTGTTTGGTTTTTGTAGTTAATAGCTGTTTATAGGAGCATATTTGTGTATATTTTTAATTTTCATGATTAATGGCAGTATTTTTAAGGTCTAATGTGGCTTTTGTGAAGGGTACATGCAATGCATTGCTTTATACTTACAGACAATAAGGATTTAATTTATCCCACCTTGGTTAGGAATTCAGATGGTAGCAATGGGTAGCTTATACTCAGTAAGAGAGGAACACAGGTGATGTGGTGGAGGCAGATGAGTGAGACAGTGAGTGAGATGCTAGAAGAGTAAGCAGTGGCCATTCTAAGGTGCTGCAGTTTGATTTTTAGGCTATGGGAGACCTTAAAGAGTTTTAAAGAGTAATGGAGGAAAATCACTTACTGGGTACAATGATCACTACTGGGGCAATGAGTACACTGCAAGTCCAGACTTCACCACTTTGCAATGTATGTATGTAACAAACTGCCCTTGTACTCCTTAAATCTACAAAAAGAAAAAAGAAAGAGAGAAAAAAAGAGTGATGGAGGGTGTGGGTGGGAGTGGAGCATCTTATTTGTGTTGTAGATGTATCCATCTGGTAGTAATATGTACTGATAGGAGATGAAATCAAAGCCCTAGGGACTAATGAGGAGACTCTGGCAGTGTGGATACAGAGGAGGTATTCAGGGCCCTGCCTGCATGGTTACCACTTTTATTCATTCAACAGATGTTCATTAAGTTCCAACTAGTGACTAGGTACTGGGACATAATGGAGAGTAACATAGTCGTGGTTTGTACCTTTAGGGAGCACAGGGAGAATTATCTGACAGCTTCCAGGTCTCTGTTTAGGTGACTAGATGGAACCTAGTGCCCTGAGTGCACTCAGCACCACAGGGAAAACAGGAGGAGAAAGAGGCTGTGTGTATAGTTGAGGGGTGGCTTTGCAGCAGTTGTAGATGACATTGGGTTTTGGATAAACTGAGCTAAAGTAGTTTGAGAGGCTGTGGGGTTGAGAGGTATAGGCCAGTGCTTCTTAGACCATAGTGTGCATTGGACTATCTGGGCAATCTTGTTCAATTGCAAATTCTCATGCAATAGGTCTGGGTGGGGCTTGAGATTCTTTACTTATTACTGCCAGGTGAGCTGATGCTGCTGGTCCATGGGTCATACTTTAAGCAGTAGAAGTGTAGTTAAGAAGCTGGTTAAGAATATCTACATTCTCTCTCTGGCTACACACACGCACACGCACACACACACACGTGTACGCAGTTCAAGCTTTAGAAGAAACTTATAAAAAATCTTTGGGAGTAGAACCGTTTACAGATTGGGGAGTAGCTGCATATGTGTACATATACAAGCACTTATGATAAAATTGCTTTTGCAGAAAGTCCATAATCTCTAGGTCATCTGGAAAATATTTCTTTATGTCAAACATGTACAGAACATATTTTGTTGACTTTGCTTGTGGCTGTCAAAGGGGAATATTGAACTCATATTTACAGATAACCATTTCCAAACCATACTTTATTTTCAAGTGTTGCCTTTTCAACTCTAATCCATAAAATCTGAAAAGTGGTAAAAAAGAGAAAACAAAATGTCCAGCGAACATTTTTTTAAATACTGTGCTTCTGTGAAGGAAATACTGTGTAGTGTCTGTTGCCTGAGGGGAAGAAGATAGCAAATGTCATTTGTGGAATAAATATATATAATTGCATGTCATATTCTGAGCCTGCACTAAAAAGCTGTAGGTGTTATTGGTTTTCACTGGTTGATTGCCTCGCTAGACAAAACAGTTGAGAAGGAATCTTCAGCTTCTTGTTCTCTTCATTTTAGAAAAGAAAAAAAGGATGAGAATACAGAAAGTGGCTTTGCTAAGTTGCAGAGAACAGGGAGGTAGGATTTTTTTCCGGTAGTTTTTGATGTGTTCAAATGTGATCAAGATTTATGTAGTAACTAGGCGTTTGACTTACCTCTATCTTTTTAATAAGCCTTAGTTACACTTGTGATGACTGGTGATCATTTTATTTGTTCTAAGCATTGTTCAAATAAATTATTAGGGAATTGGAGCAAATACTGCTTTTCCAGTGTGGTTATTTCTCTGATTGTGATACCTTTCTTTACTGTGACTGTTGAGATGATGTGGTCTGTGTGACAGTCGAATATACTGTATGAATAATACTTTCCACTTCTTAGTTGGGTTTGCAGTTTTATTTCCTTTTACACTTGTTCATTGACTCTACTTTCATTTAACAGGAAAAAAATCAATTGCATAGGAGAAAATAGAGATGTTTCAGTCTCGTTAATAGATTGAAACCTCATTAGGGAGACAATGGTTATGTAATGAAAGGTGCTTAACATCAGAAGACCTGGATTAAAATCCTGGCTCAGATCCTGGCTAGTTTAGGAAACATCTCACAGTCTCAGTCTCCTTGGCTTGGAATACAAGCACAGGCAAAATGCATTTATGATACAGTAATAAGTGTGCCGTGTGAAAACATTCTCATGTAGACAGCATTCTTAGTGAAGTGCTTCAAATTAAAATTATATATAATATATATATATGTATTAAACGGAATAAGTGTCTTAGCTAATGGCATGAAATGCAAATGTCTAATAAAATGTTAAACTCATATTTTAAGCCTTCTAAATTTTCAGACTTGAAATTGGTGGCAAAATGAATGGTCAATGCCTTGACCAAAGGATCAGACACTCTCTGTAGAACTGACTCCTCAGATTCAGGGAAGATAATGCAGAGCTTTGAGGAAATACATAAATATAAAAAACAACTTTAAAAAAATGGCCATTTTGGTTTTATATTTTTTATTTTTTTCCTTCCAAATGATTACATATTTTTATTCCTTCCAAACCATTATGTATTTTCTTTCTCTTGCATGATTCTAGTAAATTTTACTTTTTTGTAATTTTCTACCTCAGGAACCTATCTGAAGACTTAAAGCAAATTCCCAGGAACACTTACATGCATGATGTTTATAGCTGCTCATGTACTATACTTGTATATATTAGATACTAGAAAACTCTTGTTTCTCCAGTAATATTTGTGAGAGAATATATGTGTATGTGTGTGTTATATTCTAAAGAACAAACAAAATAATTAGCTACAGTCTATAGAGGTTACCTTGGTTGTTTGTCTTAATGTTTTTGCTCAAAAAATGTCACTCAGGGCTGGGTGCTGTGGCTCACTCCTGTAATCTTAGCATTTTGGGAGACTGAGGCACAAGGATCGCTTGAGCCCAGGAGTTCGAGACCAGCCTGGGCAACATGGCAAAACCCTGTCTCTACAAAATATACAAAAAATTAGCCTGGCGTGGTGGCATACACCTGTAGTTGCAGCTACTCAGGAGGCTGAGGTGGGAGGATCAATTGAGCCCAGGAGGTCAAGGCTACAGTGAGCTGTGATCACACCACTGTACTCCAGCCTGGGTGAAACAGCAAGACCTTGTCTCAATTAAAAAAAAAAAAAAGTCACTCAGACTGAAGGGAATATCAAAATTTGAAATTAACCCAATCACTAGCGAGAATCTATGAACTATTATGGCAAAAATGAGATGTTTATTTGCCATGTATTTATTAATTGCTGAATTAGTATTATAGAAGGACTGTGTAATATTGGAAAACTTAGGAATCTTCCCTCAAAAGTTGACCAAATACCTCTACAGTTTCTGTTGATAGCCTTGAAATGCCAGGAGGTAGACTCCTGTCAGTTCAAGTCGTCAGTTTAGAACTCAGGGCTGCAGATTCTGATACCCTATATAGGTCAAAGACCAGGGTGAGGTTGTTGGATCTGTGTGTTTTTAAACATCAGAGAAAATCATTATGAATTATCTTGAGTAAAATCATCTGTAAAATTTCCTCTCTTGGTAACCTAGATTAAACTTTGGACCTTGAGAAATCCTAGCTAAAAATAGCTATTGAAGAGTTTGTTTATTGCACTTAATACATTGGCCCCAGAGAAACTCAGGCACTCAGATTCCCTAGGTTTCGTGGCAAACCTAACTGCCCACAGATAAAATTTTCTTTCTTTCCCTTCTGATTCTGATCCTAACTACAAACAAAATAATTTATGGCATTTAGGCAACAGCTTGTAAAAGCCAGTGAACCCGTCACTATTGGCAACTTTTATAAATCACTAATGAATTAAAATGTTCATAACTATGTAAAAGCTTAGTTTTTTTCCTTTACAATTCAATTAAAAACAGTTGGTTACTATGTAAACACTATCTCCCTACTTCTGGCTCTGTTGATCAGCTACAATGTAAAAAGTTGTGTTGCTTATTTAAAAAGGTTTTGATAGCTAATAGGGATTTATGTTATCTCCTAAAGTTTCTAAGATTCAACTTTATAAGTGAATAGTCTCTCTTTCAGTAGTTAATGGTGAACAGTGGTTTAAAGTGTGGAGAGCCTGGATCACTAGTCTTGCAGGAAGAATGGAGTATGCTGTTGATGTTTTTTGAGGTCCCTTATGGTAGTCTTCCAGGCTTCTCCCTGAAACACCGCAAGCGTAAGTGGAAATGAGTTCCCTAGTGTTATGTGTCCATCAAACATCATGGTCTGTTTTTTTCCTTTTTCCCCATTACCTTAAGCCCAACAAATAAATGGATGAACAACAATAACAAAAAAAAAACCCTTGTTGCAAAGGATTAATAACATTTAAATCTGTAAGAAAATGAAATTATAAATAAATACATTAAGGAAATTCAAGAAGACTTAGATCATGTTTTATTTATTAACAGTAAAGTTATTCACTTCACAGGTGGACGTTTTACAAGTCTTAGAAGTTGTACTTTACTTATCATATTGAACAAGAATAAAGACCAAAGTCAGCATAAACATAAAGGAAGAGAAAAGCTCATAGTGTATATACATGGATGCATTTTGCATTTGGGATGAAGTAAGTCTTCATTGTGCAAGAATGTCTTGCATTTCCTTGGATGTTCTGTATCTTGGGTTTCTACTCACTGAGTGCTATTAATAGTAGAGCCTACTGTTCATAGTGATCATGAAAAATGCTCTTGGTTGGGTACAGTGGCTCATACTTGTAATGCCAGCAATTTGGGAGGCCAGGGTAGGAGGACTGCTTGAGCCCAGGAGTTTGAGACTAGCCTGGGTAGCATGGCAAGATGCCATCTCTACCAAGAAAAAGAAAAAGCCATATGTGGTAGTGTGGTATGTGCCTGTAGTCACAGCTGTTTGGGAGGCTAAGGTAGGAGCATTGTCTGAGTGTGGAGGTTGAGGCTGCAGTGAGTCATGATGGCGCCACTGTACTCCAGCCTGGGTGCAGAGTGAGACTCTGTTTCAAAAAAAAAAAATGCTTTTGCAGATTTACAAATGCTCCCTATGAGGCTGCTACCTCATACACTGAAAATCACTGCCTTATCATGAAGACATACTTGGTCTTATTTAACTTATCATGCATCATTTTCTCACTTGCGTACCCCAGCTCCTTTCTTCCCAACAGTGGCTGATCTCGATTCTATTGCCTTCCACTTCCTCATTCCAGCATTTGCTTTATCAATGAAAAATTCTCTTGCATCTTTCATTCTTCCATCTCTGCTGGCTTCTTTCTTTCAACATATAGATATAATCTTTTATTTCTAATCATACGCAAATCCCAACAAAATGATTGACATGCAAATAAAATTTTGCATCCTAACATCATATCTTCTTACAGTTCTATCACTTTTTTTGGCTATAGACTTTTGGAATTAGCCTGATTATCATAAGCCTCACCATAAAGGTAAAGGGGAAGTAATCATGTTTGCTTAATGGACAGATGAATGTAGCACTGATAACTATTTGATGGGATTCATATGCTCACTGTATTTCCAGGAGGTCTTTGGGGGCTCTATTTGGGGATTGGATTTTTTGGCTTTGTTTCAGTCTTATTTTTTATTCTCTAGGATGTTGTGTTCTGCTAATGATAAGAGGTGTACTTTGAAGTTCCTTTCTTCTCTCTTCCTCCTTTTTTCTTTCTTGCTAAAAATACTCATACTACATTTTTATCAGGTACTAAGTAGCCAAGTTTAATTATATATCCATCATTTCTGTCCTTCGAAAGGAATTGTACTTATCTTTTGTGTAAATGAAAATTATCCATTCTCACTGACATCTTCCAAATTGAAATTTTCCTTTTTCTATTATATTTCTAGATACGTGTTTTTAAAAAATGATGCCCTTTGGCTCTCTTTCTTAAGAAGCGTGGTAGAGTATGATTCATCAACTTGAGAAAGGTTAGCTATGGATATAGTTTACCTGAGAAATATCAATTGCTTTTTATCACCTTTTGGAGCAAGTATATTTGTTTTTTATCTTATATAAGCATATGCATATCTGGAGAATTGATATTTTTCTAATATGGAAGATATTTTAAAACGTATTTTCCCCTGAAACATTGTTTTTTCATCTTTTTTTTTCTGTCATTTGTTGTTAAATTTCATGAAGGAATGGAGTTGTAACTCATATTATTTGTCCTTTACCACCTGGGGTAAACTCTATCAGTTTACCCTGCTGCTTCAAAATATGCTCTGTTAATGGTTAACTGTAGTCACCCTACTGCACTAATGAACACTAGAACTTATTCATTCTATCTAACTGTATTTTTGTACCTATTAGCCAACCTTTCTTTATCACTTCTCCCCTCTACTCTCCCCAACCTCTGGTAAGCAACATCCTACTCTCTACCTCTATGACATCCATTTTTATAGCTCCCATATATAAGTGATAACATGCAATATTTGTCTTTCTCTGCCTGGCTTATTTCACTTAACATGATGTCCTCCAGATCATCCCTTTTGCAAATGACATGAGTTCATTCTTTTTTAAGACTGAATAATATCCCATTGTGTATAGATACCACATTTTCTTTATTCATTTATTCGTTAATGAACACTTGGTTGATTCCATATTTTAGCCGTAGTGAATAGTGCAACAATAAACATGGGAATGCAGATATTTCTTCAACAGGTGGATTTCCTTTCTTTTGGATCCATACCCAGCAATAGGATTGCTAAATAATATGGTATTTCTGTTTTTCTTTTTTTTTTTTTTTTGCGAAACCTCTGTAGCTGTTTTCCATAATGACTGTGCTATCTTACATTCCCACGCAACAGTGTGTAGGAATTCTCTTTCCTCTGCTCCCTTGCCAGTGTTTATCTTTTGTCTTTTTAATAATAGCCATTTTAACTGGGGTGAGATTTGCTCATTGTGATTTTGATTTGCATTTCCGTGATGATTAGTGATGTTGAAAATATTTTCATATACTTGCTGGCCATTTTTATGTCTTTTGAGAAATGTCTGTTCTGATCATTTGCCCATTTAAAAAATTGGAGTATTTATGTTTTTGCTATTGAGTGGTTTGGATTCCATATATATTCTTGTTATTAATCTCTTGTCAAATGGATAGTTTGCAAATATTTTCTCCCATTCTGTAGGTTATCTCTTCATTCTGTTGACTGTTTCCTTTGCTGTGCAGAAGATTTTTAGCTTGATATAATTCCATTTGTCAATTTTGCTTTGGTTACCTGTGCTTTTGAGATCTTACCTCAAAAATTTATGTCCTGAAGTGTTTTGTTTGTTTGTTTGTTTCGGTAGCTTCATAGTTTCAGGCCTTACACTGAAGTATTTATTTAATTCATTTTGGTTTGATTTTTGTATTCAGTGAGAGACATGGGGGTTTCATTCTTTTGCATATAGATATCCAGTGTTCCCAGAACTATTTATTGAAAAGACTGTTGTTACCTCAATGTATTTTCTTAATGCATTTGTTGATAATGAGTTGGCTGTAAATGTGTGGATTTATCTCTGGGTTCACAATTCTGTTCCATTGATCTATGTGTCTGTTTTTATGCCAGTGCCATCATGTTTTGGTTGTGATCGCTTTGTAGTATATTTCGAATTCAGGTAGTGTGATGTCTCCAGATTCTTTTGTTCAGGATTACTTTGGCTATTTGAAGTCTTATGATTCTGTATGCATTTTAGGACTTTTTTTCTGTGTTTCTATGAAGAGTGTCCTTGGTATTTTGTTAGGGATTGCATTGAATCTGTAGATCACTTTGGGTAGGTAGAATGGATATTTTAATGGTATTAATTTCTCCATTCCATGAACACATAATATCCTTGTATTCTTTTGTTGTTATCTTTAACTTCTTTCATCAGTGTTTTGTAATTTTCATTGTAGATGTTTCATCTCTTTGGTTGAATATATTACTAGTTATTTGATTTTTTTTGTAACTATTGTAAATGGGATTGCTTTTCTGATTTTCTTTTCAGATTGTTTGCTGTTGGCATATAAAAATGCTATTGAATTTTTTTTTTTTTTTTTTTGAGACAGGGTTTTACTCTCTTGCCCAGGCTGGAGTGCGTTGGTACAATCTCAGCTCACTGCCACCTCTACCTCCTGGCTCAAGTGATCCTCCCACCTCAGCCTCCCAAGTATTGTAGCTGGGACCAAAGGCATGTGCCACCATTCCCAGTTACATTTCTCTATTTTTTGTAGAGACAGGGTTTCACCATGTTGCCCAGGCTGGCCTCAGACTCCTGGGCTCAAATGATCTGCCCACCTCAGCCGCCCAAAGTGCTTAGATTACAGGCATGAGCCAGTGTGCCAAGCCACCAAACGCTACTGATTTTTCTATGTTGATTTTGTATCCCTCAACTTTACTGAATTTATCAGTTCTATCTGTTTTTTGGTGTAGTCTTTAGGTTTTTTAAAATATAAGATCATGTTGACTGCAGTGTGTTTCTTTTCTAATACATGTTTTTTGTGCATATAGATTAGGAAATTCTTCCCTGTCATAAGTTCACAAGTATATTTAATTATGACTTTTTACATTGTTTATGAAGTCAAGATCCATTTTCATTTATTTCTATATAGACAACAAATTTTCATTACTCTTTATTGATTAGTCCATCTGTTCCCTACCCATCTGTAATGCCTGCTCTGTAATAAAGTTTTCTTATATATGCCTGTTTGTTTCTGGATTCTGTTCTATTTGTCTTTTTATCTGAATGTGTAGCAAAAGGACATAATTTTAATTACTATAGTTCTGTATAAAAATCTTACCTTGTTCTTCTTCTGGAGTGTCCTGGTTTTTCATGGCCCTTTACTCTTCAATATACATCATAGAATTGACTAATCAAAGTCCAAGAAAACCCCTGCTAAGATTTTGTTTAGGATTATATTGAATCTATATAATAATTTGGGGGAGAATCAACTTCATTCTGACATTGATTCTTCTTATTTATTTATTTTTTGAGACAGAGTCTCACTCTGTTGCCCAGACTGGAGTGCAGTGGTACAATCTCAGCTCCCTGCAACCTGTGCCTCCTGGGTTCAAGCGATTCCCCTGCCTCACTCAGCCTACCAAGTAGTTGGGATTATAGGTGTGTGCCAGCATGCCCAGCTAATTTTTATAATTTTGCTAGAGACAGGGTTTCACCATCTTGGCTGGGATAGTCTCGAACCCCTGACCTCAGGTGATTCGCCTGCCTCAGCCTCCCAAAGTGTTGCGATTGCAGGCGTGAGCCACTGTGCCTGGCCTATTGATTCTTCTTCACTGAAAACTTACCTATGAAGTCATTATTTATTTATATTTTAAAATGTCTTTTAATAAATGTTTATGAATTTTTGTAAAAGACTTGCACAGAAAATTAATTCCAACCTTTAACATAATTTATGAGTCTTATAATATTTTCAGATATTAACTTTGAAAATTATGTATTTTACTTTAATGTCATTTGACACCTCAAATAAATATAATTGCCAACAATAAATGAATAATTAGTCCCACAGATTTCTCCCTTTCCTCCACAGGGCAATGTTTCTTCCAACTGTTGATGCATCTTGAAAATCATTCCTCAAGTTTATTATCACTTCCATTCCCCATGTCAGTGGCATAGCTAATTATTTAGAAGGCAGGTGTCTCTAGGTAATTATAGTTAGTTCTGTATGCAATTATCCTTTCTGAAATGTGTGTTGTATGCCGTAAAAATACCTGTTACGTTATAGAATATAACAAATAGCTAACACAATAGTTAATACTTAGTTGATGCTGACTATATATAATTCTCTAGTTTATTATCATAATAATACACCTCACATCATTGAAGTCTTTTACAGTTTACCAAGTTCTTTCATTCACGGTGTTTCATTTGGGTATCCCAACAACATTTTCAAGGCAAACGTGTTACCATCCTTAGTTTGAAGAGGAGGAACCTGAAACTTAGGAAGACTAAATAACTTGTAAAAGATCACAGAAGTGATATCTAATAGAGACGAGCTTCAAATTCAGGTTTATTGAACTCAGAATCAATGCTCCTGCCCCCTACCTCTCAGGAGTGATAATGGTAAAGATTGGGGGACTGTAGGCCAAATAGGTCCTCTGACCTCTTTTATAATTGTCAGCTTATCTAACGTGAATGACTTAGATAGGCCTTGCAGATTGAGTCCTTGGGAGATTTCCTGCCTCTGTCTAGTATTATACCCAGCCCAATTTGTACCTGCTGACCTTCCAAGTTCCTGTGGGCATTTGAGTTTCTGACCTTTGCCTTTGAATAAGCCTGCCATTTCCTATAGCATATGTGCATTTTTTGCTTCCTGGAACTTTCTACTACTTTATATTTGTTCTGATTACTTATCAGCAAACAAATCTTTTAGACTGCCTTGTAGTTCTATTATGGAAAAAGTGAGAAATTATTATCCTAAGAATAGGCACAAAACATATAATACAGTGCCTTGCACTTAATGTGTGCTTACAAAATGTTAATTGATGATGAAAAAGATTTAAATCTTCCTCTAAATAATAAGATTTTATAGTTATCCATCAAAATCTAATTATGCTGAAGTCACTTCACATCATCATAAAAAAGTGTTTAACACTGTTTATCAACAGATAAACTGTTGTTGGCTTGTAAAATCAAACTTGTTCTGCACTTGGAATTTTATCAAGTTATTTGTTGGGAAAAGTTTGGATTATGTGGATACTTTTGGTAGAAGCGTTGTGTAAAATGTGTGGAGTAAAAAGTTTTTGCAGATAATGTGTTTGACATACCATATTATTATATTGGATGAGACTTTCTTCCACCTGCAGATGTTTCTCTTTGTCTTCCCCTGGTAGGGTTCCCCTTATATAATAATATTCCTAGGAGCAATAATTGTTCCCCCAGATTTGGATGTCTTCCAGTAGTTCAGAGTTTCACTTAGCACCAAAAATTAATAAGCTTTAATTAAAAGAAGTGATTATTGCTGAAAATGATGACCTGTTAACTCCAGAAAGGCAGGGTGCTTTTATCCATTCTCCTCCTTCAAGGTTGGCTTTTGAATTCTGAACCATGGATTTCAATGCAGTCCATCCTCAATTTGTAGGAAGCGTTGTTTTATTTGGAATTTAAAAAGGAAGCTCTGTTAGGTAACATTGCAGCACAAGTTCTTTTTAATGTAAGTCCATGTATTAATCAAAACAGCTGTGAGGGTTACTAGGTAGACTGTGACACCGGGTGGCAATAAAATGTCTTCCTCATTACAATTAATACCGATGACTTGCAGAGACCTCCTGTATGTGATGGCCTTTCTCGATGGGCATCCTCACTTGGTGGTAGGGAAAATGAGTATGGGCTGTATGAAACAATTTCAGCACCACCCTGAGCTTAATAGAGCCGTCTTTCATTGCCTGTTAACAAGCTGTGCTGCTGCCATAAAATGTTCAAGCTGACAAATGCTGTCAAAGCTCCTTCAATGCAAAGATTTTCTGCCGTATTTAACATGTTAACTTTTATTTTAATGATGCCAAAACACACATCAGTTGTTTGTGCAACATCCAGTGTGGTCTCTGGAGCCATCCCATTAGCTGAAAAGTATAGTCAGTGTCCTGTTCCAGTGGCCATTAATGGTAAAATTCTTCAATTAAAAACTGTGGAGTTATGCTGATTCAACCATTCACTCTATCCCAGAAGTAAAATAGATATACCTACTTGCTGTGAAATTATTGAGTTTGTTTAGCTTGATTTTCTGTGCATTACATTAGCCATGAGTGTATTATAGAGGCTAAGAATGATAACTCTATGAAGGTTTATTATGAGATTCCCATATTTGGCTCAAGGTTTTATACAACTTGATATGCTACCTACTACTAGTCTTCCAGTTCCACTATTGCAACTAGTTAACACATACATTGTACTTATTGTGTGCCAGGCTCTGTTCTGACTGCTTTATATGTATCTACTCATTTAATTTTCACAACAGTCCTACTTATTAAGTGCCATTGTCCTCACTTAAAGGTAAAAAAAAAAGAAAAAAATCAGAGGCACGAGATATTCAATAATTTGTCTAAGGCCATATAGACAGGATATGGTAGAGGCTCTATAAGAATGCAGATATTCTGATTCCAAAATATATGCTCTTAACTAAAACTAATGCATCAAGTCGACTGAAATGACATCAAATACATCCTTGACACTAAAGGGAGCACACAAACGGAATGCCTGCCTTTCTGGTGGAGATGCTTATGTTGCAGCTAACAAAGAGAACGAATTCTTTTATAAATGAAGTTTAGGATCACAGGGTTTCCACTACCCTTCTGGTTATGTTTTCCAAGGCTGAAAATGGAGAACAGTTTGGAGCAGGAAGAGTGGAAGTTTATAGGTTCTGTTTTCCCTCTTTTTCTTCATGGATCTTTCATCTCCCCACACACTATTGCAGCCCGCAACCTCAGATGGAGTGAAATTCTCAGCGGAATTAAATTTCAGTTGCTACCCTTAATAACTGTAGAGAACCCCTTTGGAAAGGCCTCCCTATTACCCTTTTTTGTTTGTTCATTTTTCGCTAAATTAAACTTTAATATTTTATAACATCACGAGGAAGCTACTGATTTTAGGAATTTGGATTCATGTTTTCTTCTTCCTTTTCTCTTCTATACCTATAAATCAGCAAGTAACAAAACGAGTGATTTCCACTGCAAAGTCATTATCCCCGGTGAGTTGAATATGGGCATTGTAATTCACCAGCAGCTGATGACTGAGTGGATCTAAAGGAAGAATGAAAAGGTAGATCTTAAGGATGAATTACAGCTGTAATAATAATTTATTCCACAAGATTCACATGGAACTGAAATTTATGACAGGCAGCCAGACCAGAAAATCAGGAAGTTTGGATTTTCTCTTCTTCCTAATCAGTTTCTCCACATCTTGTTCTGATTAGTGCCCTCGCTGAGTCTCCTTACAGGTATCTCTGACCCATTTCCAGTAGACCTTTTGAAATTCCACTGTTTTTCAGGCAGTGATTTCTGCCTTTGCTGGATTTTAGAATATAAAAGTCATTCATCTGTATCTTAGAAGGATGATTCACATATTTATGTTCTAGAAAGTAGGCTGAGAAGAAAAATGTGGTACTTTATTAATTAGGGCCCTTTAACATTTTATACTCTCAAGCTTAATCATTTGCTTGTTTGAACTAAAGTCATCTTCCTTAATCACCATCATTAGTGGCTGTCCATGAATGATTACCTCTGAATTTTATTAACATGTTATTATTTAATGCATTTTACATTCCCCATTAGGAATTAGATATCATCCAATATTTTACTATATCAATATATTTTTTTAAAGCATGAGATTAACTATGGGAATGGGCTACCTCCATCTTCCTGCTCCCTCAGTGGTTCTGAAATTGATGTGGAGGTGGTGTTGACAGGGCAGAGAGAGCAATTGGAGGAACTAGCCCATCTATTCTTGGTGCTGTTTTTTAGAGCTTAAAACTTGCTGGGTGATGTCAAAGCATTTACGCCCCAAAGATGAGAACCACTGCTCTAATCTTGAACGTTTCCAGTGATGAAAGGCTTGCTCACAATCATTTGGAAATAGCCCATTACACTTTGGGATTCCTTTGACAATTCCTCTGTATACCTAGCAGAGTGACTCATTATGGTCACTAGTTCCTAGTTCTCATCTTTAAGCAAATACAGAACAAATTTGTTCCTCCTCTATCTGATGGTCTTTAAAATATCTGGAGCCATCTTAATATTCCTACTGATTATTCTTGCATACATAGATTGGGTCATGCCACAATTTCTTATATTCCATATTTTGAAAACCTCTCATGATCATGGCTCTCCTTCTCTGTATTTTCTGTGTGTAGAAATAAACACCATCATCTATTAAAAAAAAAAAAAAAAGCACCACGTATACTTGCCATCAAGTGCTCATTTATTATCTTTCCCCTGAGTATCTCAGAAGCTCCAGTCAGGTCAGCACTGACTTTATTTCTTGTTGAGTCCTCAGTCCCATGGACAGTGCTTGGTGCACAATAGTGACTTAGTCAATAATTGTTGAATGCATGAGCCCCCAGGTCTACACTGAGGTTAGGAACTGACAGTGAATTGGTCGTAAGGGGTGGAATGAATTTTAGTGCATGTAAGATTGGTCAGTTTTGCATAATGTTCAATAAAATGGTTTTGCAAGTTGTACACTCATGCTTGTTTGTATTGCTTGTTAGTGCCAACGGCTTCCCGGGCTTAAAATGACTACCAGAATGTCCTGCACACTCAAAAGCAATAATGTTTTGTGAAATACAGGCTTACATCAAAAAAGCTCTGCTTTTTATAACTTATGAAGTTGGGAGTTTAAGAAAATTACTTTTGAAAGGAGTATTAATCTAAATGGATAAATGAGTCATCGTATTAAAATACCTGTGGGAAAACTAGAATTAGGCACATTACAATCAGGCACAATGTTTATTGTATAAGTGTGCTAATGTATGGTTTAGTTAATAATAATCCATTCAAAAACAAAAACAAAAGTTTTCTTTCTTTTTTTTTTTTTTTTTTTTTTTTTTTGAGACGGAGTCTTGCTCGGTCACCCAGGCTGGAGTGCAGTGGCGCGATCTCGGCTCACTGCAAGCTCCGCTGCCAGGTTCATGCCATTCTCCTGCCTCAGCCTCCAGAGTAGCTGGGACTACAGGCGCCCGCCACCATGCCCGGCTAATTTTTTGTATTTTTAGTAGAGACGGGGTTTCACCGTGTTAGCCAGGTTGGTCTGGATCTCCTGACCTCGTGATCTGCCCGCCTCGGCCTCCCAAAGTGCTGGGATTATAGGCGTGAGCCACCGTGCCCGGCCCAAAAGTTTTCTTTTTAAATACCTGTTATGTGTTGCGCATTTTCAAGGCTCTTGAGATACAATATTAGGGACAAAGTCCACACTTTTATAGGTCTTGTATTTTAACTGAGAAACACAGACAATAGATAATTGAATAAATAAAAGAAAGTAATTTTGGATAATCATAAGTGAAATAAGTGTACAGAGTACTGTGCTAAAGATCCGCAGTGAGGAAGTGAGGGATGGGATGAGGAGGCAGCCATGCAAGGTGCTGATCATTTCAGCTGATGGAAGGAAGCACAAAGGTCCTTAAGTGGGAGAGAGCTTGGTATGCTCAAGGAAGATAGGGTCAGGTGAGCTGCAGAAGAATGGCAGCTGGAGTTTGGGGATAAGGTTGGAGGCCTATAGGCCTCATCATGATACCCTTATGGACCATAGCGAAGAAGACTTATGAACCATCGTGAAGATTTATTTTTATTTTTTTTATTTCAATAGTTTTGGGGCTACAGGTGGTTTTTGACTACATGGATAAGTTCTTTAGTGGTGATTTCTGAAATTTTAGTGCACCTACCACCGGAGTACTATATACTGTACCCGATATATACTCTTTTATCTCTCAACCCCCTTCCAAATTTCCCCCTGGAGTCCTTTGCAACCTCATACCTTAGCTCCGACTTATGAGAACATTCAATATTTGGTTATTCATTCCTGAGTTACTTCACTTAAAATAATGGCCTCCAGCTCCATCCAAGTTGCTGCAAAATACATTATTTCATTCGTTTTTATAGCTGAGCAGTATTCCATGGTGTATATATAGCACATTTTCTTTATCCACTTGTTAGTTGATGGGCTTTTAGATTGGTTCCATATTTTACAATTGCGAATTGTGTGCTATAAACATATGTGTGCATGTGTCTTTTTCATATAATGACTTCTTTTGGGTAGCTACCCAGTAGTGGGATCACTGGATTGAATGGTAGTTCTACTTTTTGTTCTTTAAGGAATTTCCATACTGTTTTCCATAGTGGTTGTACTAGTTTACATTCTCACCAGCAGTGTTTAAGTGTTCCCTTTCACCACATCCATGCCAACATCTATTGTTTTTTGACTTTTTAATAATGTCCATTCTTGCACGAGTAAGGTGGTATCTCATTGTGGTTTTAATTTGCATATCCCTGATGATTAGTGATGTTGAGCATTTTTTCCTAAGTTTGATGGCTGTGTACATCCTCTTTTGAGAAATATCTATTCATGTCCTTTGCCCACTTTTTGATGGAGTTATTTGTTTTATTCTTGCTGATTTGCTTGAGTTCCTTGTAGATTCTGGATACTAGTCCTTTGTCAGATGCATAGTTTGCAAATATTGTCTGTTTACTCCGCTGCTTTTTTTTTTTTTCTTTTTTTTGCTGAGCAGACGCTTTTTAGTTTAATTAGGTCCCATTTATTTATTTTTGTGTTTTTGCATTTGTTTTTGGCGTCTTAGTCATTATTTATTTGCCTAAGCGAATGTCCAGAAGATTTTTTTCTGATGTTATCTTCTAGAATTTTTATGGTATCAGGTTTTAATTTAAGTCATTGATCCATCTTGAGTTAACTTTTTTTTTCTTTCTTTTTTTTTTTTTAAGATGGAGTCTCACTCGGTTGCCCAGGCTGGAGTACAGTGGCCCAATTTTGGCTCACTGAGTAGCTGGGACTCCAGGTGTCCAGCACCACACCCACCTAATTTTTTTGTATTTTTAGTAGAGACAGGGTTTCACCGTGTTAGCCAGGATGGTCTCAATCTCCTGACCTCGTGAATCACCCACCTCGGCCTCCCAAAGTGCTGAATACTTTTGTTATAAGGTGAGAGGTTAGGATTGAGTTGGGCAGATTTTTGATGTAGGTTCTTAGGGACACAGGGTTAAACTGGGAGACCCATAGAAGACTGGGAGAACATAGGTGTATTAGTCCATTTTTATACTGCTATGAAGAAATACCTGAGATTGGGTAATTAAAAGAAGAAGAGGTTTAATGGATTCACAGTTCCACATGGCTGGGGAGGCCTCACAATCATGGCAGAAGGTGAAGGAGGAGCAAACCCATGTCTTACATGGCGGCAGGCAAGAGAGTGTATGCAGGAGAACTGCCCTTTATGAAACCATGAGATCTCATAAGACTTACTCACTATCATGAGAACAGCATGGGAAAAACCCTCCCCCATGGTTCAATTACCTCCCATCAGGTCCCTCCCACGACATGTGGGGATTATGGGAGCTACCATTCAAGATGAGACTTGGGTGGGGGAACAGCCAAACCTTACCAATAGGAGTTATTGGAAGTAAGCTAGGAGAGAAACGATGGTGGGTTGGACTAGTATAGTGATAACAGTCGTGAAGAGAAATGAGTGGATTTGAGATACGTGTTGGCATTAGCATTGGCAGGTCTTACTGAGGGGGACTGGATGACACATTGCAGCAGGAAGAGAGGAAATAAGGATGGAACTTAAATATAATGGCAAGGAGTTAAGGAAAAGTCCTACTAAATTCTGTTTCTGGAATTATCAATGCTATTGTTTTATATAAATGGACATTGGAGTTTATGATATGATATTGTCACTTGGAAGTACAACCACACAGGAAGGAAATTTGTGCTGGGAATATTAAAAATGTCTTATCACTTTTCCTATCCCAAATGTAGACACAAATTCAGTCATTGATACACACTGGATATTTTTTCTTTTGCAGGTCTCTCTTATCTTTACTCAATGCACTAAATATATAAATAAATAGATGTGGTATTTGTTGTTCCTTAGTAATGGGAAATAATGACAACCCCCGCCCCCCACCACTGGCCAGCATTTAACCTGAATGTCTGTACATTTGCTTAGCTTTCCAAAACAGTGCAAGGTTTCACAAAGATAAGACAGTTCATTTACATAACCCGGAATAATTTGGCTGGCAAACTCAAGGAGATATAGTATATGGATCAAGTTTAACACATTCATTTGGATTGGCTGAGTCCCATACGTTCCTTGTGCTTGCAGAGAGGGTCCCATCTGTTCAGCTCTTGGCCAGAGACCATCGAGCCTGTGAGCATTGAAATTTCTTATTGCAAAGGCCCAGTATTTCATAACTGGTTTATGGTACCCCAGATACTCACCAGTAACATTGTTAATTAGTAGCAACATGAGTAGCCATTATTCTAGAACTGTTACCTGCCTGTTATGAATGTATTTAGATAGTTTCAAAAGCCAACACATTCCTTTCTTGCATTTATTTCCCCTTTTGCATCATGTTTATTTTATTACTCAAAGATTCCTTTTCCATTGCCCTCCAACTAGTTAGCCCAGCATATGAAGACCCTTTTAATGCCTCTACAATATCTCCTATAGAATTGTCATTCCTTAGTCTCTGAGAAGACCTCTCTTTGCCCGTTGAATTAGACTACCTGACGTTTCTTTAACACATCCTTATTTTCTACCCTTTGCAGCTTTGCTCCTTGGGTTCTTTCTGTTTGGAATTACCTTTATACTCCTCTAATCCCCACCTGTCACAAATTATGCTCATTGCAAATGCTTACCTAATGCTCCATCCTTTGATCTACTCATATTTTCTTTCTTCCTCTCTTTGGATATTTCACTTCTAACTTCTCATCCTTGCTATATATCCACGTCACCTCTTCAAATTTCCTTTAGTGTCAACAGGGTGCCTTACAAGTAGGATGGTGCCAGTTGGGATTTGATGACTTTAACTGAAATTTTGATATCCAGCTATCATCTAAACATGAGCAACAGTAAAAGAAATCATTTCAGGGAAAAATGTGGAAATAACCCACCTCCTCCACTTCCTACTTCCCAGCCCTAAAGGGATCATGCTGCCATCAAGGCCATTCTAGCCTTTTCATCTTTGCTGTTCTTCTGTGGTCAAACTGGCCCCGCCTCTTTGTTTTCTGAGTGGAAAATAAACACAAAGAGGGACATTTCCTGCAAGTGGGCAGGGCCAGAAGAGGCCAGGTATAGCTTCAGCATGGCTGCCTCCAGAGAACCTAGTAGACTTGTCATATCCCAAGGCAGGCTTTTTCTTGGATTATATTGTTTCCCTTTGAATTCTCCAAAACCTGTCAGTGTTTTCTTCCTTATCTCTCTTGAGGGCAGCCAGTTAATCTAAGATTAGCCTGACAGCCCCTATTTTCCAGGTCTCTGGTTTCATCAATAAAGTAGGCTACATCGTTTCTGAGCCCCATTTCCTCCTCTATAACCCTGCTCTCTTCATCCATATTGTGGTTTATTCTTTCTACAGCCTGCTCCATCCATTTTTGGTTCTGTTCCCGTGTCCTATTTCCACTATTGAATAGGAGTATTTAATTCAATAATTGCTTTGACTGTAAAAGGTTGACAATCCCTGAGCCTTTTGTGCGATATTTTCACCTCATTGCTCTTCTGGTTACCACCAGGGACTTTGAGATGAATGAGTCGAGTGACCAGCAGCCTCACTCAGGATTGCTAATAATTGTCATCTTTACTTTCTCAGTGCTAATGGTAAACTTATAAAAGCCTTTCACTTATCACAAAAGCCTATTTTCTAGGGAATTTAGGAAAGGTAATGAAGACCCCTACTTTTTTTTAAACTAGAGGCAATATGCCTCAGTGGAGAATGCATAAGGTAATTCTTTCTATTTATGTTGATGTCATGCTTTTTTATTCCTATTTTTATATGCTTTAAAAATGTGTATGAAATATTAGCCTAGTAAGAGAAGAACAGAATTATAAAAATGCATCCACTGATACTGAATGCTCAAGATGATTTCATTGAGAAGGGTATGTGATTAAAATGTTGAGGGCTTGCTGGATTTCAGAACATCCTGTCTGGAGTCAGACCTGGATTCTCAGCTCCTTGCCTTATCAGTCTTCTACTTGTGTGACTTTAGAAAAGCCCTTTAGTCTCTCTGGGGCTTATGATGATCACCACCAAATTGAAAGACAAACTGTTTCACAGGGTTGTTAAAAGGATTCAGTGAGATAACACATGTGAAGCTAGCAAGTACCTGGCATGTATACTTGTTACTATGGTTATTTTTGTTGTTGATGATATCAGTATTGCTGTTGCTATTGTAGTATTATATTTTGAGTATAGCAGGGGGCTTGAGCCTATCTGCATCCCGAGTAAACAGCATCTCATACCAAACACATGGAAAAAAACTCTAAATGAATGAAAAAAAATTAAAAATTAAAAAACTGCATGCACATACTCTTTCCCACATCAAAATTAAGAATAGTAATATATTTTGTAATGTATTTGCATAACTTTTGAAAGAAAAGGAACAGAGTCATTCATTGGAGTTTCATACACCCACACAAAAATAAAACCCCAATGAATGCATAATGCATGCAATAGGGCCATTTTGTTGGTAAAATTAGCTGATGATGGATTTTCTTTGGTATTTTCACCACAAAACTTTTAAAGATGATGTTTATGATAAACCTATTTTTTATTAAATTTTACCACGTCTTGTTTGGCTTTAAAGTGATGTTCTGGTACAAGATATCTTAAAGAATAAAAAGCTTACTGTGCATTTCTCCAGCATGTTTGCTGAGATCTGAAGTGTGTAACAGAATTCTTCAGTGAGGTAAAGAAAAGTTCACCATAGTTTGCAAGACTGGTTCATGTGGAATTTATAAGAATGGACTGACCAGCATGCCCTTTTAAAATTCCGTAGTTAATCTCTTTATTGAAAGCTGCTGGACTACTTGATTAAGAAAGCTTTATGGAATGACTGCTTTTAGTGTCACACAAATGAAGCTGAACTGTTGCTAAGTAAATCACTGTAGATCAAAGTACTTTGTAGTCAGAGAACTGCAGTTCATTTTTTTTTCATTAAGTTTTAAAGAGAAGGTGAAGGGTTGAAGAATGAAACACACCAAATTTGACATCTATGATGTCCATTTACATTCATGCACTTCTTTAAGCATCTAATCTGAGTGATTAGGCAAGTAGTGCAGTAAAGCATAAATGGGCAAGTGTAAAGCTGAATGAATTAATACTTGTTTCCTGTATATAATTGCCCAGATCCTTCCTAGCCATTAAGAAATCAGTAGGCAAGTAGAGAACACTTCGGGTGCTCCCAGGAAAACTGAAGTGGCACTACTGTTGACTTCTCCATGCTTTAAAATCCCTATTCTCATATTTACCTGATCTGTAAGTGTCTGCAAGACCATGGGTGACAGTTTCCCTGTGATGTGAGGGGTTCCAGGGAATGATATTTTTGCCTTTTATGTCCCCAAGTGTAGAAAGTGCATCTCTGTTGCCCCAGTGTCTAAAGTAGCGTATGAATAAATTTGGGTGGAATAAATGAATACATGAACCTATGTTTTACTGGATTAGGATGACAATGAGGAAAGAAGTGAGAAAAAAGGACAAAAAGAATGGACAGAAAATGGAAACTGAATCTACCATAAGTTTTCTACATGGGTTTTAGTTCCATAGTTTGAATTTACTTGCTGTGAAAAGTTCAGGCATTGCTCTGTTGAAATTTTTGGATAGTGTATAGCATTATGTAGATACATTTAGTCATATAATTTCTAAATAAAAATGTCATGAACTAGGTATGTTTATTTCTATAAGTTTGTTATGTTATCATCTTTGTTAATACTTTCAATGTATCCATTCGGTTGATTGGTCATACATAAATGATAAATCAAAACTAATTTCTTATCCTACATGTTCCACTGGTGATAAGAACTGTAGCTAAGAAGTGTCAAAATTTTAAAGATATTAAATCTTAGTCATTTATTGATGTTCTTTTTGAACATGTAGGGGAGAGGATTTACAGAAGCATCAAACTGAACCAAGTAAGACTCCACACTAAAGTTTTATAGAAGTATGTATGAACAAAATAAATTCTTTAATAGTGAACTAACTTATGAAATGACCTTACATTGCATTAGATGAAATAAACGGTCTAAGTTTGGGATTATTTCTGCTAACATGACTGGGTCAGAAAGAAATAATGTCTTCATGCTTGACCATCTTCAAGTTTTGTGGTGAGATTTTTTTAAGTTATCTTCCTGATGTTGCAAGATATTACAAATGCATTAGCAAATACTGTCTAATGTGAAATGCATAGCCCTATCATAAAACATGTGGTGAGAGAAATGATTTTAGCCCCAAGTCTTCAGTATCACAGTGACCAAAGAAATGGTCTCTCAGTTGTTATTTTTGTCATGAGAGGGCATGAGAAGCAATCTCCCCTTCCCCTTCCCGGGAAGCCCCAACATCGAGTCTAATGCTTCCTATATCATGCCCAATCGAACAAACGTGCTAGCCAGTATGGAAGGTCTTCCTTTCTTCATCTTTAGAAATGGTGCACTTGCTACTGTAGAATTCTAATCCATGGCATTCTGCAGCCTGCAAGCTTTGATCTTTATTAGTTTCATAATCATAACACAAGTCTTCAATGCACTCCAGGCTCACTCCAATGAGAGGTGATTATATGAAAGTAGTAAATGCTCTGAGTGACTGAGTCCTCCCAAAAGCTTGCTGGGGAAGACAGCAGGGCAGGCTTTCCAGTGTTTTTATGAAACATGAGTCATCCTGAGATGGACTATGCAAAAGCAAAGTCCCAGGAGTAAACCAGTGTGGGCAAAGCTTCAGGTTCTGTTTTGCAGGATGCACAATGCCTTCCCCAAGTAAAGATCCTGAGATGTCCTACAGTTTTAAAGCCCCTTGACAGTTTATTCCCTACTGCACAACATTTTTCACCATGGAACTATTTCCTCTGGCATAATGTTTTTTAATATACCATAGTTTGGAAAACACTCTCTTGTGAAGGATACAAAAAAGGACCTTGTATTTTGGGCCCAAGAAGGTGAACCAAAGTCCCCGTGGTGTTTTCTTCAGCATGTAGGTACTAATTGGGCAACATGACTAGTATGTGGTTTGTTCTAGTTGGATGTAAATTGCAAATTAATATACAGTCTCAACATCATTAGTAACACATCCTTATAAACAAGAGACTCAAGTTTGAGAATTAAAGAACTTCTTCAATGTCTTGCCAAGTAGATTGTGAATTTTTGTATTAGATAAAAGTCCTTTGCAATTACATAATCATTGTAGGCTTCATTATCTACATTGCATTTTTCAGTCTTTCTAACCCTTCTGCCCTCTTACTTGCATTATTTATTTGTATGTAAAGATTTTGTTCGCAGATGAAGAGGATGAGGTTAATTGTTACCCTGCCTCTGATTAAAGTATCAGGCACTGCAATCCACATTAGTGTTGTTCACATGATTTGGTCAAGCATTTTACTCTGTGGCACCCAGAAACAATTTCAGAAACAAAAAGCAAACCTGCTCTTTCCCTTTCTGATCAAAGCAGTTTGGAAAAGATTTTGTCTTTTAGTGATGCTTTTGATAGACTGCAAAAATATAAAGTTAAGCAGATCTCAGTTGGATAAAACATTCTGTCATACTAACTTTTTTTCTTCTACTAGCAGCAAAGAAAGCCCATACAAATTTAATGAATAGAAGCTGGAATCACATTTCTTCTTAGTTTGGTCTTTTATTTCCTCCCTTAGGCTTAGTATAAATGAGTAGAGTCACAAACATGGGATATTTTTTTCCCCTCCATAGAGAATACATAGGTCACTAATGTTACCATTTTGTGTCTGAAATAACATTCTGCTTAGAGATGCTTCCAGTCAGTCACCATCAAAGCATTAGCCCCAGTTTGACTGTGTCTGAGTCCTTGAAAGAATAATGTGCCGAGATGTAACATTACTTTTACTCTGTATGATATATTCTGGGTATCAACATAATTTGGCCTTTACTAGTTCAGAAGAGAAATGAATTCGGTCATATCTAATGTGCACTGATAACTGCTCTCAAATTAGGAACTCATTTGACAAGTTCTTTGAATCTTTTGCCAAAATTTAAGGAGTTTGTTGATCTTTGTAGTCTCCCAGAACATGTTAGCTTTTTTTTCCCTGTAAAAGTAACTAAGTTGTATCATTGATGACATGCCATGAAGATTTTCAAGAATCTATCCTGTTTTAAATAATAATGAGTTTCAGAAAAATTGATTTTGCTTTGTGCACAAACTATAAAAAGCCTTATTCATTAAACAGATTAGTTCTTCCTCTGCAGGCTACACTAAATGTTGGGTATAAAAATGTATAATGCCTAGAAAGTGCATTTTAGATGATTATTTTAATATAATCTCCGTGTGATTAATTTGCCAGGCTGACTATGTAGGCTGATACATCCGATCTGGAGATATACCAAAGTTTAAAACTTTTAAGGGAGCATATTTAGAAAGTTTCAGTTAAATCTTTTAAAACATATTAATCTTTTAAGAATATTTACAATAGTACTAAAAGATGCTTCTTCACTCTACATAGAAAAATAAATATTTTAAGTCGAGTGAGTTTTGGCTTTCTTTCTCATTTTAATATTAATGTTCCTTGTATCAGACACCAGTTTTAATTTTTCCATCCTTATACTAATATGTTGCAAATATATTTGTGCCAAAAATCAAAGACAACTTGAATTCAAACTAATATAAAATATAAATGTTAATTAGTGAATCATATTCAATGGCCATTAGGCAAGCCTATAATTTATGTCAAGTATTGGGTTAAATGCTAACTGATAAAAATTAAAAGTCATATAAATGAGTGCTCTCTTGAAATTGTATGTGTTATTGTGTTTTTACTTTTGCTTTATTTTAATTTTCACAACAGTCTTTTGAGACAGTACTTATTCTATTTGTCCACTTAATAGATGTGGAAATAGGCTGATCCCAGGGAAGTAAAATGGGTATATTATATAATCAAATCATTTTTGGTTTTAAAAGAAAATAAATTCTTGGCCAGATGCAGTGGCTCACGACTGTAACCCCAGCACTTTGGAAGGCTAAGGCGGGTGGATCACTTGAAGTCAGGAGTTTGAGACAAGCCTGGCCAATATGGTGAAACCCCATCTCTACTAAAAATACAAAAATTAGCCAGGTGTGGTGGCGGGTGCTTTAGTCCCAGCTACTCAGGAGGCTGAGGCAGGAAAATTGCTTAAACCCAGGAGGCGGAGGTTGCAGTGAGCCAAGATCATGCCACTGCACTCCAGCTTGGGTGACAGAGCGAGACTCCATCTCAAATAAATAAATAAAATAAATTCTTAAATGTCTTAGTAGCTATGACAATTAAATATTTTGGTTACAGAGTCTGAAATACACCCTTTAAAGCACATAGTAATTTGCTTGGACAGATAATTACAAAGCACTAACCTACACTATTTTTAAAATATCAAGGTGATCTGGACCTTAAGGGCCTAAATTATTTCTGATCTTAAGAATTTTCCCAGTTCATTTCTCACTGTGGTCTATTAGTAATCACAGCTGCATTGTAGAATATTTTATACGAAGACCCAGAGAATCTTAAGTAGATCAAAATATATCTGGACTATAAACCTTAAGAGAAAAGCTAGATCAAGTATTAAGGATATATTAATTCACCTTCCATTCAACTATGTCTATCAGATTGATGTTGGTCTATCCCTTAGGTTGGAAGGGTCTCACTAATTTGTGAGTTTTGTTTTATATATTCTTTTCTTTTTTTAACTTTTCAGATGATGACAAAGAGTCACACACACATACACACAGACAAAAATTCACAGAGGCACAGGTATATAGCATATAAATGAAGTAGTTGAACCCTGAAAATTTGAATCAGGAACTTCTTTTTTATAAAGTATAACAACAGTAATAAACACATGTCTTAATGTAATACTACTTGGTATGGACAGAATTGGATACAGAAAGTAAAAAGACATTTTCTATAATAAAACAGTGGTATTATGCTTAAAAAAATTTGAATACAAGTATGTTAAATTAGTCTGATAAACAAGAAACAGCATTCCCAACAGGTGGAATATTAATTTCATCCTGTTTATAATAGTAGTTGCAGTTAAACAAACTAAGCTAATATTATTATATTCTCAATGATTAATATCTCAGGCATTTTGCTGTAAAATAAAAATATAAAATGTGTAGGGCAACATTTTGGAAACATTTTGCTACCCTGCAAAGTGGATGATAACAATTATAAGGTGATTATTTTAAACATGATTTAGTTGTCAAAAAAGAGTCTGGGAAGGGTAGGGGGAAGGCAGGGACAGGGAGAGAGTTGTTAAAGGATACAAAATTACAGCTAGGTAGGAGGAATACGTTCTAGTGTTCAAAGCCATTTTAGGATAACTATAGTTAATAAAAGCACATTACATAGATTCAAATAGCAAGAAGGAGGATATTGAATGTTCCCAACACAAAGAATGGTAGATGGACAATTGAGATGATTGATATGCTAATTACACTGATCTGATGACTATATATTATATGTATGGAAATGGCACTAAGTACTCCATAATTTGTACAATTACTATATGTCAAACAAATAATGCTTAAAAATTAAAAATATAAACAAAACAAAACACAAAAAGCCCATCTCTAATTGGAACCACCGTTGATTACGTTAGCTGCTGCATTTGTCTTCACTTTTCTGAGTAACACTTGGGATTTGAAAACCATGACAATTAAAAGGTAATTATTAAGGATAAGCATAACATTTAGGGTTCAAATCTATTAGAAGCAGATTTTTTCAGTAGAAAAAATTCAAGTTTTTGGTCCGTATATAACCACTTGTTCTTGGCAGCGTAAAAGGAAACCTGCAAAACTAATATAAATTATTTAATTTCACAATTTTTGACAACCCACTAAATGGTGGCAAATAATTGGAGGATGGGGAAATCAGGAGTAATTACTTAATGTAATTAAGGGATGTTCCCTTTTGAGGTGATAAGAATATTTTGGAAGTAGATAGAAGTGATGGTTGCACAACACGGTAAATTTACGGAACACCAATGAATTTTCACCTTAAAATAGCTAATTTTATGGTATGCGAATTTCACTTTAGTAAATTATCTTTTAAAGAATGCATGCATTAGTATTCCAATAAAATTTTATTTACAAAAATTTATTCTTTTTAAAATTGAGCATTATACACTTCATAAATTATTGTTAATATAGCAATGGGGATTGTTTAAGGTTATGTTTAGATTATGGTAGTTTATAATTTCTTATATGAAGTACCTAACATTTCAAACAATTGAAATTCTATTTAGCTTGGTAAATTCTGGCCATTTATATTTTACGAATTTTGTTGTGCAAATTGGGTTTGCTGAATTTGAAGTGCTTGAGCAGATGATGCGGATGTCTGGGGAAAAATCATTCCAGGCATAGGTAGCATCCTATGAGGTGAGAGCCTGCTTGACATTTTTGAAAAACACCATGGGGATCAATTTGGTTGGGTTGGAGGGAGGAGTGGGGAGTGGAAGGAAGAGAATTTATAGAGAGGTAAGCAGGTCCCAGATTTCGCAGATCTTGGAAGGCCTGTTAAGTCCCTTTAGATTTTATTCTAAATAAGATAGCAAATCTCACGGTGTCTGAGCAGGGGAGGGTCTTAATCAGATTTACACTGCAAATACAATTGCTCTGATTACTGTGTGATGAGTAGACTTGGTGAGGACAGAGTGGGCAGAGATAAAATCAAGAAGACAATTAGGAAGCGCTTGCAGGAGTCTCTAGCTCCTTGTGTGGTCATGGAACAGACATTATCTCCAGGTGATTTATACAAACATTCAAGTTTGGGAAGTACTGGCATAGGTAAGAGTGGCTTCGGATAGGGTAGTACAGGCCAAGGTGTTAACAAGTGGTGGGATATTGCATGTACTTCTTTACATTATGATTTGCTGATGTATTGTATATGGGTGTGAAATTTGGGAAGGATAAATGGAGGTGCTTTTTACTACCAAAGAGGAAACTGAGGGGTTTCTTGGAGGGCTTGGAAATCAAGAATTTGGTTTGAGATGCCTTTAGGCATACGATAAAGTAATTTGGAAGCTGCTAGCATCATGATGGTTTTGAAAGCTGTGGGATTAGATGCCTTCACCTGGAGGAGTAGCTAGAAAACAGTGAGTCTGAGGACTGAATTCTGAAACACTCCAACAGGGCCTCAGAAAGTAGAGTAACATCCAGAAAAGAACACTAACAATGAGTGCCAAGTGATGTTTGTGGCATAATAACTAGGAGCATGTGGGGTCCTGGTGTCCCTCGATGAGCATCAAAGAACTCATGAACTTCTCGTGAAATTATCAGTTGACTCATATGTTTCACCCATTACACTCTGAGCTCTTTAATGCAGTGTCTCAACAAAGTCAGGCATTCAGAAGGTGTTTAAGAAGAAGCCAGCAGATAAATGAAGAACAATCACTTGTTTTATGATAGTATATTACTTGGCATTTTTTGGACTCCTAGATTTATGCCTTGGTGAAGGTAATTTTTCAGCACGTGAGGCTGTCTGGGTCATCTGTTTTTTTGCTCGTGATTACTCACCTAAGTACTATAGGTAAGTTGGGCGGAAATCCTTGCTGTTATGTTTAATGTCCCTTGCCATTTTCACTGCATTAGTGTTCCCTCCTTGCTATTTGGATGTAAATATTCACCATTTTCACTTTCCCTGCTGTACTTTCTCATCTGTCTCTGACAAAATTCATATACATCTTTACCAGGAAAGCATATTTTATCTAAATAATAGCTTTAGTCACAAAGGTGTGTTTTTTTGATAGATAATCTGAGAGAAATGAGTGGAACTCTTGATGTTTTCCAAGGAACTGATTTGGTAAATCAGATTTACTATATTATGATCTATTTTTCTAAAAATCCGACAAGAACTAAGAAGCAAGAAAATGCACTCAAGTCTAACCCTAAGCCTTTATCTGAAGCACGTTTGCTTTGACCATTAGTTTACCTCCCATAGATTTAGGGTAGAGGTCCCAGGTCTGTAACATTTGGTTATGGCTATCACTTGGAAAATGGCGACTAGCAATACAGGATGATGTACTGATCGGTGGCTGAGTTGTTCATGGTAAACTGCTACCCTCAGATTTTCTTTGCCAAGATAACCTTAATATAATTTAAAAGACAAGTCACAATAAGAAGTGCTTCCGTTGGTAGATTTTTTTTTTTTTTTTTTTGAGACAGAGTCTCGCTGTATTGCCCAGGTTGGAGTGCAGTGGCGCGATCTCAGCTCACTGCAAGCTCTGCCTCCCGGGTTCACGCCATTCTCCTGCCTCAGCCTCCCGAGTAGCTGGGACTACAGGTGCCCGCTACCACACTCGGCTATTATTTTTTTTTTTTTTTTTTGGATTTTTAGTAGAGACTGGGTTTCACCTTGTTAGCCAGGATGGTCTCGATCTCCTGACCTCGTGATCCGCCCGCCTCGGCCTCCCAAAGTGCTGGGATTATAGGCGTGAGCCACCGCACCCAGCCTTCTGTTGGTAGATTTAAGGTAGAAAAAAATCCTAACGTGTTATATGTTTAATAACCAAGGTTGGTTAGAATAAGTAGTTTGAAGACCTTCAATTTGTGAAGAAGGTTGTCCTGGCATTTCTCTGTCCAGCTGTGCGTGGACAGAGAATCCACCCACTTCAAGTGGGACAAAGAGATCCCAGGAGGGGAGCCTTAAAAAGCAAGTGGAAATTCCCAGGAAAGAGAAATCCCAGGACCAGCTTAACCTTCCTGTGTTTTTATCTATCAAAAAATTAATGATAACCCTTTTATATTCAATTCAACAATCTAAAAAGTAATTCTTGATGAGCTCTTTTGTTCACAAAGCTTTGAATGTTGCAGAAGCTATAAGGAGTCATTGACTCCACCACCTGGCCTCAAGTTGATTACAGGCAGGAGAGGCAATTCATCCTCTTCAAAATATAAGCAGCCATTATTCATATCTTGATAAATATTAACGTTCCTCTCCTGTTTTTCTCCTTTTGCTTTCTCTTCTCCTTTATAATTTGAGTTGACTTAAGTACTTATTGTACTCAAGATAAAAGCATTTTCGGGGGATAAATAGCCATTTTCTGCTGACGTGTATGACTGTCACTTAGAAGTGAAAGGTGTGTGCTACTGTAAGGCTACAGGGTAAGAGCACACATGACACTAGGTGAAATAGGATGTGACATAAGCTAAGTGATAGATTCAAAAAGAGGGCAGCTGTATTATTCCAGTCAAGTCAGGAAGGGTTTTTATGGAAAAGGCAGCATTTGGGTTGGCCTTAAAGAATAAATAGGGTTTGGGAGGTAAGAAGAGAAGTCAGGGAAAGTGAGCATTTAGATGTTTGCATCAAATGAGCAGATGAACTCCCATGGAGAGATCCACAATAGAACAGTTTGGGATATGGATAGGCAGACAAAGAATTCACCTTTATCAAGGTGAAGTGTTTCTTAACTCCAGAGGCTCTGAAATGTTTTGAAAGGCTTTCAGCAGAGAAGTGATGGAACTAGAACTATGCTGTAAGAAAATAATTGTGCAGCAGTGTATTGACTGGGGTTCTGTGTGGGAGCTGGGGAACAGGGAGGTGTTGTAGCAGTCCAGTCTGGAAATGGTGATGTTCTGGGGCAGGGTGGTGCTGCACGTTATGGGGGAAGGGAAATAAAAAGGAAGTATGGGGTGCATGTGAGAAATGTTGGAGAAAGACATGGCAGGATGTGAGAAATAGGCCTTGGTAGTGGTTGGGTTAGGGGACAAGCAAATAGGACTGGGGCAGTGGATGGAGGCTCTGTGATATTGGACACAGGGAACTCAGAGAATGGTGGTGTCTTAGCTCGAAATAGAGACGCCATGAGGAAGACCTGGTTTAAAGGGGAGGAGGAGTTTAATCCTGAACTTGTATCCAAGGCATGTACAAGTAGGAATTTTCCACAGCCAGTTGTAAATATAATCTTGGCCTTTGCAGAGAGACCAGAGGTACAGAAGGAAATTTGGTCCTCATTTGTTGCAAGATAATAAACGGAGCTGGATGAAATAATATCACCCATTTAGGTGAATTCATACAATTAATCTTCTAGCTCATTAAAAGAAATCTCAGACTTTAAGCAATACATTCTGAGATACGACACACTTATTTTGTCTCCAGTAGAGCAAGAGTTCAAGATAATTTTCTTGAACAAGGAACAAGCAAGAGCTCTGTTGAAAACAGATTCAGACTTTGTGCCCATAATAGCAAATTATTCCATAAATGGGAGCCATGATCCAGTGAAGAAGGCATTTCCCTTTCAGGCATGACATATGTTTGATTACCAAGGGCAAGGTTCCTCATTTGATTGCCAACCTCCCTAATTAGGAGGCCTTGAAGATCATTGCCTGAAGGTTGTCCAAGCTGAAAAAGCATTCGCAAGCACAAACATATTTTATGTCCAGTAAAAGTCACTCTAGTTGACTGAATGCGGTTGGTTATCATAGAGACTTACTTGTTAGCTCCAGGCAAACACGGCCAGCAGCATTGGTATTGAAGACAAAAGACAGCCATCAGTATAAATTCTTGTCTACTATGCAAGGTGTATCTTTTGATCTTTTCAGAAAGAACTAGAAAATTGGATGGTATTTGCAGGAGCCTTTCAGCTGAGAAATGTCAATAATGTAATTGTGTTGAGACCAGTACATGGAATTGACTTGTTGGGAGATGGATACAGGTGCAAGGATGAAATGTGTATCTGATTACTATATAGAACTGAGTTTGTGCATGAGATCATGGGTCACCAGGCTACATCAGCAAGCATTAGGAGAATTTAATGAATCCTCTATAGAGGCTTCTGAGTGCCAACTCCAAATCTGAAGTTTTTGGAAAACAGCAAGAAATAAAAAAGTAAGTTTCCTCCTGCTATTTGCATTTGTAGTGTATAACCCAGTTTCCTCCATTTGGTAGATAATGTGATGACTGTAAAATCAAGACAGGTCATTCCATTTCCCTCAAGCAGAGTGAATCACCTTCATTGTGCACTGAATTTCTGCAAGCTGGGCAAGTAGGAGTTTTAAGTTGCTCTTAGGTGGTTTTTATTCGCTGCAGGTTATGTTAGCTTATTTTAAAAGGTATCTAAAATGAGCAGCATTGGTGAATTAAATTGTTCAATTTTGTAATTGTTTAAATGTACCTTTTGGTTTTATATTTTTCCCCTTTTCATTTATTCAGAACTGTAATTAAATTTGTTTTTTATTATCTGCTATTGAGTTATCAATGAATAGAAAGGAGATGGGGAAAATAGATTATAGGATCCTAACAACATTAATTTGTTTAATGCTTGACTCCATCTCCATGGATAGATAACACTTTTGGCACCACATTATTCTCTGGGCAAAATAAGTATTTTCTATTTTTAAAAATGTAAATAATTGGCCGGGTATGGTGGCTCAAGCCTGTAATGTTTTGGAGGCTGAAGTGGGCAGATTGCTTTAGCTCAGATGCTCAAAATCAGCCTGAGCAACATGACAAAGACCCCATCTTTACAAAAAAAAAATAGCCAAACATGGTATTGTGTGCCTGTGGTCCCAGCTACTCAGGAGGCTGAGGCTGGAGGATCGCTTGAGTCCAGGAGATTGAGGCTACAGTGAGCCATGTTTGTGCCACTGCACTCCAGCCTGGGCAACAGCCTGCCTCCAAAAAATGTAAATAATTGTATATCACATTTCTTCTGGTTACACTAGAATATGGACTACTGTATGTTGGTGTTATCTGAGAATAGATGGTGTCTTATGCATGTGTATCTTTGAAGAACCAGGAAGTGACTGCTTACGAGTGGTCTGTTCATGGATGCCTCATGGGATATGGCATAATTGAACATTCTTTTTCTTAGAAAGGAATCCATGCTTGCAATTTTTGTGATAATAGTTAACATTGGCCGGGTACGGTGGCTCATGGCTATAATCCAGCATTTTGGGAGGCCAAGGCGGGAAGATCACTTCCATTCAGGAGTTAGAGACCAGCACAGGCAACATAGCAAGACGCTGTCTCTACAAAAAATGAAAAATTACCTGGGTGTGCTGGTGAATGCTTGTAGTCCCAGCACTCAAAGGCTGTGGTGGAATGATTGCTTGAGCCTGGGAGATCGAGCAGTGAGCTATGACTGCACCACTGTACTCCAGCCTGGGCGACAGAGTAAGACCTTGTCTCAAAGACAAAAAAAAATGGTTAACATTTATTGAGTATTTACAGTGTGCTGGAGACTGTTGTAAGTGCTTCTTATGTTCTCTCATTTTATCCTTACAATACCAAGAGGTGGCTATCTTCCCCCTTTATGAATGAGGACAATGAGACACAATGAAATGAAGGAACCAGCCACAGGTCCCACCGCCCTTAAGTAGCAGAGTGGGAATTTGAACCTATGCAGCATGACTCTAAAGCCTACATTGAAAAACCCATCTTGAAGCAATTCAAATATGTCTAATTTTATCATGTAGGAATATGCAGTCATCAAATTTGCATCTTTTGAGCCTTTAATACCAATCATCCTATCTTTTCTCAAAAGAAAAAATTTTGGAAGATGATTTTTTTCCTGTATTTGTTTTCATTCATATCTTTTGGGAACATAAATTTAACTATATATTCATTTTATGTAAGTGGCTCCAGCACGAGTGAAAATGACTTCAGAGCAGGGGTTTTGATTTTTGCAGGCATGTCTACCACTCCCTGTGATGTTCAGTGTGTTACTGTGTAATAGATGATTAATAGGGGAAAGTGTTTTAGGTGATTGTTATGTCTGTCAAGCTCAAATGCAGATAGAAATGTATTGCCTTAATTCTCTCTCTCTTTTTTTTTTTTTGTTTTTTTTTTCACTTTTTGCCCAGGCTGGAGTGCAGTGGTGTGATCACGGCTCACTGCTGCTTCAACCTCCTGGGCTCGAGATCCTCCCACCTCAGCCTCCCAGGTAGCTAGGGCTACAGATGCGTGCCACCATGCTAGGCTAATTTTAAATTTTTTATAGAGGCTGGGTCTCAGCATGTTGCCCAGGCCAGTCTCAAATTCCTTGGCTGAAGCAATCTTCCAGCCTAGGCTTCCCAAAGTGCCAGGATTACAGGCATGAGCCACCGCACCCAACCTAATATTCTTGTGTAGAAAAAAATAATAATAATAACTAATTGATTTTTCTTATGTCATCACATTGCATTACCTTTATTCTACTAGCTCTGTTACCTCAAGGAGGCCATAGAATCTTCTGTTACTCAACTTCCTCATCTGTAAAATGGGATAATCGTACATTCTGTGCCTGTGTATCCATGAGATTACAAGCTTTGAGTGACAAAAGTTATCTACTTAGAAAAATAAAATTATATATGTATATGTGTTTATAATAAATATACATATTTGATATGTGCAATAGTTGAATGTGCAAACTGCAATGGGGAAAATATTAAAACTGTGATTTTTCTGGACCTTAAATATAGTTAAGTATATTTTAAAATGCTTTTGAAACATGGAAAAGTTTTCTGAGGCTTTGGAAGTATGAATTCAAAATGGTACTGCTAATGAGAGTAAATATTTCAAGGTAATGTGAAAAGTCTGAGACAGAGGTTATTGGCCAGTAATTTACCTGGAGGAAGGCAAGGTAAGTCTGCAAACATAGAGCATGTGGATCTTTCTGTACTATGTCATTCTGTTCATATAATCTGAACATTTTTTTTAATCTCCATGCATTACTATCTTGAATAAACAAAATAATTAGGCAAAGAAAACATATTTTAAAAAGTTAAAACGTGTTGGAAGAGAAACCATCAGAATATAAGCTGTTATGCCTTCCCAGCCTCTGTATTAAACATGGAATTTTTACTCTTTACCCTAAGTCATTGGGAGAAGATGAAAGTTTTTTCAAAGGGGAAACTCAGGAACATGATTGTAAAGAAAATGTCTAGTTCCTAGAGAGAGCCAGTAAAAGAACATCATTCCACAAGTTACTGCCTCCAATTTAAAAACATCAAAACAGGATAAAGAGTGTCTCCTACTGAGCGGAAAGTAGAGACCAGAAGGTTTGTTGAAACCCCAGAGTGAAAACCACTTAGAGAATCGGAATCGTCAAGTATAAGGTTGTGAGATGGATTCAGAGACCAGACTGAAATATGTCTCTGCCAATCTGTGCAGTGAAAGTGGATGACAAGGGAGATGGGAGACAGGAGTCAGAGGTGGCAGAACAGGCATTGGCCTCCCTGAGAGATGTCCAGGGCGTGAGAGTGAATTTGTGAGTAGGTGACAGAGGCATGTCACAAAAAGCAGGCACAGAGAGCAATACAGAATGAGAGGTCATTTTACTGTAGCCCAAAAGTTAGTATGGTCCACGGATACCAGAGCCTATAAAATAATATCATGGATTTATGAAATATGAGAATTCTATTGTGTGCTGTGTGTGTAGATAAAAAAAGTAAGTGCCTACAAATTAGATGTGCAGCAAAATAGAATCTTTTAAGTTTTCTATAATTGATGTGTTTACTTTTGAATCCCCCACCCTTACTGGTAGTGATGGTTGGAGTGGGATAGAATTGATGTATGTTGATGAGTTATCAG
Organism: Homo sapiens; assembly: GCF_000001405.40. Lineage (NCBI taxonomy): Eukaryota > Metazoa > Chordata > Mammalia > Primates > Hominidae > Homo > Homo sapiens. Next base: position 93,360,722 of record NC_000013.11, read on the forward strand.
TGGATTATTTTTCCTCCAAAGTCGCTTTTGGTTTCCAAACACTTTCTGTTAGAAATATATTCAATAGGTTCACAGTTCAACTCCTGATCAGTTATTTCTATCCTTCTTCCCTTCTGAAAATCTATGTTTGCAGGCAGACTTAGAGGCTTCTAGTGTGGATGTGGAAGCCTTTAACTCCGTGACCCCACTGTGTGGCCAGTGCTTGAGTTCTAGGGTATGGGCCTCTGGATCTATTGTGCAGTGTTTGGTCTGATTCTGTCCTCTGGAATCTTACTCGCTTTTTTTGTTTTTCAAATCTGCAAAACGCACCCCTCTCTTGCTGACCACCTCTTGCTTGGTGCTACGGATACCTCCTGAAATCTGGCTGCTGTTTATATTTGTTCATCAGCTCAAGTGGCCCATGCTTTAGCCCTAAGCTGCTGTGCCCTTGGTTCCTGTCACAGTTCAGACCTTATGGATTCTCCTTGCTGCTTGCCTGAAGCTCTGAAACTTTCTTGCCATACATAGGCCCTAGGAACCAAGATGAGTTTCCCGCTCAAACAGAGAAAATGTTCAAAACCCCATTGCTTCTGCCTGTTCCCACCTCATTTCCAAAAATTAGGCAAAAGTTGCAAAGCATCTGGCAGCCTGTTTTCCCTGTCATTGTCTCTAATTCCTTCCCACAAACCCCTAAGATGTATATTGCTCCATCCTGCTATGTAGGACTTATCCTGGGGCATAAAAACTTTCTTATCCAGAGAAATAAGCATCATGCCATAGATGTTCATAAGATATAGAACAGACATTCATAGCCATTATCTACAGGTTGCAAGAGATTAAATATTTCCTTTATTCATTTAAAAACGTGTATTTTCTAAATCTTCTATAATAAACAGGTACTATTAATACATATATTCATAAAAAGAAAAAGTGTTTACAAATTGCACAAAATAAGATGGAAAAGAATCCTGGTTTTTCTGCTTAAAGGAGTACTTCCTATTCTATTATGAGATGCGAGACCCTGCAAATGCTAACAGACAGAGATAAATGAAAGATACAGGAACAGCAGTAGTGGTTAGGCAGAAAAAAACCTGGACCTTAAAAACCCGACTTCAGTAAGGGCAAAAGGAGTTTCTAGAGTCCCTGGGTCCGTGCAGTCAAAGCAGATAATCACAACTGGGAGAATTTCAAGAGAAGACAGATTGTTCACTTGCAGGATTGCAACTGTTTTGTTTACTCTTGGTTGTTGATCTTTCACTTGTGACTGGATGATCATACAAAGACTCCAGCCTCAGTAAGTGATGAATTGTTAGTTGAAGGAGAACTGTGTTTTGTAATAAATAAGGTAACTCTTTCATAATCTCTGCTGTCAGGATGCTCTGGGGTATGTTTTGGGGTTCATTAGTTCTATAATATCTCTGCCAGTTCACCTCTACATGCCACTCCAAATAACTAATCAGAGGACAGCTTGTGTGCTTGCTGTGCAAGCTCAGTGGAAGCACTCAGCTCCTCAAACATCAGATTGTCTCTGCCCAGTTCTTCCTGGAGAGAATTTCTCAGTTGCCCTGTATTCTTCCAAGGTCTCTCCAGCATGTTTTGGTTCCTCTGAATGTAACCCTTTGCTTTTGAATTTCTGAGTGGTAGATCCATTTTACCATCTCCTTACAGTATTAGTACCCATAAAGACATTACCTGTGATTGAGTCTCTTTGATCAAGGGCTGTAAACCCATCCAAGGTGAGAATGTAAGGGTGGGAAAATCCATTTTTCTGTGACATCAGGACCAAATAACTGCAAAGGAAAGGTGCCCAAATATATTAAATATTGTCTTAGTGACTTTTACTAAAAAACATAACTGTGAGATGGAGTTCTGCTCGAGTACTGTCAGGCACTTAATATATTCCAAATAAATATGGCTGGAGTTAGATTGACTGAACTTATTCACAGAGGGAGAGAGTTTGGAAGTGACTTACTGATAATAAAAAAAAAAATTTTTTTTAAAGGGTTTGAGGTGAGGTCTTACATAGGAAAAGTCATTTTCTGATGTTCTAACTTGCTTTACTAATCTTCAGGAAACAACTGTGGTACATTTTGTCCTAAATAAATGTTTCTTAAAGGAGTACTCAAGTGGTTGTTAAAGTTTTAAGCACTCTGCATCTTTTTAAATAAATGCATTGCTTAGCAAGTACAAATGTGAGTCTCCCAGATTCCATCGCCCCACTGACTTCTGCCAAACAGTGCTAGTATTAATTTTTAGGTGAAAAGACAGGTCAGAACAGTCTGAATTCAACATTATACTGATGAACGACTATTTTTTAAATGGCTGCAAAATGTATTAGTATCTCTACCAAGACGTTTCATAAGTACTAAATAATGTCAGTAGGTTTTGTGTCTTTTTTTTTCTTTCCTTTTTTTTTGTTTTTTTTTTTGTTTTTTTTAAAATTATTATTATACTTTAAGTTTTAGGGTACATGCGTACAATGTGCAGGTTAGTTACATATGTATACATGTGCCATGCTGGTGTGCTGCACCCACTAACTCATCATCTAGCGTTAGGTATATCTCCCAATGCTATCCCTCCCTCCTCCCCCCACCCCACAACAGTCCCCAGAGTGTGATGTTCCCCTTCCTGTGTCCATGTGTTCTCATTGTTCAATTCCCACCTATGAGTGAGAATATGCGGTGTTTGGTTTTTTGTTCTTGTGATAGTTTACTGAGAATGATGATTTCCGATTTCATCCATGTTCCTACAAAAGACATGAACTCATCATTTTTTATGGCTGCATAGTATTCCATGGTGTATATGTGCCACATTTTCTTAATCCAGTCTATCATTGTTGGACATTTGGGTTGGTTCCAAGTCTTTGCTATTGTGAATAATGCCGCAATAAACATACGTGTGCATGTGTCTTTATAGCAGCACAATTTATAGTCCTTTGGGTATATACCCAGTAATGGGATGGCTGGGTCAAATGGTATTTCTAGTTCTAGATCCCTGAGGAATCGCCACACTGACTTCCACAATGGTTGAACTAGTTTACAGTCCCACCAACAGTGTAAAAGTGTTCCTATTTCTCCACATCCTCTCCAGCACCTGTTGTTTCCTGACTTTTTAATGATTGCCATTCTGACTGGTGTGAGATGGTATCTCATTGTGGTTTTGATTTGCAATTCTCTGATGGCCAGTGATGCTGAGCATTTTTTCATGTGTTTTTTGGCTGCATAAATGTCTTCTTTTGAGAAGTGTCTGTTCATGTCCTTCACCCACTTTTTGATGGGATTGTTTGTTTTTTTCTTGTAAATTTGTTTGAGTTCATTGTAGATTCTGGATATTAGCCCTTTGTCAGATGAGTAGGTTGCGAAAATTTTCTTCCATTCTGCAGGTTGCCTGTTCACTCTGATGGTAGTTTCTTTTGCTGTGCAGAAGCTCTTTAGTTTATTTAGATCCCATTTGTCAATTTTGGCTTTTGTTGCCATTGCTTTTGGTGTTTTAGACATGAAGTCCTTGCCCATGCCTGTGTCTTAGTAAATATAAGCAATAAAATTGTCAAAAAGATTATTCTTGGTGGATGAAGACGAAAATGATTTTTGGTTTAGTCACCACGTGTCATAAGCAGAGCTGAACAGTAAAGTTCATGGAGAATGTATGTTATCTATCCAGAGGAGATGTAAGAAAATCACAATGATGCACGGTGAGTCAACAGTTTTTAAAACACTACAGCAACGTTAGTGTTTTCACCTTTCATGAAGGAACTGTCATGTGAATAAAGCCTCTGTTGAGGATTAGTCGTTGATGCTATATGTTGCTGTGGTGTGTCATTTAGGAGCATTTTTTTCCTTATTTTTAATCCATAAGCAGTGATGGGATAGTAAAAGCTATGAATTAAGTGAGCCTTGTTTGAAATAAATGAATTATCTCTAAAACAATTTCATATATCTCAGTTCTCCTTGTAGTGGGGTCAGGCACACAAATATGTGTGTGTGTGTATATATATATACACACACACATATATATACACACACATATATGTATATATATATGTATTTTATATATATGTATATCTCCAATGATCAGACTACATATCTTGCCCAATTGGCTAATTGTATATGATTGAACATGCATCAAGGTGTATTGACTCTCCTTCTCCTCTGTTTCTCTGAAGCACTCCATATTATTGCATACATTACACCTTCACCTCCGGTCTGTCTCCATTTATGGATCCTCCCCATCTTGTCTTTGGTTCTTCTTCCTTGGCATACTCCTTCACACTACTGGTTTTCTAGTGTAATAGTCTTAGCTCCATGTTCTTCTTTTTCTACATCTTCTGCATTTAGATCTGATTTTTCTTTCTACCTCCACATCACCCCCATGTCAATGAAAAGTATTCATATCTTTAACTCTAGTTTCTGCCCTTTCTCTGAAGCCATGGACCAGCATGTTTGACTGGCTGATGCGTTCCCACAGTAAACTGCAAGTTTATCCATTCAAAGAGGGAACCCGTGACTTGTCTTCCACTCTCCCTGACACTCTTCCTGATATAAGTACGTGGCATTTTTCAGCCTCTCTTCCTGGCAGTGGAACTCTCCTGGCTCATTCCCTCCAATATCTAGTCATATGCTAAGTTTGATCAACCTGATTTGGTAGGTCCTGTATAAGATTCTCAAACTCTCATTTCCAACCCACTTTCTTACTTTTTCAATGACCATAGTCAGATATTTTGCCTTAACAACAGCTCCATAGTACCAATCACTTTGCCTTGTAGGGGTTTTAAAAATAATCATTCTTTTCCAACCTGCTTGAAATATGACAGCTCCTAAATCAATAAACTAGAGTTAGGTGGCAAAATACTTGATTCCCAACAATGAAACTCAGGTCCAGAGTAGTGTCACATTTGTTAATGTAAATACCCTCACCATATGTGCATATGTGTTTTAATGAAGATTAGACCCCAAATTTTAGGGCAAATTTATCATAATTATTTTAGGGGAACAATTATTGTGATTCTGGCAGTGGGAAAGTGATCTCTGAAGGACCAGATGACTGTGTATGGTACTGCCATCTATCACTTTACATGGTAGACTCCTACCAAACTTTCTTCCTGCACTAAGCTGACACTATCTCCTTGTGGAATATGTAGAGTGTTGGCTCTTCTCTGATTCCTTCAGTTCCAGGGAAAAAAGAGGTTTCCAAATATAATAAATATTTCCCATGTTGAATAAAATATTAGCAGAAAATATTGTTCATGTTCTATTCTCCAGCTTTAGGATTTTAGTTTCATAGTCATATTTTACATATTTTTACTAAGGTTTGGTAACAAGCATCAAAACAATCCAAGTAGTGGGGTGAGAGATACACTATATATCTCTGGTCAGAGTGTCAACCTGATTTGTATGCAGCAGAACACAATTTGTGGTCTACTGAATCCCCTTGTAATTATGCTCTCTTTATATATCTCAGGTTTTCTTTAAATCATTCTTTAGTAGGGCATTGTATTTATAGCAGTCTGTAAATTTACATGGAAAAACCCCAATAAACTTTACATAAATTGAGAAATATTTGAAAGCAAATAGAAGTGCTAGACAGTGCCCTTAGATACCTTGTAGTTTAATGTTAACAAAATAAAATACAATCAACCAAATTCTGATGGAGCAGCATGTCATCAACAATGACATTTCCAAACCTGATGTTACTGATAGGGGTTTTATTAGTTAATTAAATGTGTGCAGACTACATGCAGTGTTGCAGATAATGTAGAAGAGGACATGCATGCTTCATTGCAGCTCAATTTCCTTTCTAGAAGTTATGACGATATTAAATTATTTAAATTTCTAAAATGAGCCACCCACATTCCTCCAATCTTTTTATTGTAAATTTCTATCCACTTTTCACTAAGATGAATTTGTTTACAGTTTATTTTTGATAAGTCTTGCAATACTTTTTGGGGAGTGTTAGGGGAAAGAAACTCATTCAAATTGAGCAGATTTCCAATGATTTGCAATCCATTTATTTGGGTAGACTTGAAATACAACAGGGACATTCAAAAGTTTGAGCAGTAATTTATGCTATATTTATACATAAGCCAGATTTCATTCCCAGAATTTCTGTCTCTCCTATGGTTTTTTGCTCTGATTTATGAATTTATTTGTAATAAAATCAGGTAAGTCAAGCATTTATTCTAAACTCCTAGTCTGTTTTTTATAACTTACACAATTCGTACACTTCCAATTATTAATTACTTCAATTATTCATTCAGCAAATATTGACTGTCTTAGAGATACAGTGGACACTATTCTTAATGCTGGGAATGTGCTGGTGATTACAAAACCAAGTCGCAACACATGCAAAGCTCATTTACTCTTTATGCTTTTCAACCTTAAAATTTTATCATCACCAAAAAACATTTCTTTGCTTAGTTGATATGGCAGTACCAGAAGTTAGGTGAAAAACAGGTGCACATTCAGAATACCTACTGTAAGAAAGAGCTTACCTTACAAAATACTATCAGAAAGAAATTCACTCTTTGTTAAATAATAGTGTCAATTGTGTGGACAATTATTCTGATGCTAGTGATGAAATATCAAAAAGAGAAGCAAGGAATATCCCTAGTTTCATTTTTGGCATTATTTTTGTCATACCTCTTTTTATCATTGTTAGCTTTGCTAGAGGTTTGTCTGTTTTATTGCTGTTTCCAAAGATTCAGCTTTTTGTTTCATTGATAATTCTCTATTACATTACTGTTTTCTATTTCGTTGGTTTCTGCTTTTTATTATGCCCTTTGTTTGTCTTATTTAGGTTTACTTTTCTTTTTCTAGGTTTTTGAAGTGGGTGCTTAGATAACTGATTTGAGACTTTCCCTTTTTTCAGTGTATGCATTTCCTTTCGGCAGTGTTTTAACTGTGTGCCACAAATTTTTGATATGTTCTATTTTGAGTTTAATTCAGGTTAATGTAATTTTTGATATCTCTTGCAACTAACTGCCTCTTTGACCCATAGATTATTTAATAGTGTGTTGCTTAGTTTCCAGGTGTTGGGAGATTTCTTTCTGTTATCCTTCTATTCTTGATTTCTAGTTTGAATCCATTGTGGCTAGAGAATATACTCTGTATATATTTAATTTGTAAAAATTTGTTGAGGATTGTTTTATGACCCATAATATAATCCATATTGGCATATATTCTGTGAGCTCTTGAAAAGAATGTGTAATCTGCTTTGTTGGGTATCCTATAAATGTCACTTCGATCCTTTTAGTTGATAATGTTATTGATTTATTCTATATCCTTGCTTATTTTCTGTCTAGATGTTCTATCACTTGTGAAAAGATGGTTGTTAAAATCTCAAACTGTAATTATTGAATTGTTTATTTTCCCATTCTATTGTCCTTTTGCTTCAAATACTTTTGTAGCTCTGTTTTTTGTTGCAAACACCTCTATGATTGCTTTGTCTTATTGCTAGTTCTTTTATCATTATGCAATGTTCTTCTCTATGTTCAATAATTGTCTTTGCTCTGAGTCTATTCTATCTAATATTAAAACTCCCTCCGTCCCTCCCTACTCCTTTGCCTCCCTTTCCTCCCTCCCTCCTTCCCTCCCTCCCTCCCTCTCTCCTTCCCTCCTTCCCTCCTTCCCTCCCTCCCTGCTTTCCTTCCTTCCTTCCTTCCTTCCTTCCTTCCTTCCTTCCTTCCTTCCTTCCGTCCTTCCTTCCTTCCTTCCTTCCTTCCATCCTTCCAGCACCTTTATTAGGAAGACTGAAATGATAGTATGCTGTCTTAAAAAGCTTGGTTGTAAAAGGAAGGACTTGAAAATTTCCTTTCTCATGTCCTCAAAGACATGGATTTCATTTATATGCACCTTGGTCTTTCCTCAGACCTCTAACTTCAGCCTGGAGTTGAGCAGAAACCCAGCTTAGTTTCCCTCAAATCATTCTTATTCTCCAGACATGGTGCTGCACCTTTGAACCAACAAGCAGGTTACTGGTAGTATACTTCTTAATTCTGAAGGCTTTTCATTGTTATACAGGAACAAGCTACACCTGAATCAGAAAATTATTTAGTTAGCAAAGCATCCAAAACAGCCAAAGCTATTCTACTTATGGTTGTTAATGGACAGTCTAAGAAAAGCTAAGCAAATGTCATCTGTAGGCATTTGCTGTACCTCAGACTCTTATGGGACAGGTTTGCAGACTGTTTCCCAGTTCCCCAGTGGGTTCATAATTGCTGACTCTTTGCACTCTCCTTTGATTAATGTTTGCATAATATATGGTGATTGAGGTTTCTGGCTCCCCATATGGCCTTCACTGGCACCATAAAAGGAGAGATGTCCCTGTAACTGCTGAGTGGTGATAGAAGTGCCTACTCTTTACTAGACATTGTCTCATACCTCCCTAGTGAGAAGAGAGAGGGGTGCCTCATTATTGGTGGGTGGGGGTAGAAGTATGGGCTCCTCGTGTAGTCTCCATTGACACTACAGATTATGCTCTAACATTATCAATAATCACATTAAATATAAATGGTCTATATATTAATATATTGATGAAAAGCCAGAGATTGAGAGAATAGATTAAAAAGCATAATCCAACTTTGTACTATCAGCAAAAATTCACTGCAATTACAATAAATAAACTTGTTAAAAATAAAAGGATGGGAAAAGATATACGATGGAAACATTAATCAAAAGGAAGCAGGAGTGGCTATATCAAAGGATAAGTACATCAATAAAACAGCAATCCTAAATGTTCGTGTATCAATAATAGGATACTTTTAAAACTTTTCTGTTGTGACTTACATTGTTTTATTGCTTTTCAAAAGCAAAGAAAAAATGGAGTTTTTGTTGGCATAGTCTATTATTTTTATTACAATACTATTAGTAGTCACAGCATGTAAGGCTATTAATAAATGAAATACTCGTAGGTGATAATCATGTTTGGATATTCTAGTTTGAGCAGAATTAGAAGCTCAAAAGTATGCTGAGTTTGTTCACATTTGCTATTGTTTTAACCACATTTGAAGCAACAGTTTAAACGTTTTTTTGTCACTTGGGAAAACTGTCAGTACTCTATAAGGAGGAATGAAAATACCAGAACTATAAAAAGAAATGTTCAAAAGCTTCAATCAACTTTTATAATATTTCCAGCTTTAAAATTATCATTATTAAATTCATATCTATCAAGACAGTGTATTTCAAATCATCAGTTTTTTCCATGGCCTGCTGTATTCAAGCTAACTGACAAGTGATTATGTAGGTTGTATCATTATTATATTTTTTAAAATGCCAATAGACATCCCCCCAAAGCAGCAAGGAACTACTTTTCAAATTCACTTAAATGACACACGTTATTCTGTCTGTCTCTGGCAGCTCTTCATTCCTGCCCAGAGTTTATGGGTAGATGCCTTTAAATTGTGGAGGAGACCGAGTACAATGCTGCATTCATTATTCCAGACAGTTGTCATCATACTGAAATGAAAACTCCTTTTAAAATTTTAATTAAAATCCTAGAATTGGCATGCCCTTTGGGTTTCTAGATAATGTAAAGGTTTTTGAACTATCTGGAAATGTTAAAAATTCATGCAAACAGAGGTCCCCTGATAAAGAAATAGAGCCTTCTGCCGCTATTCTTTACATATGACAAACATAAACACCCCAACTTAAATTTTCCCTTTTCTTCCTTGAATAAGGCAGATTTATAAAACAGTCTCATAACTGGAATGTATATTAACTTGTTAGAATCATTGATTTAAAACTGTTCTATTCTTTACGCAAGGGAAAAATAATGCTGGATTTCTCAGTTTCAAGTACAGAAGATCCAACTCAATAAGGATGTTTATTGTTAAATAATCAGAAATCTAGATATAGCAAAGTCCCAGGGTCAGTTAATTCAGGGGTTCCATGACTTCTTCAAGAATCCAGGTTTTGTTAAGTTTGGAATTTGGGCACCTGTTATGGAGGAAGAGGCTGGTGGGAAGATTGGGTGAGCATCCATGTAGCCTGCCACATACAGCAGGCAAATTACCAGGGATTATGTTACATAGATTTAAATAGTCAAACCTGGTTAACTTAGAGTGTGGGAAAACCTTTTCTGTAAAAATGAAGAACAATCTTGTTTATTGTTTATCAAACATTTCACATAGAGGTATCATTGCGTTGTAATTCCTCCTTTAGAAAACATTGAGAATGGCTCAATACTTTCTACATGGATGTTTATATAGACCAATGACATTTATTTCCATTGTATTGTCATGCTTCCATAGCCAATTAGAATGATTCACCCTTTTGACAAATTGAAAAGACGGTTTGTGGAAATAAACAAGTTAGGAGAACGCTACTGGAAAACAAATAATCTCTTACTTTTGTTAATGTTGACAAACATAGTCCACAGCTATGTGGATGGTTGTGACAGATGTTGTATTCTGATTTTGAAAACTAGGTTGAAATGTAACATAGTTCTTGACATATGCATTTTTCCAAAGGTCATTGGGATCAGGTTTATGGCTAGAGAGTTAATGATTCGGGAAATATTTTCATTGAGGATGAAGCTTGGCAGGGGTTGGGGGTAGTATAGCCTTCCGGTAGGCATCATAGAGTGTGTCACATACACCAGGGAGATTACAAAGGATTATATTAAATAGGTTTAATCAGCCAAATCTAGTTAGCTCAGATTTTAGGTAAACTATTAATGCAATAATGAGAGATAATATTGGTTCATTTTATTAAACAATATGATTTGGGTGATCTGGAAAAAATGATCTCAAAGAATCTTGCAAGTTATAAAGTATAATCATAGAAAAAATGCATTTTTGTTTAGAGTTTCTTATAATTCGACCTAGCAATGGACCATTTCAGTCTGATTTATTCCTTTAACACATGTGTGAGGTACTAGGAACTGAGGTACACATGGTGAACAAGACAAATACTTCTGTGCTCTCATGGAGCTTACATTGTAGTGAGGAGTTCAGACAATGGACAAATAAACACCTAAAAATATCATTCAGTATCAGGTAAGCAGTAAGGCTATTAGGGAAACTAAAGCACTAGTGTGGATAGGCAGGGAGATACATAGTGCAATGCCATATAGCTCCTGAGACCTTAAAAAAAACAAAAGCTAATGGGCGCATCTCTGTGTATAGGCAAAAAAAGACTCTTAGGAATAGAGACCTCAGTAAATCTAATGTCATAGAATTCATTGTTAGCCTTATCCATATTAAACCAGAGCCCACCATTGGAGATCTCTGTTCCCTTTGTTCCATTGTCCCATTAGCCAATTTTAACTTTGGGTCTTAGGGTGCATCAGTCCCACGTTAGTGAAACATACATCTTATTGGGTTATTCGATTGGCCTATTTCTGAAGTGATGAGCAAAAGATACACTTTGGGATTAGCTTAACTCTGATGGACTTTGCTTTCATTAATTCATTTATACTTGCATCTTTTCAGTATGTATGTGTATCAAATGCCTGTTATACACAAGAGGCTTTATAGTAGATATGTGACTTAGACATTGCTTGCAAACAGGTTAGATATAATATCTAAAAAAGATTTGTAGTAACAAGGCAGAGTTTCAGATATCTTAAGAGAAGCAGAGGTCCTGCTTCTTTTGAGAAGATGGCTTATTGGCTATGAGTTTGCTTGGTCTTGGCTGTTACAAACCAGTCTCTCTGGGTCTGTAAGGCTCTATTAATATTTCAGCATTGAGAATGATTGGAGTGCCAGTGAAAAGAAATTAATGAAACAGGTTCTCAGCTGGATCTACTTGTTATTGATACATAGGTGTCAGGAGATCTGGGTTGTAATTCACTGCCATCTAACCTCTTTGTACCTCACTTAGCCACAGAATGAGAGTTATGGGGTAGATACTATTTTAGATTCTTTCCAATGCAAGTTATTGTATATTCTATTACTTTATTCATAGAACCAAAACAAGCACAGATGAATTTAAATGTAGGCATTTGGTTTTTCATTTTGCCTCCCCCGTTCACTTTTTAAAATATGAATTCAACCTTTATCCTACAAGGCAATATTTTCTATACAATTATGGAGTCTATTAGAAAGACTTCATTTTGGTTGAAGCTTTATAATATCAGACATACTGTTGTTGGTAAAGAAGATTTAAACTGAGTCTATTAGCCTGTATCTGAGAGGTAGCTGATAGAATGCATATAATGAGAAAATTGTTCTTGAAGGACACACTAAACAACTGTGGTTTGTATTTGTTTGTAATTCTGTTGTGACCAGACAGATGGGTGACTATAAACAAAATATCTTCCTATTCCCTTCTGAGACATATGCAGGGTCGTCTTTCCTTCAGCACTGTCATGGAGCAGCACGCAATTAGCTACAGAATGTTAGCCACCCTGCTGGATGCAACTCCACATCTCCCTCTGTGGTGTATAATAGTACAAAAGTGACATTAAACCTATCAAACAATCGTATTCAGGCAGCATGGCATCACACAACCCCAGCTGTTTGTGTTAGTGATTTTGTTTTTCACCAGAGGAGATTTTTGGGGTGAATGTAATGAATGGACAGGCTATGCTTACTTTTAATGAACCCCAAGTTAATGCTTCGGTCTTTTTCTGTCCATTTAAATGCAAAGGAGCACATTTCAGATCATAATGAAATAAGCACACTAATACACAACCTCCTTTCTTCATTCTGAGCCTCTGCTTCCAGAATTAATAGCTTCCTGGTAGGGCATGTTTGACATTGTTGCTAAACTCTAAACAGGGATCTAATTCAGAGACAAATTTACATCAGCTTATATTTTGACTTTTAATTCCTCTGGCAACCAAAGAACAAACAAGCAAACCAAGAAAGTATAAAGAGTGACTTTATGAAGATAAATCAGAATGACCTGTATGTTGAATCCTTGAGAATACATCTCTTGTGGTTTCATTATACTTAGATTAGTGTGTCGTCTGTGGTGATACTCTGTAAAGCAAAAAATATAGGTCAGATTAACAAAATGAATGCAAAAATCAATGCCTGCAAGAATTAGTGATTCAAAAGATAGTATTAACTAAACAAATTTATGTTAATCACATAGTTAATTCCTGATTTATGAATTATATCTCTGACTAGTTAAATCTGAGGTCAGTTTTATGTGTTGATAATTACATGATGTTAAATAAAGAAATCATTTTGCGTTTATTATATATATTGTTTCTTTTAATATAACTCAGTAACAAGGAAAAATGTGCAAATTATTTTTAGCAGATATTTATCTAGTACTTTGCAGTTACATTACTGAGTGCCTCAAATGTCCTGAGCCCTGTATAGTGATTTCTATATAAAATATAATTGCTGCCCTTATGGGCTTTATAATCTAGGGATCTCATACAGTAGTGGACATCTAGTGGATCATCAGAATCACCTAGGGATCTTTTAGAAAATGTTTCCTGTAGCTATACATAGAGGTTCTGATTCAGTGGGTCCAAGTAAGAAATCTGAAATCAATCTTTAAAGTTTCTTCCCTAATTTCAGTAACACACAGAATCGGGGACTTCTGAGGTAAGTAAAGTACTTTCAATCTGAAAAAGACTTTAGAAAACACCCATCTATTCTAACACCTTCATGGTAAATAAAACCCTAGGGATTGCGGAGCAGGTGGGCAGAACCAAAAGTAGAATTAGGAGGCCCGATTAAGAACATTCTCCATGTTCAAACACAGGCCCCCATCTTTGCCGCAGCTGGGAAGTTGATGAGTGGCAAGGTGATGCACAGTTCTACCTCTCTTACGGGGTATCCTCTCCTGCAACAGAGTCTTTACCCTGTGCGGGCAGTGTGGGTGATCCAAGATACCAATTAATAAGTACGAGTAATATTAAGTCATGGAAGGAAAAATAAGAAGGGCAGACGGGAGAGAAGACATGGCTTCGCTTAAATACTACTACTGTGGCCTTTGCAGATATTTGGAAACTTGGATTTGGCATCACCAATCTTTAATAATTCTATGTCTTTCAAAGTCCTTCTACTATTTTCAAAATAGGTTGAATAAAAATAGGTAAACAAATAGAGAATGAGAAACCTAATTAAGCAATTACTACTATGGTAGCTATTACTACCTACCTGTTTTCTTCATTAGCTAAGTATGGATATGGTAATCATATTTTTAATGTTGTTGTTGGTATATGAAGCTGAAGATAAAGATAAATTCAGACCAAATTTCAGTCTTCTCATAAATATAACATTTTTTCTTATTCAAAATTTACCTTATGGCCTGAGACATGAATCATGTTATAATGCCTTTGGTCTTTGATTTTATCTCTAATCATCCTGTTTTTGAGGAGTACCATGGAGTCCAATTAGCAACTATAGTCATTGATAAGCAGTCAGTTCTTCCATTCGTCTGTCCCTTTAATTGCTTCGTGCCACTTCTGTCTTTGAAATCCATGTTATCCTGGCCTTCGTAAATTAAAAATAGCTCCTCTCCAATATGGTATCAGGCCTAATTAATTATTCATACATTATTATTTTCCTAATTATTCTTCTTGATGTAAATGACATTAAAAGTCTGGGTCTATTTTTGGAACTCATAAGACCAAACAAAACAATGGCTTTAAGCAAGGTGAACCAGATGATGCCTTTGTGTGCGGTAATGTAATAACACAGCAAAGCCAAGCGAGGGAGAGAGATTATTCCATCAGCATTGAGGACTGCTTAAAGAACTTGTATTTTCCAATCTGCAGAAGCAGAATTTCTTTTAACCTCAGCTTTACTTCACTATCAGACGGCGTGGAGTGGCTAAATGCTAGTACCTGGCTGTCTAAGTGGGTCTGGGCCTTCCTGGCACTTCCCTCCCCAACTCCCCACTGATATATACAATGGTAGAGGGGAATGCGGGTCACCGTAAATTCTCCAGTGTACTCCTGCCACCGTTTTACTACCAGAGGAAAGAATGAGTCTTCTCATTTTCACTCCTCCCGATGGTAGCAACTTCAGAGGGCCCTTCGCCCAGTGGCCATTCTGGCTGGACAACCTGTACAACAAGAACAGGGACCTGACAGTGGAGTGGGCAGGGACTCCTGGCAGCTCTGCCTGCTTCCCTTGGCCCTGATTTCATGACAGATTCCTGTGCCAGGCCAATTAATTTTAAGACTTCCCTGCAATGGATTGCAGAAGTTGGAGAAAATGAGGAGGCCAGAAAGGTGGTTCTTCCCTATTTCTAACTTTCCTAAAGCAAGAGGAAAATATATAACGGAGGAACCTCAGGATCTTTTCTGTTCATTCTTGAGAGTAAAAATAACAATTTTTAAAAAATAAAATGAACTTTAAAGATTTGTTTGCATAACATCAATAAATGGTGGTGGACTACCTCAGAGTCCAGTTGGTTATTTGTGCAATAGATCATGCATCTGGCACTTTTTTTTTTTTTTTTTGATGAGGGAGAGAGCTTCCTGAAACAGAGAGGACATGGAGTAAGCTGGAGGTGTGCTCCTGAGGTTGCTTGCAGATGTTGTCTACACATGAGTGGAAGTAGCAAGGTCAGAGGAGACCCCTTCATGGAATATCAGTCTGTATCTTGGATGTTGTTATTTTGAGCCCCAGAATTAGGAAAAGTCAAGATATTATGGGCTGGTTTTACTGAACTCATGTAACCCAGCCTCTTTTATTCACAATATCCATATTTTAAAGCATATAGTCATATAAAAGTGAGTGAACACAGTACTAGATATCGAAAATTAATTTTAAAAACACATTCAGCATTGGGTTTTCCATCTTTGTAGTGAAACAAAGTCAGGGTTTATATAATTAATATCAAGCAGGTTAATTCTGCTCAAAAACTGCCTTAGTCAGTGGATAGTATCACAATTATTGAACTCCTGTGAAGCCCTCTGTTTCGCTTTGGCTGTGCTTGATATAGCCATCTCTACACCATCAGAGCTCTAACAGTAAGACAGACAAGGCTTGAAAGAACAGAACACCCGACATGATTGTAAATGTTGGGTAGACATCTTTAATTGCAGACCTAATTACCATGTGATTTTGGTTTGTATTCTATGGTTAGTAACTATATGAAAACTTACTTTTATATCATTTTTCAGTTTGAACCATCCTTTAATTTCTGTATTTACATATTCTTGCTCACTTTTTTTTTTTTTTTGTGAGCAGTCTCAATAAATGATATATATAAAATGTCCTGGCTGTGACCAGTTTAGGCATTTCCAGACACTGTCATGTGCACAGCTATTATTTTCTGCTTCATTCGTGAATGCTTATATTAGGAATTGCTGAAAATATGTAAGCAATTTTAATTTAATATTTTTAGAAGTGTACTTGATTTTTGTCCTTTCTTTTTCCCACTAAATAATTTATGTTCTGAAATCTTGCCTTCAAATTAGTTTAATTTTCCTTTCTAACTTAGATGGTTTCACAAATGCACAGTTGTACAAATGTACACACATACACAATCTTCTTTCACAAAGCTCAGCCTGGCTACAAGTGCAGAAAGACAAAGGAGTATTTCTCAGTAGCTCTGGAGTGTCAGAGGGTACTTCATGCTTAGGGTAAAGATGGGCCAGAGAAACACCAGAGCATTGAAGTGAATCTCCCATGATGTCCTAAGACCACATCCGTATGAAAGTCCAAGAAGTCAGGAGCAGAAACTTGGAAGGAGCAAAGTCAAAGAGGTTATGAAGCTCTACATCTTGGAGACGAGACACACATGTGCAAGAAGGTTTAGTGCCAGGAAAGGGGCTAGAAGGTGGAGAGTGTCTTGCACAATCCCCTAGACTGGACAACTCTCAGAGTTTACAACTTGCTTTTATGAGCCCTAGAGGGATTTGTTGGTGGGAGGGTGAGCCTGACTTAAAGGTTCAGGGTGGAAAGGACGTTGGTCTTGTTTGAAAAACGTTGATAAAACAAAAAGAAGTCCACTACTCTAGAGCCCTCGTTGTTGGCAGCTGTGCCCCAGTAGCAGTTCTAGGAGGGGGAAAATTCTTTTGTTAATGCTGTGGTTCCTTGACTTCAGTTTGGTTTGATGCAAATAAATTCTTTCATGTGTATCTCCTGATGAACACCCTGATTTTAAATCCTCTGTTATGATCTTACCACCAATCTTCTATTTAAAATAGGAGATAAACAAAATGCTTATGTTATAGAAAAGAGAATGTTTGTTTGCCACATAATTTCCTAGAGAAACTTCCAAACTGAAGTCTATTCTTCAAAAGAAGCACCTTTTGTTACAAAGGACATAAAGAGGTAGGGTTGAAAAGTTAATCATACAAATGTGTATTTTAATTCAAGTAAATCGGTTGTATTTTCCTGTGGAATAACATTTTCAAGTGAATATTTGTGAAATAGCACTGTAGATTTAAGCCCAATATTTCTTTTTCTAATTTGCTTTTTATTTGCATTCAAAATCATGGCCTTGCTTTGAACATTCTAAGGTATTTTAAAAGCCTGTAGTGACTGAGCCTTTGAAATAATATAGTAAGCAAAATATAAGTATTAAGACTTTAGTAATTATCCTGGCAAAGGATTGTACATAATTATATAGTTTTGAAATCAGAAATGACCAAAGAAATGATTCTGCTACTTGATGGCTTCCTAATGGCTAGTTGATAAGCATGAAACACCTTAGCATGAAGTAAGGCACTAGCTCCAAACTGACATATTTAATTCATCCTCTGGCTCCATTGTTTGCTCCCTGCGTTTCTTCTATGACAACATGATGCCGCTGTTGTTCTTCCTCCAGCACTGGTTGGCCTTTGCTCTGCTCCATCTGGAAATCCCCACTCACTTTCAAAGACTAGTTTCCATATAACACAACTCTTAATTCCTCAGTTAATTGCTCCCTATTTTGTGTCCCTAAGGCACTTTGTACATGGTGATATTTTAGTACTTGTCATACTGTATTTTTATGTGTTTTCATGTCTATCCCTGTAGACTTGTGGTTCTCAGCCCCAGACCCAAAGTATCCTTTTTAGAATAAACATTTGGTAATGACTTATTATGATCTTGACATAAAATCCTTAGATATGTCACTTCACCTATCCTTATTGTTTTTAAAAATCAGTGTAAAGAAGCCGGGCGCGGTGGCTCACGCTTGTAATCCCACCGCTTTGGGAGGCCGCAGCGGGTGGATCATCTGAGGTCAGGAGTTAGAGACCAGCCTGGCCAACATGGTGAAACCCTGTCTCTACAATAAATACAACAATTACCAGGTGTGGTGGTGGGTGCCTGTAATCCCAGCCCCTCCAGAGCCTGAGGCAGGAGAATCGCATGAACCCAGGAGGCAAAGGTGGCAGTGAGCTGAGATCATGCCATTGCACTCCAGCCTGGGTGACAAAGCAAAACTCCATCTCAGAAAAAAAAAAAAATCAGCATAAAGGAAGAAAAAAATAGTTTATAATATACTTATACAATAAATTATACAGCTCAAGAATGACTTTCTAACAAGGTAGAATCAGCCTCTACAAATTTCCGTAATGCACCCTAGGAGACAGTATCTTCTCCTGGGCTTAGGTAATCCTCCCACCTCAGCTTCTTAAGTAGCTAGGACTACATAGCCCAGACTATATGTACATAATTTTCCATTTATCCCAGGACCTATATAGTGAGCAAATTATTGTCTATAATATCAGACTGAGAATTATCTGAAAGTGAGGCTATACATCATAAATACTTTTATAACCTAAATATTAAGATACTTAGTAATTGCAGTTGATTATGTCTAGAATGTTGGACTGATTCATATAAGAAATCTATTAAGAACTTAAGCAGATGGATGAAAATAAGTGACCAGTCTATTTTTAATCCATATTATACCAATAGATTCATGTAGATTTCTTATATATGCCCCATTAACTTTTACAAAAGAAGGAAGAGTAAGTGAAGGAATCAAAATACATGGGATGAATTGTCATTTTTGATAATTTCATATATGCCTTGAATTTAGAGAACCTAGAATTCAGTCTTCCCAAGTCACTTTTTTACTTCCTTAATATGTAGGCTAGGAAATCTCTCGTAATAAAATGCTGTTGAATACAATGAAACCATAAAGAATACCCAAATGGATTGTCTCGTTCGTTCAGTGGCTGCATTTTTTCAAATACTGTTATACCTGATTTTTAAGCAGTGGGAAAATAAATATATGTAACTTTTATTAATCCCACGTATTTCTCATAAACTGTAAAAAATTGGTATATGGTCAATTAATGAAACAAAAAGGTGCTATCGTCTTTAAAAATACTGGGATTAAATAATTAGAAGCAGCCAATAAATGTTGGTTTTGGTTATAGAATAGTTGAACAGCTTAAATTCTGTCTCAAAAAAAAAAAAAAAAAAGAGCCCTGCAAGTTTCTCTTTGTCCATCTCTTAGCAGGGGTAAGGCGATGCTGGGTGATATTTTTTCAGTGGGAAAATGCTGGTAAGGGATATTTACATTTTATTTATGGTCTTAATATGCAGGAGAAAATATCTCTCTGATTGTCTATGCTTATCAAGATTAAAAGTTACTGATGAGAAAAATGGAAAAATATATAGTAAGTTTTAAATCACAGAAATTATTTCAGCCAATTAAATTAGAAGCCTAAGAAATAGGAAAATCCATTGCAGGAGACCAATAAAGACAGAATTTGATGGGTACCTAGATATAAATTTTGCAGCCACTTACTGAAATGCATTGATGACCAAGGAATATTGGGGAAATAGACTCAGGATAAATTCCGAATAGACTGATATTTATGGTTTGTTTAGAAATAAAGGTATTAATATAAGAATTGGTAAGGTCATATAAATGTTCTAGAATACATCCCAGGGTGATGCGTAAAGAGAAGCTTCCTCATTAAATTGTTCTTCATGTTTTCAAAGATCTAGAGAATAGGAAATGGAATTCCTTTTTAACTTGTAGGATAATCTTGTTGAATGTTTAGAAAGAGCATTTTGATTTGCCTCAGATGCAGCAGTCCTTATGGGGTTGAGTATCTAGAGATGATTGTATAGAAAATAGCCAGTCACTGTCTTTAGATATAGGTAAGGGAACTGGGGTGCCACTGTCATGGAAAAGCAGTCAGGCAAATTGTTGGTGATATTAATACTCTGCACTATATGCCTCTACTTTTCTTCTCTTTGTCCTGTTCCCTCTTTATGTTTTTCTCTTTTCTTACTCATTGTCTTAGATTGACTCTAGCAAAGACACCCCATGCAATATTGGCGCACACATTTATTCAATCAGCAGGTATTTATTGGTCCCTGACTCTATGCTCATTGATTTGTCTCCAGGTAGAGAGTGGTCTAGATTAACTCCAGATAGTTGCCTAAAATCTCTTCACACACCGACTGGCATTCTACTAAACTATTTAAGATCCAAATTTTATTTTAAGTGTCTCATTTTAAATTCTTAATCTGAAAGCATAAATTGTGAGTCAGTCTTAAGACTTAATTGATTGCATGCTAGTAAGAAACTGACTGGATTTTTTTAAAGGACAATAACCTGAAATAAAGCTGTTATATTAGCTCTAAATCATATCATATTAAAAATGAAATATATAGACAAATAATACAGGAATAAGTGTGTGTACCTGAGGTTATGATTTATTCCTCAGTGTTTATGATGTCTTATTTTCTCTACACAGTGGACATTGTGCTCTTACTCAGAACTGATAGTGTCATTGCTCAAGGCAAAATCTTTACTAAGATAATTTAGGGTGGAGTTGTTTATGATGCTATCGACTTGAGATGGACATTCTACACTTTCAAAAAAAAGGGAAGAATTGTCAGAAAGCATTGTCTAATATGCCAAATTTTAAATCATAATTATTAATTCTTCAAACTAATTTCTAGAGGACCAGGATGACTGTTAGCTCATATTCAGGTCTCTGAAATAAGAATTGAGCATTGTTTTTATTGCTTTAGTTACAGGAGCTTGTGGGCAACATGTCTCACTGAGGCATTTATAAGGTAAAACTTGCCTTCTGTCTGGGAACGTGTCATTGAGTCATTGCAATGGAAGAAATCTCATAAATCACCTAGCTCAATTTTCTAATTTCATAGAGGAAGAAACTGAAGTACAGTGGATTTCACTGACATTGTCATTCCACAAGGTTAATTACACAAGTGGCACTAGAATATAGGCCACCTAACTTCTATTATCATGACTTTCCACCACATCACACTGCTTCATTCATTCTTTCTTCCATCCATCCACCCATCAGTTCAACCTAATGACACATACATGTTGTTGCTGACTACTTACCAGTCATAATTACAGGGGTTTAATTGATCATTTAAAGTATGTTACTTTTTAAGATTTTCTCCGGAGAAAATATTCAAAATACTTCAGTTTTAGGAGAACAAAAGCCTATGTCCAATTTGAATTTACTTTAATGAATATATATTTAATAAATATACAGATATTTTGAGATCTTATTATACAATTCAAATAAAGGAAAAGATTTCAACTTGTCCAAAGTTTGTACGAGATCATCAGGTAGTTCTTCCAAGTGATATTTTTGACTAATTCCTAAAGCTGATATTGACTAGTGTTGCAATCTAACTTGATGTCAGCATGCATAACTGTTCAGTGTACTGTAATAGACGCTTAACATCAGGCTTTCTAATTATCTTGAATCCTAGAAATGATATAATAGACCATTCATTTTTATTCCTCCTTAAGCGTTGTAATTAATTATTGATTTAAATGGGAATGTTTCACAAATTTTATTTCAAACTAGGACCGCATCACTTTTAACTTAAAATTGACTTCAGCTTTTTCAATCGATTTAATATAATTCTTCATCATAGTTAATGTAGACTTTTTCTCCACTTTGTATTAATGACTTTGGTACCACAGGATAGTTTAAGATTTATATTATTATTATTTAGCCCATGATTCTATGAGAATATCATTGGCAATTATGTTGTTATAATTTCTGCAATAGTGCTAAGGAAAAGGAAATATCTGATTTGTGAATCCTTAGGTTTCTAGAGCTATGTTGCCAGTCAAATAATCTTATAAAGACATAAAAGGTGCTGTGCATTTGTACATCTTGAAAATTGACATTATGCCATTACTTTCATTAGTGGGAATATCATTCAAGTCTTTAGAAACAAATTACATTTTTATGTCTAGCATTGTTTCTCAAAGAAACATTGAATAATGCTAAGCTAATCTTTGGGGTTATCTCATTTCCTTTTCAACACTTTATACATTGTCCCTACTTCCCTAAAGCAATATTTTCTTCATTCTCTTGTCCTTTGGCGGTTTCTCTCTACACACATAGTCCTTCACTCTCTTCTGCCCCCACCCATCCTTTCCCTCTCTCATTCCTCTGATATAAAAGTTGGTACCATATTTCCAGGGGTTCAAATCAATCCATAATTGCGGTCTAGAGTCCTGTGTGGAAAGATTTTGAGATTACAGCTCAGATCAATGGGAAAGGCTGCTATGATCAAATGGTGATATCTGCCCTAAATGTTTGCTTGAGGAGTGGTAGACTTTTCCAGCTTTCCTTGAAACAATATCTCCAGTGCATTTGATACCTCCCTAACATCATGACGATTAACTAATCTGAAAAACAAATCTCCATATATTTATTTTGAGATAGGGTCTCACTCTGCTGTCCAGGCTGGAATGCAGTGGTGCAAACATGGCTCACTGCAGCCCTGACCTCCCAGGCTCATGGGATCCTTTCACCTCAGTCTCCGGAGTAGCTGGGACAGCAGGTGTGCACCACCACACCCAGCTCATTTTTTAAAAGAGTTTTTTGCAGAGAGGGAGTCTCGCCATGTTGCTAAGGCTGGTCTGGAACTCCTGGCCTCAAGCAATCCTCCGGCCTTGCCCTCCTAAAATGTTGGGATTACAGGCGTGACCCATTGTGCCCAGCTGAAATCTCTATTGATGTACTGAAAAAGCTTGGCTCCCAGCTTCTCATTTCTCTTCTAGTTACCATTACTTATGTGTAGTTTAATACTGACCTTCTGAAGACCATGTCATTTTTTTAAAGCTATTTTTGGATAGTGCTGGGAAACTGAATTTCCCCTAATCATGCTACTAAGAGAAGAAACTGTTTTATGACCCTTAGGTATTATGCAAACCAAGAATTTTTTTTTTTTTAATAGGGAGACTGAATACACTTTGAGTTTTCTGACATTTTACCCTTTGGAATTGGAACTTTTATATGGAAGTCTATTTAATTGTGCTAAATGTTTATGTTTTCACTCTTTCTGAATATTCCATCATATCTTCTTCCTTTTTATTTAGTCTTGGTACCTAAACTATATTTATATTTAACCTTTATAAAACAATATATTATATTTCACCTTTATTCTTAAGAAATGAATGCTGGCAAATGCTATTATAATCTTGATTTAGTGTTCTCTCACTTATTAAAGGCTTGGATCATACCAAAGACATATCAGTTATTTTATGATATTTCTTAGATTCATACATCAACTAATTGAGAAAAATGAAGACAATTTGATAATAAAGTTAATTTATGTGAAAAGTGCTTTAGAATGCTAAAGCACACTTTCTGGATTTACTTCTATTATTAAAATATTTACGATTGATATTTATTCAGATATCTAAGAGATTTTTTTAAAGTGGCTACATCCTGCTTTAGAGACAAAAAGGAAGTCAGGAGAAAGGAGATGAGTGGCCTATGTGAAGGGATCATGAACTTTCTTTCTAAAGATATGTGAGGATATTTTGTTTTAGATATTTTTTTCATTATGAGTTTCAACCTGAAAACCGTTTTTTTTTTTTAAAAAAAAGGCAAAACAAATTAATTCTGGTTGGTAATCAGATTAGTAACGTGATTGGATCGATGAATATGATGATAATTATAAAGAATTGCTAACAGAATTAATGGGTTAAAGTGGAGAATATGAGGTGAAACTCATAAAATTTGCCTTCCTATACAAAGATCTGTAACTGTAAAGTAATGCACTAGAAGAAAGATATAGTGATGAAAGAAAATGATTCTTTAAAACTTGAACTGATTTGAGTGACACTGCACATTGTGTTCAACATAATAGGAAGTTAATTACTGTTTGTGTATTTAGTGTTTGAAGATTTGAGTGGTGAAAGAGGTATGAATACACATGTCTATGAACACTTTCATGCCAACAGATAGCAAACAAGTTGGGAGTGTTGTTCCTGTGGTATGAGATACCCTCCCGTGGTTTAGAAAAACTGTCTTTTTTCAGCATACATTTTCCTAAATTTAAATCATTTGTTCATTCATACAAAAACGCATCTTCTGAGTGCTGGCCATGTGCCAGGCACTGTGTTAGGCACTAGGTATCCCATGTTGAGGGAAGCAGATGTGGTAACTGCCCTCAGGGAGATTCTCTTCTACTGGAGAGACCAGTAGAAGGGAATCAAATAAGCAAGTAACTCAAACTAAAATACACTTACATAAACACATTGGGAAAAGGGTGTTAAGGAATAAACGGTGCTGTGATAGATAAAAATGTTACTGGGAGACAGTCCTAGGCTGGGAAACCATGAAGAGGGAATTGGAAGAATAAGGAACCAGACACGCAAAGAGAGCTGCGGCACTGAAGGTAGCTCCGAGGTGGGCATGATCCAGAAACTGGTAGCAGGACAGTGAGGCTGGAGGAGTGGACACCACTGGAGAAGGGGAAGGAGGGAAAGGAGATGCCATAGGCGAGGTTGGCAGGGGCCCTGTCATGCCGCCTTTCATAAGCCGGGGCAAGTGCTTTGGAGTTTGCACAAAAGTAATGGGAAGCCCTTGATAGGCTTTAAGCAGAGGGTGACTTAATCTCTGTGATTTATGCTTTGAAAAGTTCATTCTAACAGCTGCAGAAAAAATGGTTTAGAGGCACCTAAAGAGGATGTGGAGAAACTGTTAGACAACTGCTCACAGGCCAGGGCCCCGAACAGTGGCAGTGGCAGTAGGGGTAGAAAGAAGTGGACGGGATTCAGAACTCACTCATGTTTAACTCGACAATCTGAAACGTGGAGAAATGACAGTTGGAGAACACGCCTTTCAGTTTATATTCCCTACTGTGCTTCCTCCCTTTCTCTAATGCCTAAAACATAGTTACAGGCTTCTAATGAATGCTTTCTCCCCAGATTTTGTTTCTAAGATTAGTCCCCCTGTTGTAATTATAGTTTACATAGTAATAAGTAAAATATAATTTTATATTATATTGTAATTTATATAGTTGCCATTTTGGGTTCAACATGGCTGAATATTGTTCAATTCGTATGATTCGACCCAACAGACTCAGAGTTTTACAATTCTCATTTAAACACTTGGCTAACACGGATGTATTCTATAAAAAGGAAAATAATCTCCTTTTGTATGGATAAATAAATGAAGGGTCCAATGGCATTTCAGTGATGAAAGATCCATTACTGCTGTTCCTCAGTCCCTGAAACATAGAGCACCCTCACTGGGTAATCTGGGATACAGGGGGAATGGAATGACCACTTTGTTAAAAAAAAAAAAAAAAAAAGCCCACCTATCCACTATACTCAGTCAAATTCTATTATCCTTTTATTACTCTGTAATTTTGAGGGCAAGTTCAGCGAATAACTGTAGACGCTATTAAGAGCTGTCATGGAAAATGTATCTGTCCTTAAATGGAAGGGAGAAACATTACTGCAGAGGCAGTGCTGTTTCAATGTAGATAATTCTCCCCTTCAAGCTTTTTAAAATAATGTTTATTGTTTCCTACGATGTCTCCCCAGACCGTTCTAACACTTGCAATTGCAGTCCTGCCTTTTTCCTCTTGTCAGGAATAAAATTTATGGAAGAAGCATGGCCCACGGGAACCAATCTTGTTTCATGTTAGTGTCTACACTAATAGTGCATAACAAGGGTCAATAGTAACTTGCAGGAAACATTGTTAAATCTACCCAGCTTCTTAAAGGGTAAAAGGCCCAGAAAGAGGCTCTGACATTCTTTTCTCTTTAGCTTTATTTTGGGCATAAGAGAGAGAAAATGTGGCTGGTAGAAGTCATCATAACACATGCAAATAACAATATTGTGGAAAATCACTGTATTATTGCCCCATGGTTGCTACAATAAATTGTCACACACTAGGTGGTGTCTTAAGACATCAGGAATTTATTCTCTCACATTTTTGGAGACCAGAAATCAGAAATCAAGGTGTGGGCAGGACTGAGTTCCCTCCAGAGGCTCTGGGGTGGAATCCTTTCTTGCCTCTTTCAGTTTATGGAAGCTCTATGCATGCCTTGTTCTGTGACTGTTTCAATCCAATCTCTGCCTCTGTCTTCACACAACCTCCTTCCGTGTGTCTTCTTCTGTCCTTTTCTGTCACTTATGAGGGCATTCTCATTGGATTTAGGGCCAATCCTAATTCAGCACGATCTCAACTAAATCCGTAATTACATCTACAAAGACCCTATCTCCAAATAAGGTCATATCCTGTGGTTTCAGGTGGACATAAGCTTTGGAGGAGAGAATACTATTTCACACACTATGGTCACTGACTTGATGGTTTCTTTCTTTTTTTTTTTTCTTTCCTAATTCCAATTTTTATTTTATTTTACTTTAAGTTCTGGGATACATATGCAGACTGTGCAGGTTTGTTACATAGGTATACATGTGCCATGGTGGCTTGCTGCAGCTATCAACCCGTCATCCAGGTTTTAAGGCCCGCATGCACCAGGTACCTGTACTAATGCTCTTCCTCCCCTTCCCCTCCACCCCCAACAGGCCCCAGTGTGTGATGCTCCTCTCTCTGTGTTCCATGTGTTCTCATTGTTCAACTCCCACTTATGAGTGAGAACATGCAGTATTTGGTTTTCTGTTCCTGTGTTAGTTTGCTGAGAATGATGGCTTCCAACTTCATCCATGTCCCTGCAAAGGATATGAACTCATTCTTTTTTATGGCTGCAGCCTAATTCCAGTTTTATCAACTTTTAAGGAAGCTATTTATTCTCAATGCTTTGCCTCTAAAAATAAGATGGGAAAATGGGATAAAGACAGTTGATTCATAGGATTGTCAGAAGATCAAATTACCAAACGATCTCTATAGACATTCAGTAAGAGAACATAATTTAATATGGAAATATTTGATCTAATTGTAAAATGCTATTAATTTGCTCAACCAAACTCTTGTGATGGAGACTTTGAAAGAAGTACGTTTCCACATATGGTCTGAATTTATCACTTTTTCATATTACTGGGCTTGAAGTGATAGGTTCTTGGGCATAGATTGAGGTTCTAGCTTGAAGAATGTTTGCCTTTTATGTATTTGTATAAGTTTCTATTTCATCAGTTTTATTTATACTAACAATTTTAGTTTGGTCTTAGTTCCCAATATATATATATATCACATGTGACTATCTGAACGATCATCCTGTATATCTCTTTCTATGGGGCAGGAATTCTGCCAAAATTCCATCCATTATACTCTGCAATCCTGTATCACAACAGGTCTTTGAATGAGATATGATTGTCCCTGCTTTAGAGATGATGAAACTGAAGCTTAACTGACTTGTGCCAATACATACAGGTGTCAGCAAGATAACTGCTATTTAAACCTAGGGCTTCTTGGCTCCAGGGTGCAAGCTTTTGACCACTGCCTAATGATTCTCTTTAAGGATGTGCATCCTGAGTTTGGGAGGAGGTCTACACATTTATCAGCTGTTAATCCAGTGTTACCTCAAGCCTATTGCGTTCCTGAGACCTGAAGCATCTTTCTGGGTCTCAGTGTGCCTGGCCCATGACCTTACCCAAGGAGGGCTCAAGTTCAATCCCTTGGGGGCTCAAATTGTTTCTTCAGACTCCTGGCAACTTGGAGCAGAAGCAACTGATATTGAATGAGGAGACAGAGATCATTTGCCCTAGCAGTATCATTCACCTTCAACTAAGATTTCCCCCTGGATGCTATACCTATTCAGAGGCAGACTAAGGTCACCAATTAAGCTGAATAGAGTAGCTTTCTCTCAAGCTGAGGTATATGCCAGATTAAAAGGTGGCCTTACACTCAAATGATGCCTCCTTAGAGCTGCCCACCTGACCTCTGTAAGGGACATAGTCTCTTCCACCTTCCCCGTTACTTTCTGTCAGCTTATTCTATTCCATTTTTCACCATTGCTCTTATCAAAACCTGATATATTTTTATGTTTATTCCTTTCTTTATTATCTGTCTACCACTAGAATGTAAGCTCCCTCAGGCCAATAACTTCATAGGTTTTACTTCTATTTCCCTGGCATCTAGGAAAGGGCTTGGCAAAATGCTCAAAGGACTTATGAGTGTGTGAGTGAGTCAGTGAATGCACAGCGTTGCCATGGTTAAACCAGTGATTCATACCTCATTTCTTTCCCCTTCCTCTTTTATTTTAAAGAAATTATAGGACACCACTGAGCCCTAAACACAGATAAAACATCAGTATTAAGATATCTATTGAGCTGCAGTATTCTTACTTGGTGTAATGATGTGGGGTGAGATTTATGATTACTATTGGGTGAGTTTCATAAGAGAATTAAAAGAAAATCTTAGAGCTAAAGTAGCTGGAAGGATGAATGGGTAGAAATACTAATTACTGCTAGAAATACTCGTGACTGAATAAAAATATATGCTGCCAGGCACGGTGGCTTATGCCTGTAATCCCAGCACTTTGGGAAGGCGAGACAGGCAGATCACGAGGTCAGGAGATCGAGACCATCCTGGCTAACATAGTGAAACCCCGTCTCTACTAAAAATACAAAAAAAAAATAAATAGCCGGGCGTGGTGGCAGGCACCTGTAGTCCTAGCTACTTGGGAGGCTGAGGCAGGAGAATGGCGTGAACCCAAGAGGTGGAGCTTGTAGTGAGCCGAGATCGCACCACTGCACTCCAGCTTGGGCAACAGAGCAAGACTCCATCTCAAAAAAAAAAAAAAAATTATATATACTGTGTATAATGAATATATGTAAATGGTACCATTTATATGTATGTATGTATATATGTATACACACAGAATGTATGTATATATGTATACACACAGAATGTATGTATATACTACCTTTAATATATGTTAAATATGTACACGTTTATATATGTATACACAAACACACAGGTAGTTTACTATATCTATTTTTCCTTTTAGTAAAGGGAAATCAGCATGGAATCATGTTACATTTATTTATTTATTTACATATAAATGTCTACCATCAGAAAAAAAAACAGTTGGGATAAATTGTTAAGCCCTCTAATTTAGAAGGATGGGAATGTTTTTTACATTTAATCATTGACTGCCAAAAAATAAGAGTCTGCACATGATATTCCTGGGTCACAGACTTTAAAGGAATAGTGATTTTTGCTTGCTTTTACTACTAATGAATTTCAAGAGTTAGACAGGATGTGTAATTTGAGTGGGATGCCTAACATTATGGAAAGAGAGACAGGCATTTTTTTTTTTTCTCCACCAGAAGCCTGGATCTCTTAATATGGGGATATGCTGTGTTTAAGAGGAACTTGGAGGGTGACAAACAGAGGAGGAAAATAGACCGAATTTGCTTAAGGAGAAGATAGATGAGGTGGAAAGTGAAAATTCTGTTTTTTTTTTTTCTTTTTCCTTTGACTAGAAGGTTTAGTTTTCCAAACTGCCTTGTAGGATTGAGTAAAGATTATTGGTAAACCGTTCTGGGAACTTCAATGGAGAAGGAAGGTCAAAGCACCAGGGGTGACCAGTGGGAGGGAAAGGAGACCTTTACTGAGGGCTCAGCTCTGTGTTTCTACTGCTGGTGAATGTCTATCACATTATGACTTTCTCCTTTTCTGTAATGGCACTTATAGAGACAATGAAAAGGTAATGGGACCTCAATATAGTGTACTCTAGAGACCCAGCTGAAGTGGTGAAGTAGCTTCTAAGACTCAAAAACACATCAAATGGATCACGTTTGCTGCCTTTCGGTGTGTTATGGGCAGGAGTGGAAAGAGACTGAGAATGTTCAACAAGTAGCTCCAAGAACTTTAAAGGCATTTAGTTTCCATTTCTGGGGTGTCTGCTAAGTTACATACATTAGTCAATGTTTTAAAGCCATATTTTTAAATCCTTTTTTTCCCCAGAAGATTGATCTTTATTATCTTTTAATGATATGTGTCCAAAATATGTTTGTTAAAAATAGCCTTTTGTCAGCTTGCATGTATAGTTTTTTTTTCTTTTTGTTTAATTACTGTCATTAAAAAAAAAAAATCTTGGGGACATTGGTGTCTTAGTTCTTTGTTTCCTTATAAGGGCATTTACCTTCACAGCCACTCAGGTCACTGCTATTTTTATATAAACTCTGTGGAAAGTCACCAGTATATCACAATTCTCTTGGTCTCCTCCTTGAGATCTTTTTGTGGCTACTTAAATAAATACTATGTGTCTTTTATTATGGGGAAGAATCTGCTTTATCATGGGTAGTGTGCCTGGTAATCAAGGAACAACTTTTACCAACTTTGCTATGTGCTGTATCACCAAGTTTGTTATAATGATATAGAAAAAAGGGAGTTCATCATGGAGCAGTGCTAAAATACCAGAAATTATAATAATAATATACTGCCATTTAAATTAGGAGCAGTGTAATTTAGAGCCATAGGGAATATGAAATGTTATTTAGAAAACGATTATCCTCTCCTACAAGTCTAATAACTATCTTCTAAGCCATAACTTTAGTATAAATTTAACTTGTCCTTTTTCAGGGACGTAGTAGAGAGATTTTAAATGATATAATTACAACCAATGTCACTCCCCATAACTGATGTCTACCTGGATCAGATTGATTGTGAGTCTTGATGACAAATGCCAGCTACTTTTGGTCACTGGAGAAAGGCCATATTTCTCAAGTATGATTTGACTTTCAGTAAAATAAATCCACGACTTGGTTGTACACTAATGGAAAGACCTTTCAGGAGTAAGTGTTGCTTTGTACAGTACAGGTTTTTAATTTGATCCTTTTCAGATACTAAGATAAATACATAAGCATATGCATTCGTTTTGTTAAAGAGAAAACATTTAAGCATAATTCAACATGCACTTCTTGCCATGGCTCTTTTTGAGTTTCAACTTGTCTAATGATTCTGCCACCCCCTCAGGGTGGGTTTTCATTTCTTGGGGTTCTTTTTCTTAGCTTTTAAGATTTAGTGGCCTATACTAAGGGGCACTTATCTTGCTACAAGATAGCATGTTTCATTGGCTACATTCACTCTGGCAGATGAGTTACGGCAGATTCTTTAATATATATATTTTGCTTTTTTCCTATAGATGGACCCTCATAGTGTTTTGACAGTTAAAAAGGATGGGGGGTTATTGAACGTCTAGTTTCTCAGCTGCTGAGCTGTATTTTTTGAGCTATATATCAGCAAAATTACCCAGCTCTCTTACAGAAGGTGTTCTGTTGCCAGATGGTACTCTGTAGGAAACAACTTCTTAGTTTTCTTAAATCAGGATTTATAGTGAAATAGAATAACACTTACATATAGGAGGCTTAGGTGTCTCTGGAAATCTTGGAGTCTCAAATATCCTTTTCTCTCTCTGTCTTCATTGTATCCTGTTCAATTAAGCTGATAACTAAATGTCTACACTGCTATTCAATAACTGAGGGGCGTATTCTTAGCAATTTTCATTGTACTGCCTGCTTTGTGACCAGACTGAAAGGTTCAGCTCCAATTGCAACATTAGCCTGGCAACTACGACCAATCATTACCAATGATTTTTGACCCCCCTAATTGTTTTTTACTTTATTGAGCTTATTCGGAAACAATGAAACTCCATCCTGCCTTTTCTTAAAAGATATTTGCACAAAGTGCAGTTGCTGTTTCTTCTATAAACTCATCAGCATTGCCTTAAGGAGGCCCCTTAATTATCGATTTTCTACTCTAGCTAATAGATCTCCTAATTTGCAGAAATACCCCAATGCAAGGTTTTAACAATTAGAAAATTACAAAAGGAAGTCCCAAAGGACCCTTAGCTTCTACACATACTGATGGCTCAGCATCATACTTCCTGCTGGAAGCTGGGGAACCAGACGGCCAGGGAGAGAATATAAAACACAAAATTAAATATATGGGCAATGTTTCCTTTTTTCCCAAGTTTTGCACTTGTTTCAAAGCAATGTCTTCTCACTTGGATTGAAAATGGCACTTTTTCACTAACCGTAGTGAAATATTTTTTACATGAAGTACTATGGTAGTTATTTTACACCCACATCCATAACACAGGGAAGACACCGGTCAGGTTTCACTAAACCCTTTGGGAAGATATGTGTGATTAGCTGTTACATTCTTCCATGCCTTAAAATCTAAACCCGTGTATTTTAAGCAAATATTGATTGTTTTTCATAATATCAAAATTGTCTTGGGCTGTAGTTTTCATACAGAAGATTCTTGGAGTTTAGAACATACCTTTCTATGCTGCCTAATCATTTATTGTTAATTAAATTTGAGAGATATAGATAGATAGATATTTGAGATATATCTATATATAGAGAAAAATATGTATATTTGATATATATATATATATATATAGAGAGAGAGAGAGAGAGAGAGAGAGAGAGAGTGAGAGTCTCTCACTGTCGTCTGGGCTGGAGTGCAATGGTGTGATCTTGGCTCACTGCAACCTCTGCCTCCTGGGTTCAAGCGATTCTCCTGCTCCAGCCTCCTAAGTAGTTGGAATTACACGCGCCCACCACCACACCCAGCTAATTTTTTGTATTTTTAGTAGAGATGGAATTTCACCATGTTGGCCAGCCTAGTCTAGAACTCCTGATCTCGTGATCGTGATCTGCCCACCTCGGCCGCAGAAAGTGATGGGATTACAGGAGTGAATCACCATGCCTGGCCAAATTTGCTATAATTTTGTGACCCGTTTGAGAACATTAGCATTGCCAGAGTACCAAGTATTTTAGTAATACAACATTCAGTTTTGACATCTTTTAAAATGCTAGTTTGCTTGTGATTAAATCCCAAGCTTGAAAATATATGTTGCATATGTTAGAAAGCTATTGCACAAATAAGGACTTAGACCTGTTCTCTCTCTCTCTCTCTCTCTCTTTTTTCTTTTTTGTTTTTGCTCATCCCCAGATTCCCTCAATTTTCCACCTAGAATTTGTCATATTCTTTTTTGCTTAATGATCTTCAGCATGTTCCATTGTCCCTAGAGAATGGCATTCAAGACCCCATGATATACTCCTGCCACTGGAAACACTTTCTCTCCATCCCTGCCCACGCTCTCTTAAGAGTTGTGGTTCATAGAAAGTCAACATTAATTTTTTTTTTCTTATTCCTTCCTCACTTTTTATATAGCAAGGCTCAGCACAGTGTGTTATGTATAGCAGAGACTCAGTAAACTTTGGTGGAACTTAAAAAAAAGAGTTGTCTCTCTTTATGACATTTTCATTTTAGTAATCTCTGATATTAAACTCACATTTATGCTGTTTAGTCATGTTCTCCTGAATGGAACCCCTTCCCCTAACTTTTCCAAACATCGAAATTGCTCCTGC
The DNA here is from genome assembly GCF_000001405.40 of Homo sapiens. Lineage (NCBI taxonomy): Eukaryota > Metazoa > Chordata > Mammalia > Primates > Hominidae > Homo > Homo sapiens. The sequence goes on from NC_000013.11 coordinate 93,394,103, forward strand.
AAGGATCCTTTCAAATATTACTACCTCTATAAAGTTTTATTTCTACCTGTGATTTTATTTCACCAGAAAATATCATTTTCTTTCTTGTATTCTAATAGCATTTTATGCTTGTAACTGTCATGGAGCTCATGGAATTTGATCATCAGCATGCATTTACTTGCACGCCTTCCACATTGGACCATGAGTTCCTATAGAAAGTGGCCCAGCCTTACTCATTCTTAGGTTTCTTTTATATGGCTTAGAACCCCACACATATTATAGTAAGTATTCAATAAATGCTGATTGAAGGAACTGGAACCTTGGTGATTATGTGGTTATTGCCTTTATTGTTTTGTAAGTGAATAAAAACAATGTTGCTCTAAGAATTCATTTGGTGATTACCTCAATGTCCTCATCAGCCCCTGATAGTTCCTCTCTTAGGTTATTGGTTTCTTGCTTTCTATTCAAATGTAATACAAACTTAAAAGTTAATGAAACATATTTTCAAGTTGGTGAGGCTGATAGGTCCAGAATTATTTCCTCCATTTTACAGATACAGGATAAAAGGCTCAAGTGATGCAAACCAAGTTATAGGTAGAAAAGCAAGTACTTGAGTTAAGACCTGCTCTACTCTAACCCTTCAGAGTCATTTAGTAATCACTGGAAGTTCCACTGTGAATCTGGTCTTGTTTCTCCATGTGGTATTAGGTAATTTTATTTATTTATTTATTTATTTATTTTAGAAGACACATATATTCAGTGTCATGATCAGACTAATACATTTAAAAATCAACAGCAAGGGCACAAAAAAATCTACATTGAAACCCTTTGTCAGAATATTCTACACTTTTCCAAAGAACACAAACTTAACACTTTCCACAGTACAGAAACAGAAGCAAAGTATTGGCCTCCACTGTCACAGGGGCACAGCTTATCCCTCCAAAGTGTCCTCCCTTCATGGGTCCAAAATGTGAAGACTGACTGTTGTAATTGCCAAAATCATTGCAGATTACACAACTTCCAAAGTTGATTCCATCATTACCAAATCCATAACAGCCATACTCACTACTACCATATCCACCACCACTATGGCTACCATCAAAGTCACTGCAACTACTAATGTTTCTTCCATGATCAAAGTTGTCATTCCCACCAGAACCACTTGCACAACCACCACTAAAGTTTCCAGAACCACTTTGACCTCTTTGGCTGGATGAAGCACCAGCCATCTCTTGCTTTGACAGGGTTTTCCCAACTTCACAGTTGTGTCCATTCACAGGATGGTATTTCGGAATGACAATCTTATCCACAGAATCACGGCCATCAAAAGTTACAGAAGCAAAGCCCCATTTCTTGCCACTGTCTTGGTCAATCATTATTTCAATCACATCAATTTTCCCATACTATTCAAAATCATTTCTTAGGTGGCATTCTTCAGTGTTTTCTTTGATGCCACCAACAACAAATATATTCTTCACAGTTAAATGGGCACCTGCTCATTGAGAACCTTAATAGCTCCCTTTGGTCCCACAACTCTTCCATTCACTTTGTGCCACCTTCCATGCCACCTTCTTCACAGTGGCATAGATGACAAACCAAAATCCCCTGAGTGTTTGGAACTCTCATTACCAGGTAGTCTGGGAGCTGTTCCCCATTGCTCCTGAATGTCTCATTGGTTGTTTCAAAGCTCAGCCCTCTGATGAAGAGCTTCTGCAGCTGTTCGGACTTTTTAGGAGAGTCCGACCTAGACATGATGGCAGGGGGAAGAGAGACTTCAACAATGTGGGCAGAAAGCCATTAGGGAATTTTAGATGTCTTACTGGTAAAGTATAACTTTTAATTATTTTCCAAGCTAAAGGAAGAGTCATGTGTTAATCTATCCCTGATGGAAAATAAATGCCTTAGGGAACTTGTCCTATATAGTTTGGGAAAAGTAGCTTAGCCTTTACACCTACTTTATATCCTGGAGAAGAAATTGAGGTAGAGGTGAACTTGACCTACTGGTATCAACATTTGCTCCCATCCCGAACTAAACACACAATGGTAAAGGTCATCTGAAATTGTTAGTTTTTATTTATTTTTTAGTAATAAAACATGTGTTTATTGTAGAAATGTTAGGGAACTTAAGAATATTTAAAGAATTATAAAATGTTAATTATCCATAGATAGGAATTCACTATTAACCTTTTAATAATAAAACTAGCTGGGCATGGTAGCTCACGCCTGTAATCCCAGCAATTTTGGAGGCCGAGGTGGGCGGATCATGAGGTTAGGAGTTCGAGACCAGCCTGGCCAATACGGTGAAAACCTGTCTTTACTAAAAATACAAAAATTAACCAGGCGTGGTGGCGGGCGCCAGTAATCCCAGCTACTCGGGAGGCTGAGGCAGGAGAATCGCTTGAACCCGGGAGGCGGAGGTTGCAGTGAGCTGAGATCATGCCTGGGCATGATACTCCAGCCCGGGCAACAGAGCAAGACTCCATCTCAAAAAAGAAAATAATAATAATAATAATAATAATAGAACTATAAGCTCTGGAACTAGGCTTCCAGGCTTTAAATCTTGGCTCTGTGATTTACTAGTTTAAGGACAATGGTAAAGTTACCTCATCTTTCTAGGTTTAAGTTTACCCATTTATACAATGGAAATAATATGATTGCTTATATCAGTGATTGCTTAATCTTGTGATGATTAAGTGATTTTATAACATAGAGCACTTACAATAGTGCCTGATCACATCATATGTACTCCCTTAACTATTATTATTATTCCATCTCCAGTCTTTTTATTTTTATGCACATGCTTTTAAAAATTTCACAACCTTCCCTTATTATGCAACTTTTCATCCTACATTTTCCATTTAAGGGTATAACAAAGCATACTTTACATACTAAATATTCTTTAGAATATGAATTTAATTACATTAAGCCATCATTTGCAATTATCCTTCATCATTTGTTTCCAACCTTTGACTATTGTAAACTATACTTTGATAAACATTTATACTTATATTTGGATGATGTGCTTGGGATAGATCCCCAGAGGAATTACTGGATCAAATTATATAATTATTTTAAGGATTTTGAGTTATTTATATTTAAAAATATCCTTATTGAGGTATAATTCACATCCTGTACAGTTCACACATTTGAAGTGGACATTTCAGTCCATCATTTTCCATTTCCATCAGCAATGTACAAAGGTTCCAATTTATCCACATCCTTGTCAACACTTGTTATTTTCTTCCTTTTTTTGGTATAGCCATCTAATAAGTGTAAAGTGATATCTCACTGTGGTTTTTATTTAGATTTCCCTAATGATTAATACTATTCAACATTTTCTCAAGTGCTGAGTCACCATTTGGATATCTTTCTTGAAGAAATATCTGTTCATGTCTTTTGCCCATTTTGAAACAGGGTTGTTTACTTTTAAGGAATTATTTGTAAATATTTACCATAGAAAACATTTTAATTGCCTTATATTTTGTACTTGTAACCTCTTTTGCTAGTGGAATTAAAGTTCATTAGGGTCTTTTCTTCATAAAATGAGCACCCTTTATGTGCCAGGTACTGTGCTGGGTTACAGGACACAAAGTATGTAAAGCTTTCCAGGTGACCACAGCCTAGAGTTGTCTGGTTTGTTCCTATTGCTGACTAGATAACCATGTTCTTTTCTCCCTCCTCTTTTTTTTTTTCTCTGCTCAAAAGCTATTTTTTTTTCCTAAAAAGTCCTACTCAACTTGGAAGCCTGTCCTTTGCCAAGTATAATTATATGGTATTTTATGACCCTGTACAGAGTGTGAAATGTATATTCTTAGCACAAACTGGCAGCATTCCTAACACTGTAAGATGCTGCTAAGGTATCTGAAAGGGATTATATGAAACTAAGCATTTTTAATACTTTGGAACCAGTGTTGATTCTTCCAATAGTAAATTTGTTCTGGGTTCCTTTCTGGTTTGCTCTGTGCCAGCCCCCATTTCAGCACTTTCAAACTACATTTAGGCAGTAGCTTTTCAGTACACCTTGAATTAGTCCCAAAACACACTGGAGCATGGAGTGATAATGAAATAGTATAACCAGAGAGAAAGATAGCATATTAATAGAACCACCCACAAGAAAGACCAAGTCCACTGAAGCAAAAACGTATGTTCTTTTTATGTTTAAAAATCTCATCACAGTCTCTCCCATTAAGCTTTCCTTGCAGAGTTTTCAAACTAAGGAGTCACATTTGGATCTGGTCTGGGATGGAGTGCTCTCTGGGGAGGCAAGTCTGCTCAGAATGAGTAATGGTGATTTGAGAAGTGGTGTGCTTTGTTTCATATGCTACAAACTCCACTTGTCTTTTCAGAAATCAATTGTGCAATATCTTCATTTTCTTTCTTACTGTCTTCTGGCTGTAGCAAGGGAGGAGTGTTGAGGACATGAGTAGTCTGCTTTAACTTGTGAATCTGCACCCCTTACCCTGAGCTAGAGCAATAGCCAGGTGAGTGCAGGGTTTGTCTCAAGTATGACATTATATTAGGGTATGGCATGTGTGGAATAATCATTAATTAATGGCAGCTAGCATGCACTGAACACTTGCTATAATTTAAACCAGGTCCTATGCCAGATACTTGACATGAATTATCTCATTTAATGTTCCCATTACCCTCGAGAGGCAGAGAGTTACTATCTGCATTCTAAAGACTTGACTAATGTTTCTAAGATCACAAGATGATGAGGTGATAGAATTGGGATTAAAAATTGAGCCTGTCTGAGGGCAAAGCCTGTGTACTTGACTATGTATTAGACAATTGTCTTCAGAGAGTGCTTTTGTTGATTCAGTCCCACTGGCTACTAATGGTATTCCATGATGCCAATCTTCTTTTAGTGTTTCGCAAATCATTATCTCAGGCCAGAAAGAGAAACTGAAGAAACCTTTCTTCAATGGTTACCGTGATCAGTTCCCTCTCCCCACATCTCTCTCCTACACACACACACAGACACACACACACACACACACACGTGCACACAAGCAAGGAATTTCTCTCACATTCACCGTGGTCTCTCATTCTTTCTCTTTTCATGTGCATGATCTGAAATACCCAAGGGGAGTGTCCTTGATGGTGCGTGTTCTGAATGGAAAACCTGAAAGTGCCGGAAACTGGGAGTGAGCCCTTAGAAGGGCTTGTGCATCTTCTCTTCATACACCTATTGCAATTTGTAATCTTACTCTTTGTGTTCACTTGTTTTAACACTGTTCTTCTTTGTCCTGTACTGTAATCTACATGAATGCAGAAACCATGCCTGATTTGTTTCCCCTATGACCCAGTACCTTGTGCAGTGCCTAGCATATGGCAAGTACTTCATAAATCCGCCTTGAGTGAAGGAAATCAATAAATGAATGTGTGTGTTCTCTCTGAGAGGATACAACACAGGAATTCACATCCAGGCTTAAAATAATTATTAATATTTCCTACGCATACACGAGATGCTGAAGTGGACAGAAAGTTTCAGGTGACAAGATCAGAAAAGAAATGTGAGTGTGACTCATGGGTCTGTCTTTTCATGCTGTTGAACATATTTACACAGGAAGAATGAATTTCTTCCCTCGGTAAGTCCAGAGACTGTGCAACCACGTGGACTTGGTTCTTTCTGAGGTGTGCCAGTGCCCCTCAAGGCAGTGGTGTTTGATGGGCTTTGTACACATGGCCTCCTGCCCACACCTTCCGAGCTTCCCAAATCAGTGCTGCCTAAATGCCTTTGTCCAAAAATGTGTGGATCTCTGTCTTTTGCAGAGGACTGCATGTGTGTTCTACAAGCTTCTTTTAGCTCAGAAGGAATAAATATGTTGCTAGAACTTAGGGAGTTTCAGGTGACTTGAATACTGATCAGAAGTAGGCAAGATACAATGGGAGTCTTATGTATATAAAACTCAGTAAATTGAAATAATCGCATAAAGCTACCTCCCATGAAAGCATATTCTGATTGAACATTTCAGGACTGGCTGACAAGGTGTTGACCTGCAGGTCTTAAAGTGGTTGACGGGGAGATGCAGCTAGCCATTTGAGGGCTTGGGGCTACTGCAATCTCTTAGAGATTTGGTTTTCTAAGCTCACCTCTTCCGACCCGAATTATGAATTCTTTCTTCCCTTCCTTTTTACCGTCTTCCTTTCCTTTTCCTTCCTTTCCTTTTCTTCTTCTCTTTTGTCCCTTTCTTTCTTCTACCATTCAACACATTTTCTTCAGTGCCAACAAAACTTGGTGTTAGGCACTGGTCAAAAAAAAAAAAAAATACAGAGTCCCTGTTCTCATAGGACTTAGAATCCATTGGGGATACTAAGGATGAAATAAATCATCATAGAAATAATTGCAGATTACCAGACGTTAGGAAGGGTAGTGGCGGGGACAGGGTGGGGGGAGGTGGGGATGGTTAATGGATGCAAAAATAAAAAGAATGAATTATACCAGGTATTTGATAGAACAAGGTGACTACCGTCAAAACAATTTAATTGTGCATTTTAAAATAACTAAAAGAGTATAATTGGGCTGTTTGTAACACAAACGAATAACACTTGAGGGGATGGATACCTAATTTTCTGTGATAGGATCATGCATTTTATGTCTGTATCAAAATATCTCATGTACCTCGTAGTATACCTACTATATACCCAGAAAAATTAAAAATTAAAAACTAAAGAAAGAAATAATTGCAAAATGTAATAATGTCTTTGAGGGGAAAATAAAAACTTCAGTGAAATACTCTAAGAGGGGTTTGATGCAGAGCTGGGGGATGTGGGAAAGTAGAGATAGGAAAGTTGAGGAGGGAGGGATGGGTTACAGTTTGCCAAGGACAGAATTACTTGAGAGGGTGGGAGCAGGACACACATGTCAGGGCCTCTGGAACAGGAAGAGGTTGGTTTATGGCAGAAATTGAAAGAATGCTCTCATACACAGCTCACTTTCCTCCTTGCTTTTTGTCTGCATAGCATTATTCAATATGTAGCATAATATAAGTTGAAATCATATATCACCTTTGTGGTCTTCTCCCACCAGAAATCAGGCATTATGAAGGCAGAAGGGCAGAGGTATTTGTCGTGTGTGTGTGTGTGTGTGTGTGTGTGTGTGTGTGTGTGTGTGTTTGACTTTTGTATTTTTGCTGCCGTATTCCTGGTACCTGGAATAGCACTTGGCAGACAAATGTATGCAAAGTTATTCAAATCCAGTGGGACCAGACCACAGTGAGGACAGTCAACAAGGGAGGGCAGGGAATGAGCGCTGTCAGGGAGGGTGGAGTCCAGGTCACTGGGGTTGCTGTAAGCATGTTCTGAATTTATATGTTATCCAAAGTATAATAGAAAACACTGCATTAAACCAGACATGTCATATAGTTACCATCTTTTCTTTTTCTAAAAGAGAATTATTGCAATTTATTTCCTTATTAAGTCAATTTAGATTAGGTTGCACTAAAAAAAAAAAGCGATATTGTTTCAGACACTAGGATCTACTCTCTTACACAGTGTGATTAGAAACCAGGGAGGATGGGGTTAGAAGGGTATTGCCAATGCGGTAAAGAGCTGAGGAGAAATCAGCTTCTGAGTGTTATTTTTCTGTCTTCTTCATGAATGGACTTTTTTTTTTTTTTTTTTTTTTTAATGAGAGGCATCCAATTTCAAGCTTTTGGAAAGCATTGGCTAGTTTATTTTTTGTGTGTATATTAAATGATCATATATAGTTATTTATTTATATACCTGCCCTTTGGTTAATATCCATTAACACGGAGCACTAGTCAGATAGAGTAGGTTTTTTCCTTATTTTGCACATGAATAAATTAAGAATAAGGTTGGGGGAAGGAAACTAACATCTGAGTGTCTACCGAGTGTCTGATGTTTTACATATTTGTCTCATTTAATCCTCATGAAACGCTTTGAGAAAGGCGAGCATTATCTCCCTTAATTGGACAAGAGAGTGAATCCCAAATTGGTTAACTAACTGGTCCAGTGTCATAGGACAAGTAAAAGGAAGAGTCAGGATGAGAGGCCAGGTGTTTCTAGTGCTTAAAATCCATGATTTTTACTTCTAGGGGATTTTTTAACAACTTGTGGGAACAGCAGTGCTAATAAGGAATGCAAGTATGTATGGAACCTGGGTCTTCTGACTCCTGAACCATTACTGCTTTTTTTCCACTATGAGATAATACATCAGTTACTGCTTCTAATTAATTCTCCAAGTGCCGAGCCAACTTCATAAGCGCTAGGGCAATGCAGGAGAGAGAGCACTCAAACAAAACTCAGTGTTTGTAGCACGCCATCCCAGATGTACAGTGCGGCCTTTCACCTTCTTATTCTTAATGAATGATTTTCTAATCTGTAAAAGCAGGCCCCTGGATAAGATGCTCTCTGGGGTCCCTTTTATCTCTAGTATTCAATGAAATGTAAAGTTAGCTGCATTTGATGCATGAAATATATTCAGTTTTGGAAACAGCTGAGGAAATTGCCATGGCCAGGCCGGTCTGAATTTAGGGCTTGTGTCCTTAGCGCTACACCGTACTGACAGTAGCCATATGTGCCTTGATTTCTATCTGGAAAGCTCCCAAAATCTAGCAGGTTTGATTGTATACTATTCAACTAACAGCCTTAAAATATGTGTGAGATGAGCCTTTCCCTCCTGGTCTATTCCACTGGACCCTTTTTGGAGGTCAGTGCTTCACATAATACATGCTCTACGAGAAGTCAATCTCAGCTTGCTTATTGGACCCATTTTCCAATGTAATATAAATAGATAACTTGATCACTTCCTGTTTTTGTGCCTCCTCAGACACTTGGATAAGACTATGGAAATTGTCTACTAATGAGTATACATATCTTGAAAAATCATCGCTTTGAGATAATTTTTTTAAAAAAATTATGTGGATAGTACTTTTAATTAGGAAAAATACACATTTATAAATCTAATTCTCTAACCACTTAAGAGTTGATTGAAACCTAGGCACATTCTCAATGTCAATAAAAATAAGGATTTAATAAAAGAGACCTGTTAAATGCTTCAACTCCTTAAAATAGATCAGATATACATAGAATATTTCAATGATCTCATATCTTACTATTATACTGAGAATTAAACCATTACAAAGATATTGACACTTTGGGCCTTCAAAACAATAATATTCTCTCAAGCCAAGGTTTTAGGTTCTGATTTAACAAGTTGATTATTGGTCTGAAAACAAGACCTGGTTTCACCCCAGGGTGATTCAATTTCAGGTCTACACTGGTTGGTCTGGCTCTTCTTTTAGTAAAAGTTCAAGAGCGGTTTTGTGAGGCTTCCTGAAGCTATTCCTTTTCTTGTGCCTTCACTTCCTTACTCCATAATCCGTTAGGTTTTGACCACGGATACCGTAGACAGCTATTCATTTCATTATACCTTATTAATACCTCATCATAATTAGTGGACTCATATAGAGATGTCCTCTCCTAAGATGGCATAGTCAATGCTCTTTTGTAGATATTTGGTTAAATTTGTAGATATTTGGTTAAACTACTGTATTGCAATCCACCACTAAACACTGTTTCTGTCTGATTATTTCATGTGATCATCTCTGCTGACCACTTTCTGGTTTATAATACAGTTCTTGGTTTTCTAGTCCAGCTTGGCTCGCTCATGCCTCAGATATTGTTTTTAAAGGCAATTGGAGCCTTCTTTGTGAGTTTAATCAAGCTAATTTTTTTTTCTCTCTCTCTCCAGAGTTTGTCATTTTATGAATTACATATTTAGTTAATTCAACATGAGCTTTGTGGTTGAAAATAAATATACATTTAAAAATTCATTTTATTAGATAGACCTTTGTCTTAATATACCTTTCTTATTGGAAATTTTGATTTATTATAGAATAAAGATGCTTTCTGTCTTCATGGAATCATCTTGATATTATGAAGTTGGCATATTTTTTGAGGGGATGCTGTTTTCCTGGGAGAGAGCTCAGATTTCTCTTATGAGCTAAGAGACAAAATTGTTTCCTGTTACCTCAAATGACTAAACTTTGTGGTGATAAAAGATCTCTATTTAGGCTTTTACCTAATACCTGTTTACCACAATTAAACTTTATTTTCATTTTTGAATATTAACCTCAAGAGACTAAAAAATAAAACAAACCAACTATAACGAAGACTGGAGTTCTGGGATTTGATATATTTTGGGGAACAATTAGGAGGGTTTGAGAGGAAAAAGCAAACAAACAAAACTATAGCCATCAAGGAGAACCTATAATTAAGAAAAACTGAAGGCGTGGAGTGTGGACCAGGTTACAGTAAATTCTGAACTAGGCTTTTACTCATGGCAGTGGTTGCCATCATAAAAGTGTTAAGTCTTTACATTTTTCTTTGACCTCACATTGCCACAGGAGTGTTATTCCAGTTAATTTTGTAAAATTAAATTATATTAGAATATACTCATTTAAAATATAAACAAGCATCTCAGGACGTTTTGTGTAGAAAGACAAATTCTTGGTAGATTGCTTGATTGATTAGCTTCCTAAATTACATTTTAAAATCAGTCTTATTTTCTGCTACATGTATTCGTTACCACTGCAATGATTAAACATAGTCAGGAAAAATTTTGGGATTTCCCAAAATCTTTTGTCAAATTGTCTTTCTTACGGAGGTAATAAAATTCCTATTCCCTATAAAACTTTATGATAACAGAATTAGGTTCAACATTTATTAGATTGGTAGATTTCTATCAATCTGATATTTATTTATTTAATTAATTAGATTAACAACAATAACAGTTATGACAGTCTGGTTTTCTTTAAAATAAATACTATCACATAGAAGATTTAAAGCTCATTCTGGTTAATCACCTCATTAATCAAATACTTGAAGATGAGAATAGCAAGGCAAAGATTAAACATGGGAATTTCTTTAATGAAATATGAAAATTAATGAATATTGAGGAAAGCTATTCTATTTAAATTTCAGCGTGGGTATGATTATTCTTTTTTAATCAGTTGGGTTTATTTTTATTTAGGAATTCCTAGGGAAACTGGTTTATAAAGAAGCAAATATACAAGAAGAAAAGGTAGCCAGAGATGCTATCATTCTTATGATGTCCTGTGCCACCCCCTCCTTCATCTTGTTTTCATCTTGGGTTCTGTCCACACGTGTTCTTTTTTGACCAAATCCACTGTGTGGATCTATCTCCTGGCACATACACTTTAATTACCGGATCTGAGATATGGTGTTGCGGCACCATCAGAGTGCACACAAGGTATGGGATTCAAAAATGGACCAGATTCAGCTATGTTCTGGCAGCTGTATTGAAGAATTTACAGAACCAGAATTAATGTCTAGCTCACTGCAGTATTAGAGAAATCCTTTCGCCGCTGGAGTCATCAGTTCTCTCATCTTTATAATGAAATGTTTGAAGTGGTAAAAAGTCATTTCCAGGTGGAATGTTCTTAGTTTCTAATGTAATGCTTTTATCATTTTGTCCGTGCACACTGGGGTGCATTTCCTTGAATGGAACTGAGAGTGCCAATTTGATTCTATGCTTGAATCTTACCACTGAAATTTTCTTTAACCTCAATATAATCCTTTTTTTTTTCTTCAAGGATAAGTAAACTGATGTTTGTCAGACTTAAAGGAGACAATGACCAGGGTAAAATGAAACAAAACAGAACAATAAAACAGAGATATGTTATATAAGTTATCTACTGGTGTGTAATAAACTACTTCCACATGTGGTGCCTTTTGAAACATCACACATTTATTTCCTTCAATACTGCTGGACGGTGGGGTGGATCCTCTATTGGCTTTGCCTGGGCCCCTTCATGCAGCTGCATTCAGCCACAGGGCCAATTAGACTGGAAAGTCCTAGAGGCCCCACTCCCATGTCTGGTAGTTGGTGTTGGGTGTTCAGATGAGGCTAAGGCTTTATTGCCTGCAGTGTTAGCACAGAAGGTGAAGACATAAGCCACAAGTCTTCTTGAAGCTTAGATTCCAGCATTTGCATAGTGTCACTTCTACATTCTATTCATTAAAGCCAGTCAAAGGACAGCCCAAATTCAATGTTTGGTGAAGTAGACTCTGCCTCTTGGTGGAAAGAGTGATGAAGAATTTGTGGCCATGCTTAATGTATCACACACAAGCTATCATTTTCTTCCTGCAAAACTCATGCCACACGATCAGTTAAAACACTTCTCAAGCAAAATTGTTGTGCAGCCTTAGAATCCTTTTAAATACAGTGCTCCAGGCAGCCACCACAAATCAGTCAGAACTGCCACAAGAAATGAAATGTTTCTGCCATCTGGACTCTGCAGTGAGTTGTTGGTAGCGCCTGGATGGAAAATTCAGGATTTCTGGCTCTCAACCCAGCATCTTTTCTGTCCCCATTAGTCTGTCTCCTCACTTCTAGTCAGTTCATTAACATTTATTAGGTTATATTAGAAAAGTAATTTACTTCTATAAGTAAAGTTTATAAAAATGTGCATCCTTTTTTGAACAATAACTTCATGTATGTGTGTTTTAGTAGACTAACATAAACCACTGAATAACAAACTCACAGAAGTGAGACATGAATTAAGAATTACCAATTTGTATACCATCTTATTCAATGCTAAACTTGCATCAGTCCAAGTGATCACATTTGGATGAAAATGGGGTACTATTGTCTTGATGTGTCTCTTGATGTGATTCAATGGGAAGTATGCAACTCCCATGTACCATTCTTGCCAAATCTACTCATTAAGGAACCATCAGAGAAGTACGGAGCATGAGCTATTTCACGAAACAGCTAACCTGAAATATTTAAAAAGTGTCAATTTCATGAAAGACAAGACAAAAGTGAAGGACTGTTCTAGATTAAAGAAAACTAAAGGGACATAGCAACAAAATGTAATTTTTGATTTTATATTGGATTTTGATTTTTAAAAAGAAAATTTAAATGGGATAATTGGGCACTCTACGTTAGATTGTATCAATGTTAAGGTTGCATCAATGTTAAGTTGTATATTATTGTTGTATCACTGTATTGTATCACCAATGTTAAGTTTCTTTATGTGATTAATAGTTTGGCTGTTATGCAGGAGAATGTCCTTATTTTTGGAGAAACATGATATGTTTAGAAGGAAAAGTCAAGATATTTGCAACTTATTTTCAAATAATCAGCAAAAAATGAAGTAATGTGTAGGTATACATATGTATATTTTTTATTTAGAGAGAGAGAGAGAAAAAAGCAAATATGGCAAAAATATTAATTGACAAATCTAGGTGGTGGGTCACATCTTCCTTGTACTTTTAACTTTCTTGAAGGTTAGAAAATTTTTAGATTGCAAAGTTGGGTAAAAAAAAACACCAACTCATTGTATTTTATGGCTGAGACCGTGCCTGACTTTGAGTTATTATGATAAAGTATCCAATGTCAAATATCTGATTAAATTCTAAGGGATTCAATTGCAAAATGCTGCATTTCTAAAAAGGCACATTTTCTTTACTTACAGGCTTACACAAGGAGAAAAATCTCAAGTACAGGCAGTTGTTTGAATATGGTAATTGATAGAAAAGTTGACCAAGTAGAAAACTGTAATATGTCATAATAAAAGATGTTGAGATATGCCTGTATGTTATGTGGCATTATGGTTCACAGAGTTATATATTATGCCAGAAGCCTTGGATGACAAGGGTTCCATCTCATTCTGCTCAGATTCTGTGGGTAACTTTGAGCAAGTCATTTTAATTTGTGCAAAATGTGGTCCTTTTAAAATGGAGAAGCTAATTCTGGTTTATATCATATGGCTGTGTAAAGATTAATTTCCTAACTGCAAAGGGTGGTAAACAACTTTTCCCATTTAAATATTCAGTCTTGGAAACACATGGAGGATTGTTGTGTTGAGGAGCTCAGATAATGCTCACTATTTCTGTGCCTTTATAGAGATTTTTCTTACAGGATTATGTGCAAGGTTTTATCCTTTTTTCATAAGCTACAATACTAAGAGAAATCTACCAGTTTTAAAAAAATCTATTTTCCTCCAAGACTCTTAATTTCATTCTGGAAATAAGATTGGATTTGGGACAGGAGGCCTTGGTAGAAAAATGTACCCCTAACAATGTCATCTATGGAAAACTGTGCCAACTCTCACCTCTGGAAGAGTGAGTGGTTGAGAGCATGTGAAATAACTCAATAGCCATTTCAAACTATGTTTAATCATTTATAAAAATACAGATCTTTATAGAGAAGGCTGAGTCTTCTGTGGACTAGAATAGAAGAGGTGAGACATGATCTGGGTGTAACAGGATGGGTACAGCACTGGGTAGATGGAGGAGACATGAGAAAAAGAAGTCCCATGTGGGTGTTCATTAGGTGCATAGACTTATGCAGGAGCAAGTCTTGTGTGCTGACACTAAGGAGATGTAACTGGAGTCCTGTCTGACTGTTGAAGCAAACTGAGCAATATTATTGGATAGGTGCAATGAAAGCAGTGCAAAACTGATTTTGAGTTAATGTCTGGTGAGCAACAGGGAAGAACCAGTGGTGGCTGAATAGGAAATTGACAGTAGCATGATTAAATTGGAAACTAAGTAATGCATGACAAAATTATGCAGGCAAAGACCAGCACAGAACTTTCCCTTAGGAATCTTGGATAGAATGAGTACTCAGGTCTGAAAAACTGGCTCTGGCAAAGCACTGCTAGGGAGTGTAAGAGAGGGAGTAAGTTATTATGGAGGTAGTAGGTAAGGAGGGCTGTGGTTGATTAGTGATGTCTGCCTAGTGCAGGGATGGGGCCATATAATCCTGGATGTCACATACAGTATTTGCCATTCCTGAATGAGAGGAAAGAAGTAAACCAAAAATCCCAGCCTATGCAATGAAAAAAATAATTGAAAACTAGTTTGGGAGAAAGTTGATGATGGAGTTTTACTTATACTTCAATCTGAGGACAGTACAGTAAGTACATTTGGGAACATTGTCACTTATAATTGAAGTGAGCTTACTAGTTAGAGAGTTCGTCAGACTGGAGGGAAGTAAAACTTCTATAAGGGTCAAATGAATAAACAAATTTGCTTTATCAAGCTGCTTATTTATACATCCATGTGTTTTCTTATGATGAGTCAGTCCCATGCACCCTAGTGTAATCTAGTTGCCATTTGCGGTATATAGTTGTCACGTATTACTGCCAGCCAGCTGGCAGCTGCATTGCCCTACTCATTAGTGATTAAGATGGACAAAAGTATATAACATTCTTATTTAATCCACAGTGATTTTTAAGTAACTATAAACAAGAGTTCTTGAAACTTGAAACAGAAAGAAAATAGTACTTACTTTTGATATGTCACACTTGCAACTTGTGCCTGGAATTGAGTTCATCTTCCATCTTTAGCTAACGTGGTCTGTGGCCAGAGCCACACTTCCTCGCTCTTGGACTTGATTCCCATAACTGAAAAAGGGAAGGTGTTGCCTCAACTAGGGATGGCAAGTGTGTACTGCTTCTCTTTCAACTTGCATCTATGATAAATGAAGAACTCTTCCCCTCTTAGCACTTGACACCAATTGCCTTGTGGCCTGGAACCTTTTGTTGTTCATACTTCAGCAAATCTCAAAAGAAGAAAATAATATTAACAAGAATAGCTATGGCTAACATTTGTTGAGCTTTTTCTGTGTGTCAGGCTTTATGCTAAGCACCTTATGTGTGATACTTTAAGCTCTATGTAATTGTAAACGTTTTCAATTAAGGGGCGGGAATAATCAAAGGAGGATAGATTTTCACGTTCAAACTGTGAGATGGGGCATTGACATTAATTGAAATAAATTAAGGAAATGGCCAGAAGTGTAAAAGAAAACAAAATAAGAGTCATTTGTTCATTTCCAAGACCTAGCCTATACCTAGTTTGGTAGAACATCACCAATTCCTTTTTGATTGGGTAAATTAAGGGTGAAGAAACTTGCTGTATTAGGTTCTTCCCCTGGAGACTGGCCTACATCCAAAGCTGGCTTCTGTTTCTTGATATTCAAGCTGGGGCTGAAAGATTAATCCAAGATTGAGTCCAGCTCAGGGATTCAACCTCTTTCAGTACTATTGGATTTAATATCTGCTGACCTGTTAATCATTTTATTCTATAGTTATTCACTTGCTTCTCTCAGATAGGAATCTTTTAATTCCTAAAACATGGCCCAATTGATTATTCATAGGTTGCATTTTTTCCAATACAAAACCTTTAGCTACAAACCATACTTCTTTCAACTGTTAAATAAAAAGATGTTTCAGAAAGCACTTTCTATCAGTATTCATTTATCATTATTTAACAATAAAGCTTAACTAGGCCTTGAGTATATATCAAGTTGAAGAGCAGCTGGTAAAGCTATGATCACTTAGTGGCATGCTCACGGGTACTAATAGGGATATTATGCCTGCATTAGGACTATACCCTGCCTGAAAGAATATAGGTCAGTTATTTAAATGATTTACACAGAGTTTGTCCCTTTAATACCTTGCAAAGAGTCAGGCAGAGATAGTATTAGTGAGTTCTGGCAGATGGGATACAAATTTATTACGACAAGTCAATTTTCTTTTTCGTTTCTAAGACTACTATATAATAAATGGGCCTCCACAGTATATTAAATTAATGGACTTTATTTTTCATGTGAAAGAAGAAGAAAAATCTTATGAAGTGTTACCCTAGAATTCCAGGATAGTCTTTGAGTTTCTGGCTCATAATGTAGCTTCTGAAAAGCAATTATAACTTTCATCTTAAACTTCTTTCAATGACAAGTCTCGCTAGAGGGACTGTCACTGGAGTCTTTCTTTAGAGAATGTCTTTTCTTCTCAGGGGAAATGATACTCAGCAGCATTCAAAACAGTTCTAGGCAAAATTCAGCTATGGAAATTTTATCCAGCCCCGACTTGCAATGATTGCATCCATATATGTCAATGACATTCCCTTCCATTGAGCCTTCCCCTACTTCTTGTGTTTCCCACATTACATAAACACAAATACATTTTGCTATTATCCATCTCATGACTGTTGATACCCAGATATAGAGAGATTACATTTTTAGTTAAGATATTTCCTCGAAGGCTGGTCGAGTCCAAAACTGGCTTCCCATTTCTTGATAGTCAAGTTGAAGCACAGAGATTAATCCATCTGCTAATATGGCCCTACTTGTGTTGGAGTCTTCGTCAACAGACACCATACCTGCTGTGTCTGTTCATGACCTGCTTGCCTCATCATAGCCCACACTGTCAAGCCAATGTGCCACACAGTGTAGTCACAAGGATTGCTGTGACAGTGTCTGTTCACCTCCATTTATTCCCAGCAACCAAGGCAGACCCTTGGGCTGTACTTTGTGTCAGTCTGATTATCTTAGTGGCTACAGACGTGGAGCAGAGAGTGAAATTTTTCAAATGTTGATTGAGAAAGAACCACTTAGTGCAGTCAGACATAAGTGCGCAGATAAGAAATTCCCAGACAGTGGGAGCACAGCACATTCTGTGGTTATTACTATTATTCTCTAATCAGTATGATTCTCTGGGCACACTTATAGAAGTTCATTCTTTAGTGGAATTTCAAGAAGAAAAATATTTTAAAAAGACAACAGCTCTATCTTCTCTGTATAAAGAAAATTCATTGACAAAGGTTCTATACACCAATGTTACTGAAAAGCCATTATAGGCCCAGGTGCAGTCGCTCACTCCTGTAATCTCAGCACTTTGGGAGGTCGAGGTGGGTCTATCACCTGAGGTCAGGAGTTAGAGACCAGCCTACCCAACCTGGTGAATCCCCGTCTCTACTAAAAATACAAAAACACTAGCCTGGCTTGGTGGTGCACACCTGTAGTCCCAGCTACTCAGGAGGCTGGGGCAGGAGAATTGCTTGAACCTGGGAGGCAGAGGTCGCAGTGAGCCAAGATCATGCCACTTTACTCCAGCCTGGGCAACAGAGAGGGACTATGTCTCAAAAAAAAAAAATAAATAAAATAAAAATAAATAGCCATTATATTCTCTCCATTATTCAAACATGACCCTACTGAAACGTATCTGCATCAACACCACTTTAATACCGTGATAACATTCCTTATATGAGAGTGAAGATATAAATAATAAGTGGAGAGGACTCTACTTTTAGAAGGGAAATGGGTGACTAGTGTTAGCTTTATTGTACATATAATGCTCCATTGACATATGTCAACCAACTCCATTTTCAGTGCCCAATTGAAAGTTGTATAGCCACCACCTTTTCAAGACAATAGTATTAATAAATTCCAGTATGGTTTACTAACTGCCAAAGGTACCATTTAATACATCTTTCATTAAAAAATGTCAGGCCAAGCCGGGCACAGTGAATCATGCCTGTAATCCCAGCACTTTGAGAGGCCGAGGCAGGTGGATCACCTGAGGTCAGGGGTTCGAGACCAGCCTGGCCAATATGGTGAAACCCCTGTCTCTACTAAAAATTCAAAAATTAGCTGGGCATGGTGGCACATGCCTGTAGCCCCAGCTACTTGGGAGGCTGAAGCAGGAATATTGCTTGAACCCAGGTAGTGAAAGTTGCAGTGGGCAGAGATTGCACTACGTCACTCCAACCTGGGTGACAGAGTGAGACTCCATCTCAAAAACAAACAAACAAATAAATCCAGGCCATTAATTGTTTTATTTCTGGATCATCAAATAGAAATATATCTACCCAGAAGAAGAAACATGTTTTCCAAACAAAATCAAGCATTATGTGTAAAATCAAGCATGACCCTGCAGGAAGGTCTGGCCAGCACAGTGGCAGCACCAGTCAGGCTCTATAATTATTTACTTGTGTGTGAATCCTAGTGCCACTTTTTACCCCCTCCCACAGACCTGCAATGATTAACAAACTGTGATGATTAGAAAATAAATTACAGGTCCTTCCATAAATTATATCTGGAAACCTGCCTAGATTCTTTGTATAAGAAACACAAATTTAATTTCTATCTTCATACAAGCATAGAATTTACTTGGGTGAGGACTAATGGTAGATGTTGTTTATAAAGACAGAGAAAAGAAAATGTGATTATCAGTGATAAAAATAAATCCATGTTGTGTTGGTCTGAGTTTATTTAGGAAAAAATATTTACATAGAAAACCATTAGTGTTGATTTGTTCAGACAGCAGTATGAGAGAAAACGTGTTTCTCTTTACACTTATGGTGTCTCTAGCAGATGGTAAACTCCAAATAGTTATTTCACATTACGAAGAAATGTTTAATGAGTATCTGATAGGAGTGATTATTGCAGGGTTTAATAATCAATATCGCTGCAACTGAGTCTATTTAAAAATCTATTTACATGACTGTGTATAACCCTCTGAGTGAACCAATTTCACTAGCATTTTTGACTACCTACTACATGATATGAACTATATAACTGCGTGTGAGATTGCAGATCTACTGGATATATAAACTTAGGCCTGTCATAAACATAAGTGGACCCTTATTTAACTTTCATCTGTCAATTCTTTTTTAAAATAGTGTTGTATTTTGTTCTTTTTTTTTTTTTCCGGAAGAGATGAGTATAAAGTTGAGAAGTTGGTGGATTTTTTGCTATTATTCAGTAATGCAATCATATGATATATTTGGAGAAATGCTATGATCCTGATAGTATTATGGAAGGATGCATGATGCTTTCACCTATTTTCAAGGATGTAGATTATAAATAAATTGATGGTGTATCTCCTTAGAATCTTCTTCATTCTAATTTTTCCCTTTAACTCATTCCTTGAAATTTTTCAAAATAAGTGTTTAAAATGATAAAGAATACACACTCAGGAATAATTCTGCACTTAAAAGGGGGAAAATGCCCCTTGGCATATTCTTCAAAATACCTATAGTAAAAATCAAGTTAGTTTAGGTTTCATTCTTATAAAATGTGTTTCCTTTCACTTAACTTTCTTGTGACACAATTGCTGAAAATATACTGATGTTGGCAACTTCCCACCAAAAAGAATAAACCTCCTTTCTGTCACCCACTTGCACTAAAAATTAAAAGATGAACAGGGACCACATATTTGCCTATGCTAATTATAAACCATTCCAACCTGGAGGGTGGGAAGGAATCTTAACTAGCGACCTTTGAGTGGTTGCTTGGTTCATGTAACCATGTCAACTAGGTACTTCTGCTTTGTTCATGTACTTTGTGTTTTTCAGTCGAGGTGGTCCACTCACATTGCTTCTCAATTTCCCTAACCCATTCACCCTCCCCTAACAGCTAAGATGCTTCATTCTCCATCAATTCTACACAGTTTTTCCTACTAAGGGAGAATTCTTTTTGCCCTTTTCTGTGCTCATATAGTGCTTTTGTAGCATGCACTATTATCACTGGCTACTTTTCATTGTAAATGTTTGTTTTGCTTTCTTACTCCGGGACTGCAAAATTGCACAAATTCAGCAATACGATCGTCTGTTTCTTGGAACTCTGAGGATGAGGACTGTTACTCATCTTTATATATCCAGAATTTAGAACAGTGATTGGCACACTGTGGGTGTTGAGGAAATGTTTCACAAATGAATAAATAGCGAGTAGTCTGAAGTAGCCAGAAGTATTTTAGGAAGAGACTTCTGGTGGGAATGAGTATGTGTGGTGCCTGGGCAGAGGAAGAGACCACGGACAGCAGTTTGGATAGGCGATTACTGTAAAAGATAATGAAGGGTTTGCCAAAGTGGTGATGATGGGAATGGAGAGGTGGAGGCAGATGCAGGAGATATTTATTTCCTAGGCTTTTTCTTAAAGCTCTTTTCCCCTCCCTCTTAATGTTATGATTTGCTTAGGTGAACTAAACTTAGTCCCACTTTTTGGCCTGTTTTAATGCACCTATTTTGAATAACAAATGATGACAATGAACAAAAGAACACAAGGTTGAAGTAGAAAATTTAAATGTTTTAGCAAGAAAACAAAAACAAAAACCACCAATCATCTCATTTGTGATAAACAAACACAGTTAACATTTGGTTGATAGCCTCCGGGGCTTTTTATTGGTAAGAATTTGGAGACAATCTGGTAGAATGGTTACCATGACAGACTCAACTGCATTCAAATTCTGGCTCTGATATCTGCTGTGAAATATTTGGCAAAACGTGCTCTATTTCTCTCATGTGTACAGTGGGGATTATAATGATTGTACTTAGTTCATGGGATTGTTCTGAGGATTGCGGAAGCTGATAAAATTAAAGCACTAAGTTCAGTTCCTGGAACATAGGACATAAATATATATCCTATTCATATATATATAACAACCATATCAACGTATAAATATGGTTTATAAACTAAACTTTCTTCCTTCTTAATGGTATAAATAAGACCTTTCCATATTTATCCATAGCATCCATACTAATGATTGCATAGCATTCATTTGTATGACAAACCCTCATTTTCTTAATATTTTTATCGTATTTTATTTTTAGAAATGTATAATTCTCATTTCATAGTTTAATCTTCATGCAAATCTAAGACTATTTCTCTATGATTAATTTTCAGAAGATTAGTCACTGGGTTAAATAGTATGAATATTTTTCAGGTGTTTGATACAAATGCCAGACTGCCTTCGAGAATACCATGCTTTCTAGCACCAATACAGTGTTTGTTGTTGTTGCTGTTTGTTCTGCTTTTTAATCTGGGCCAGTTTAATAGGTGAGAAGAAAGATTCCTATTTTAATTTACATTTATTTGAGTACTGGAAGATGAGCATCTTTAATTTTTTTAGGTCTTTAGGATTTTTTTGTGAACAGCCTAGCTGTATCTTTTTCCAACTTTTCTATTGGTACGTGCATCTTTTTTATTGACGTGTTAGAAATGTAATCATTGCTAAATTATTTTTGGAGGGTGATGAAGTTCAAAGGATCTAAAATGACTGCCTTATATATTTGATATGTTCAGTTTATCAACATGACATTAACAATCTTTTGTAATTTTTGAATGACAGAAAGGTAGTTTTATATGGTTTAACCTAACAATTTAAGGCTTTGTGAAATTGTCAGGCAATTCATACATTGCCTCAGACTTACACCTTAATTTTGTGATTTGGCTTATGCAACTCTATTAGACTATTTTCAATTATATGTTTGCTTGAAAAATTGGTGTTATTGAGCACTTCTAAATCACTGGGTACTGTCTCCTTGCCTCTGTGGACAAAAGATTTGGGATACAGTTGCCAAAATGTAGGACTAAATTTAATTTTCCAACAACTTGTGAATGGCATTATCCTACTATTGCACTGTAGACTACAAACATTTTAATTTACAGAGCTGGTAGAGCTTTACTTTGTAAACACTTATGTTGTCTAAGGAACTTTAATACATTATCACATTTGATTCTTCTTTAATGTAATTTTTGATTTTCGATTTTTGTGAATACACAGTAGGTATATATATTTATGGGGTATATGAGATGTTTTGATACAGGCATGCAATGTGAAATAGTCACATCATGAAGAAGAGAGTATCCACCCCCTCAAGCCTTGATCATTTGTGTTAGCAATAATCCAAATATACTCTTTCAGTTATTTTAAAATGTGCAATTAAATTATTATTGGCTACAGTGACCTGGTTGTGCTAGCAAATTGTAGGTCTTATACATTCTTCGAAACTATTTTTTTGGAACCCATTAACCTTCTCCACCTCCCACATCAACCCTCCACTACCCTTCCCAGCCTCTGGTAACCATCCTTCTACTCTCTGTGTCCACTGAATTCTCATTTGATTCTGACAATAACTTGGTGAAGGACACAGGGCAACCCCCCTGTTATTATAGAAAAAAACACTGAGGCTCCGAGGAGTTAAGTGATGTCCAGAGGCTTGACAGCTAATAAACAGCAGAGTCTGGCCTAGCATCCAAGTCTTCTGACTTCAAGTCTAGTGCTTCTTTCCTGTATTCCTTGATCATTGAATCACTTGACCTGGAAATATGTGCTTTCACCTTTGTCAGAAAAATAAAGCCACTGGGATTTGAATCCTGGTGAGAAGCAATAATGTGAAGCTTCCAAATTCCATTGCTCTGTTTTTATTGTGTCTGTCTTATTTTAGAAACATATGTTTTAGGATGTACTGTGTAAATGCCAGTTTCAATTTTACAATGGAAAGTGAAAAACAGTGGCATGAGAAAATGTATATTTCACTTATATGTATGGCTTTCCCAAGGACATGTTTCACTTTCAGTGGATTTCACAGTTTTTTTGTTATTTTATTTTATTTTTTTAGTGACATAGCCTTGGAGTAATGTTAAGTTACTCATAAAGAAGGGATTTTAATGAATATCTGTGGAAGATACTCTTATTTATTGCTGGTGCCTTTCTTTCACTAACTAAATGTTATAGCCAGTCTCTGGAGCACATCATGATACTGAACCAGTTTTTCATCACCAGTTTCCATTCTCTTTTGAGCTCCCACACCCAGAAACCATCATGCAGAGGATCAATGGCCTTGTAGTGTAATCTGTTCTTTTTCTGTGAGTTACTGTTCCAGTCTGGTTCCTCCTGTGCTGAATTACTTCTTTCATGAAATAACCAAAATGAGGTGGGGGAGAGGATTGGGCAGGATCTCAGTATTTTTTGAAATGTTTTGAAGAGTAATTGAAAATTTAAACAAAATCAAAGAGAGAAAGCGTGGCCAAGCTGTGTGTGAGTTATTTTGAATTTACAAAACTGTTGTACACATGTTTTTAAATATATATCCAGTTAAGAAATAGTGCCTGCAAGAACAGATTAGAACTGGGATGTAAATGAAAAATCTATATATGGATAAAAATCTTCTATATTATGAGGATATACTTGGTTTTGGACAAAAAAATAAAAAATAAAAAATAAACCTTTCCTTCAGAAATCTCTCAGAAGGGAACAATTTCTCTGGGGACCATTCATTTCATTTGTCAACGATTCACTTCTACCTGCTGAATTACAGAGTCCTGATTAGCTTTCATACTTTATAAGAATCGATACTTTACTTGTCAAACATGATTCAACATTTGTCAATTGTACTTGGAAATACAAACAATTCAAAATATGTCTCAATCTCAGAGGATGTCCAACTTCTATTATTTTAATTTTTAATTTTAGTATTTAAAATTTTTTTTAACTTTTAATTTTTGTGTGTGCATAGTATTAAGTGTATATATTTGTAGAGTACATGAGATACTTCGATATAGGCATATAATGCATAATAATCACATCATGATAAATGGAATAAATAACCCCTCAAGCATTTATCCTTTGTGTTACAAACAATCCAATTATATACTTTTAGTTATTTTAAAATATACAATTAATTATCATTAACTATACCCTATTTTTATTAATAATGCTATACCATAGTATTATTTTATTAATAACACTATACCGTAGTATTATTTTATTAATAGCACTATACCATAGTATTACTTTATTAATAGCACTATACTGTAGTATTACTTTATTAATAGCAGTATGCTGTAGTGTTATTTTATTAATAGCACTATACCATAGTATTATTTTATTAATAGCACTGTACTGTAGTATTATTTTATTAATAGCACTATACCATAGTATCATTTTATTAATAGCACTATACCGTAGTATCATTTTATTAATAGCGCTATACCGTAGTATCATTTTATTAATAGCGCTATACCGTAGTATTTTATTAATAGTGCTATACCGTAGTGTCATTTTGTTAATAGCACTATACCGTAGTGTCATTTTATTAATGGCACTATACCGTAGCATCACTTTATTAATGGCACTATACCATAGCATCACTTTATTAATGGCACTATACCATAGCATCACTTTATTAATGGCACTATACCGTAGCATCACTTTATTAATGGCACTATACCATAGTATTATTTTATTAATGGCACGATACCATAGTATTATTTTATTAATAGCACTATACCATAGTATTATTTTATTAATAGCACTATACTGTAGTATCATTTTATTAATAGCACTATACCATAGTATCATTTTATTAATAGCACTATGCCATAGTATTATTTTATTAATAACATTATCAGATTTCCTAAAATATGTATAGCTTTTCATACCTAAATTTCTACATTATGGTATTAAAAGCTATACATATTTTAGGAAATCTGATCATAAAATGCATGTAGAAAGGTCTGTGAGGAAACATTTAATACTGGTACTTATATTCAGGTCAACATCTGGGTAAAAATGGGACTATAAGAATAATATACATATATTCTCTTTGTGATTAGTTGAAAGCTAGATCACCAAATTTAAAAGGATGGATTCACTTGTAAATAACTTTGAGTGTGTGTCTTTGAGCTTTTTATGGCTCAGTTCTCTATGTAAAGGTATTTGAAAAATGTTAGCATCTCCTTATATCGGTAATGTTTGTAGCAATTAAAATACTATGTTAATGCAGAGTAACATAGAAAGGTTGCTTGCATTTCAACCTTTGTAGTTTGGAAACCATTTAGAAATGTATTTCCTTATCCACTTTGCTATTATGGAGCTAAGTGCTTGGAATATTATTTGAAGTGAGATTTCTATGAAATAAAATGAAACACAACGGAAATGTGTATTTTTATATTTGCCTTTCAACCGATAATACAGCATCTCCATGCGGATTGAATCCAAGCCTGTAACACAGTGAAGCCTCCTATTAGCAACAGTTCTGTGAGGCTCTTTGCTGAGGGTCTGCCTGTGTGCCATTCCTTCATGACAGCCATCCTCCTTTGATGACAATGTTCCTTTTATTGTGTTTATGAACTTGTTAAGAATTGTAGGAACCATGTTTGGAGATGACACTGTTTCTACATTAAACGTTTGAACTTTAAATATAAATACAAGCAGAATTGAAGCTATGAAATTGGTCTGCCCTACTGTGTCTATTATATTGGGAGGGAAAGAGAATTGTAGAAGTAGGAGGTTGTAAGAAGGAAAGATTAATTGTTTAATTACAGCTGAATAGGAGAATAAAGGTAACAGGCTCATTGCATAATATCTAATAATATCCAACCCCAACACACACACACGATAGAACAACATTGTTTTTGCCCAAAATTACTATTTTACAGAAAAGATTTATAATTACAGAGCTAAAAAGTAACATTCTGGAAAGATTAATATGCATATAGCACCAACAATGTTGTCAAACTTAAACTGAGTTTTCACCGTCCTGATAAATTGATAGAAGCTGTTCTTATCCACCCTAATCAAAGTTACTTTTTCTGTTTCTTTATAAATATATGTATTCAAATGAAAATCATAGTCCTAGTTTGCTCTCTGATCCCAGTTTAATGAAGGTAGTCAGGAAAGGTCTTTTGAGGAGGTGCTATTTGAACTGAGTCCTGATGGGACTACCGTGGGAAGGAGGTGTCCATGCTGAGTTGGAGAATGGCTTTCAAAGCAGAAGGAATGGAAAATGCAAAAGCCCTCAGAGGGAGTGAGCTTGCTATGGGGATGGGTGAGAGAGGTTAAAAAGAGTGGGAATGAGGTGAGGTTGGAGAATTCTGCAGAAGGCAGATTTTGCTGGACCTTGAAGACTATGATATGGAATTTGGATTTTTAATTACAAGGAGAACCCATGGAATGTTTGAAGAAGGAAAGTGACATCTAATGTTCATTTTAGAAGGATTATCCTTGTTTTTCTGTGTAGAAAGAAACAGAAAACAGGAGAGACCTTTGCAGTCATTTGAGCAAAATATACTGGTTCAGTTATGTATTCATTTGTCCAGTCAACAAAAATTCACTGGAGTCCCACCATATGCCAAGGAACTGCTGTAAGTCCTGGGGATACCATGGTTATTAAGGTAAGGATCTTACTCTCATGGAGTTTTGACTAGTAGGAGGTTCAGTAGTGTTAAGTCCCATGAAGACAATACAGGTAATTCAATGGAATGGGAGTATCTAATTACATTGAGTGTCAGGGTCATGGTGGATCCTGAATGACTACAGGAAGCCAAGCATGAGAAAATCTCCAGAAAGAACTTCAACCCAAGGGAAGCACGAGTGCAAAGGGCCTAAGATGAGAGCACGCCAGGCATAAAACAACAACATTGTGTCTGGAGGATTGAGTGACGGCGGCGTGGGCGGGGGAAGTATCTGGCAACTAGAGGGAATCAGCTGCAGCCTCATTAGCTGGGTGAAGTGACTTTCTGTGAGACTGTTGGGCAAATGGGCATGGAGAGAGAGAAAGAGATAAAGATTGAAGAGGAGTTTATGGTGCTGTGTCAACTATTAATGTTTCCTTGGGACTAGCACAGGATGTATCCACCTGGTTAGGAGCCCCACACTCCTCAGGCCGTCATGTATAAAGCAGTTGGCTCATGAACTTCATTTTTGTCAAATTCCTGTTATCTTATTTAAATGGTAGTACTGGCTTTTAGCATTATTGTTATTTTGTTTTAAAAAAAACATTCTTAATGATAATTGTCAGGAATTGATTTTCTGCTCACTACTTTACTAAATTCTAAAATGACTATTGCTTAGAGGCAGATAAAATATCTTGTTCTTTAAGAACAACGTCGAGCTATATACATTGGGAATATCCCTCACACTGTTTAAAACCATATTGCTTTAAGTGGTGTATAATGCAACATTTATTGAACTATTTGAAAGTCCCTAATGTGCAGATTCACGTGAAATTACCCCATGTGTCTAGTTTGCACCACTTAACATCCTTTTAATGGAAGCAGGTGGAAAATGTGAAAAAAAAAATGACTAAAATGGCTGTCTTGCCTATTGTTTGAGCATGTAGTTGTTCTGACCAGAAAGTGAAAATTATTGAAAAGGAAAGTTGTTTTTTATTAGCTTGAAGACCTGTTCCAGAACTGTTATTAAAGTGGATGCTAAGTGGAGTATGTGACATTTGCTTCATATGCACAGTGGATGATTGATTCCCTCAGCCTAACTGATAGAGTATTTTTTCTCCTGACCTTGGTGCAATTACATTATAGTTGCAATTTTCAACATTATATTTTAATAGAATTTTTGAATCTCTTTGTTATTAATAAAGTTAAATATAATCAGAAATGAAAATCTCTGCTGAAATATTCACCTTGATACACTTCC
Organism: Homo sapiens; assembly: GCF_000001405.40. Classification (NCBI taxonomy): domain Eukaryota; kingdom Metazoa; phylum Chordata; class Mammalia; order Primates; family Hominidae; genus Homo; species Homo sapiens. The sequence goes on from NC_000013.11 coordinate 93,422,080, forward strand.
ACTTTGGGCTGCTTCCAGTTCCCGTCATTGCTTTGCCCAGAGTAAGCAATAAATGCACATTTGTTGGATTGGATGGGCACTCTTCCCCCACGATTATTCCATCTCAAAAAGACCAAGGTGTTTTTCTTCAAATGGAAAAGTCTTCTAAGCAACACCCTCGAAATATGAAATCAGCAACAAAATTCATTACTTGAGATTTTTCATTTAGAGAAATGATCATAATGACATGCTGTGTTCACAAGTGAGATTTTCTGTCTTTAAGCTCTTAAAGTATAGTTTGCCTTTAAATTGCCTCCTTTTCTAAATCAAACACAGATTAAACACCCACATAATTACTTTTCGGATAGTTTCTTTGCCACTGCATGGATGTGGAATGTGTTGAAAATTTGTAGTTATTATTGTTTGAATTTTAAGAGCTAAAATAATAAAACAGTTATGAAAACAAAAATCACCTACAATCTATTGAGGTAATATATGGTGTGGTTCCTTTCAGTCTTTTTTCTTTGCGTATATTATTTGAACTTAATATAAGAAGTTTTGAAGATGAGTGAATGTATGCCAATATTTGCTCAGAACAAAAGACAGGCAGATTTAGTTGGCAGATTATTCATATTTAGGGTGATACTTAACTGGTATTCCAAACATATTTTTACAGTAGAATAATATCACTACACTGAATTAACTGTCCAAAATATAGCTAAAATTTTTTTAAAAGCTTCCTCAAAGGTTTTCTCTGTAAAAAAGGTCTTCTTTGTCTGCTCTTGATGGTTCTAGTTAGCAACATGAGAGAGAGAATATGCTTACACAAATTAAATGAAGGCCTTAAAAAGCACAGAGTAGAGATTTAATTAAAGACTGTTTTCCATATAAATTTGTGCTGAAAAGGAAATGTTGGTTGCTTAGGATGCACATTATTTTAATGCTGGGAGTCAGCATTGGGTAGTGGTTAGAAACAGACATGGTGGTCACACCCCACCAGCTCCCCGTTTGTTAGCCCAGTGGCATGGGGCAAATTACTTAACCTCTTTCAGAGTCCCTATAAAACAACCTGTAGTAATATCTGCCTCATATGATTCTGTTAAGGAATAAATTAAACAATGCTTGCCTTGCAGTTTTAGGGACATGAGAAAAATTAATAAAAATAACCATCACACAGGACTGAATGTCTTCCGATCAGGCCAGGTGTATCTCATCCCATAACTGTTAATCAATTGTAGAACATGTTCTCTAAGCAGGACAGAAAGTTGAGAAAGAGCTAAAAATATCTTAGGATTCCATGTTTATAAAAGAAAAAGTCAAATGTCCCTGAATATTGAGTAATACATTTCTCATTGCTTAATATTAGGAGAATGTCTAGAAACACTGTTTCAGAATTTTTTCCTTTTTATTTACATCCAGAAATTACATAAAGCAAAAATGTTTTTGTTATTCCACAAAGGATAATATGAATTTCAAGTAATTTATTGCTTTCAGTTGTTTTCAGATCTGTTTAAATGTGCTTATTTTTTCCGCGGTTGCTAAGTTATTGTAGTTGGACTTGATCGTCTCTCTGGGAATGATTTCTTCTTGAGCATTATTTTCTCTGCTCAGATGATTCCACCTTCTCCACCACTCCGCCACCAACAGACTTCTGATATTTTCTTGACTAATGGAGGTGTGATCATTTTCTCTTTTGACCTTATAAAATAATGAGAGCTGCTGGAGTGCCCTTTGAGTTAAATCAATAGAAAGTGCTTCATGTATAATATCTCATTAATAGAGATGGCTAATGGCAAATGTGGGACAGTTTATGCAGCTGACAAGCAAAGCACCTGCCAGTATTTAAGGAATGGATGACCTGTGACCACCGAGACACTTGAGAAAAAGTACAACTTCCGTATCTGGTGGAAATCTGCTCCTACCCTCCTTTGCAAGAGAGGATATTGTGTCTGGCTTTTCTTTGGTTCATAGCTGTGCCGCTTCTTTTTTCCAGATACATTTTAAGGGTTTCAGTGTGCCCCATGGTGGGTTCCCTGGGAAAAACACTCTGAGACAGATATTTGAGTGCAGGAAGTTTATCTCAAGAGAGAGAAAGAAACAGGATTGGGCAGAAGGAAAAGTTGAGCTTTGCTATAGTTGCCACGAGGCCCTCAGCTGGTGTCACCTCTGAGGCCATCTGCCTCTGTGATGGTCCTTCAGAGCTCTCAAGATTGAGGCAGGGAAGCTCAGCCCTCGTGCCCCAGCATCGACCAAGTTATTGGATGTTGGTTGTGTTAGGGTTAGGGCATAATCTTAGGCAAAGCAGCTCTCTTCAGCTAAGGTTGGATCCCGGAGAGAAACTCGGCTGTAAGCTGTTGGCAGCCAACCCTTCTGGCAGCTGAGACATCTCCTGTCCCATCCATTCCTCCATCCTGATGCGGGGATCTGAATGTCCCACCACCACACCTACTACGCAGTGCAACATGGAGGAGTTGGCCTTAAATTTCCACTGAACTCTAAAAATCTTTTAAGACTCTGATGTTAGTAGCAGAAAATAGCAAATACATGGTATCATCATCATCATCATCATCTTCATCATCATCATTTTTAAGTTTAAAAATACATGTAATACTGAGGTTGTTTTTGTTGTTTTGTCTACAGATAATAGAAAAAAAATGTGTGAGAGAGAGGTTTTTGGTCTTATTTGTCAAACGTTTTCATTGAATTATTTTATTCCAGTTTAGTTTTGCTGTTGGAACTTAAAGTTAAGAAGCCTTGACTTCTGTGTCATATGTTTCCCGTAGATTATTTGGAAACAGGACCACATTTGAAGTTACTGGGAATATTAGGCCCTTCTCTGGGGAAACACTACCTTTCTTCATGGATGTTTGGTTATGGGACATAGTACTTTCTAAATGTTGTGCACCTACCCCCAACACACAGACCACCTGATCCTAGTGATGAGTGTTTGGGATATACCTGTCACTTTCAGGGCTGGGACAAGGGTAGGGCAAATGAAATACTTACTTTGGGTGCAAGATTCAAAAAGTAATCCAAAAAATTTTCAAAAATTAATATATTTAATGCAATATTTTAAAATGAAAATTAATGCAAAATTCGTGATGAATGAATTACAAAAGTTTTAAGTAGAGACAGTATTTTTTATTTTACTTTTTGCCTCAGCTTTTACTGTGGCTCGGCTGGGTACTGGCCACTTTAGCAACATTGAAATAATCTGATACACCGATTCCCACTTCCATGTACTTGGTTGAATGATCAGTTCCAAAAGCACCTCAAATGAAATCTATGTAAATACTTCCTATCAATTCTAAAAACGTAGGGAAAGGAATATATTTAAATGTATGAGTTCATTGTACACCAACCACAACCTAAGGCAGACCTCTGGGAGCTGGAAGCTGGCATCAGGCTGAAGAAGATGGAAATGAGAAAAGGATCAAAAGATTAAACCGGTTTCACCAAACAGTCAATTCCAGGACACAGCCAGCGGTCAAATCCCAGAGTCACTGAGTTTCAAAGCTGAGAATCAGTCCTGGAGTCAAAGCCAAGTCGAAATAGTGTAAGGATCACCATGCTCCAGTAATCTCAGAAGAGAGTTTGTTGTGAAACCAGCACTGCTTGGCTTCCTTTCTAGTGACTGATCTTGTCAATTCCTAAATTAAAAACTGCAAACCTCTCACCATTTCCTATGGCATAAATTCCAAACTTCACATAATATGGCTTTCATGTGTCTCACCCCTCTCCCAGCTCCACTTTCACAAAGCACATTACAAGGCAAATGTCGCAAATACAGACAGCTCTGGCTGCAGCCACAATACCCTCCCTACCCACTCCCTTAGGCACAGGTGCCCTGCAGCCCACGGCTTTATTTCCTTCTTTGATTTCTCCTCCCGCCAAATGACTGCTCCAAAGCAAGATTTAATTGAATGTCATTTCCTCTTTGAAGCCTTTACCACCTCTCCCAGGTTGGGCTAAGGGCAGAAACTTCTTCCTCACTTAGAGCCCATTGTACTGATATATAATTACATGTTTACATGTCTGTCTCCTAATAGGCTTTTATTTGTTGTTTTGTTAGTAACATTACTAGTAGTGATGAAAATTATTGTAACAGAAACTGTTTAGATGATACTTCCTATAGCTTCTATAGTCTAGGCAATGGTAAAAGTGTTTTTATTTTATTTTATTTTATTATTATTATACTTTAAGTTTTAGGGTACATGTGCACAATGTGCAAGTTAGTTACATATGTATACATGTGCCATGCTGGTGTGCTGCACCCATTAACTCGTCATCTAGCATTAGGTATATCTCCTAAAGCTATCCCTTCCCCCTCCCCCCACCCCACAACAGTCCCCAGAGTGTGATGTTCCCCTTCCTGTGTCCATGTGTTCTCATTGTTCAGTTCCCACCTATGAGTGAGAATATGCAGTGTTTGGTTTTTTTGTTCTTGCGATAGTTTACTGAGAAGGATGATTTCCAATTTCATCCATGTCCCCACAAAGGACATGAACTCATCATTTTTTATGGCTGCATAGTATTCCATGGTGTATATGTGCCACATTTTCTTAATCCGGTCTATCATTGTTGGACATTTGGGTTGGTTCCAAGTCTTTGCTATTGTGAATAGTGCCGCAATAAACATACATGTGCATGTGTCTTTATAGCAGCATGATTTATAGTCCTTTGGGTATACACCCAGTAATGGGATGGCTGAGTCAAATGGTATTTCTAGTTCTAGATCCCTGAGGAATCGCCACACTGACTTCCACAATGGTTGAACTAGTTTACAGTCCCACCAACAGTGTAAAAGTGTTCCTATTTCTCCACATCCTCTCCAGCACCTGTTGTTTCCTGACATTTTAATGATTGCCATTCTAACTGGTGTGAGATGGTATCTCATTGTGGTTTTGATTTGCATTTCTCTGATGGCCAGTGATGGTGAGCATTTTTTCATGTATTTTTTGGCTGCATAAATGTCTTCTTTTGAGAAGTGTCTGTTCATGTCCTTCGCCCACTTTTTGATGGGGTTGTTTGTTTTTTTCTTGTAAATTTGTTTGAGTTCATTGTAGATTCTGGATATTAGCCCTTTGTCAGATGAGTAGGTTGCGAAAATTTTCTCCCATTTTGTAGGTTGCCTCTTATGCCATCTCCATCAAGCTACCAATGACTTTCTTCACAGAATTGGAAAAAACTACTTTAAAGTTCATATGGAACCAAAAAAGAGCCTGCATCGCCAAGTCAATCCTAAGCCAAAAGAACAAAGCTGGAGGCATCACACTACCTGACTTCAAACTATACTACAAGGCTACAGTAACCAAAACAGCATGGTACTGGTACCAAAACAGAGATATAGATCAATGGAACAGAACAGAGCCCTCAGAAATAACGCCACATATCTACAACTATCTGATCTTTGACAAACCTGAGAAAAACAAGCAATGGGGAAAGGATTCCCTATTTAACAAATGGTGCTGGGAAAACTGGCTAGCCATATGTAGAAAGCTGAAACGGGAAAAGTGTTTTCAATGTGATGTTTCACTTGCTATCAATAAATTTCCTATTATCACATTATCACTTCATTCTATACTATTTCATATCCTCTTCATCTTATTTATGAATGAACCAAGGCTTAGGGAGCCTTCAACCTTGCCTGAGGTTACATTCATCTTTAAACTTCCAGCCCCTAGCACAGCAATAGCCTCATAAGCACACACAATAGTCCGTTCAGTGCAAAATGAGTGCACGATGGTTGTGATCAGCCAGAACAAGTGGAAATCCAGATCATGTTTGCATTCCACATGTATACAGATACCTACACATGCAGGCTTGTAGACTTAGTTTACTTTTAGAAAAGTTTTATGCAGTCAGTATTCCTTGAGAATAAAGCTTTTAGACACATGCAATGAATTTTCTCTTGTGAAATAATTATTCACACCATGATAACTTCAGTACTAGTATTCTGCTGAAATTTGATGAATTTGAGTACAGCAAACTCAATTAGCTATATTCTAGGTTTGAACCTCGTACCATCCTAGTTTTTGGATATTCTGCCAAATTTATTAAATTGAGGGCCCAATACATTTTTTATGTGAAGATTTTGTTTCCATTATTTTGATAAAAAATGAATTTAGCAAAAATAGAAGCAGTTCTGCTGAGGATTTATGTATAATATAATAACACATTTCACCCATTCAGTGAGACTTTACGAACTAGTGTAAGGTAACATTATGGAGAAAAGATGGTCTTGCTTGTTTCACAGAAAGCAGGTATTAAAGTGTGGACACATTACAGAGAGAATGTTACCTACCAGGGAGCATCAAACAAACAGCAATCCACCTCCTGCTGTTACAGTTTATCCAAAGAGCTCAGACATCAGCTTTTCTTTCCATTTCTCAGGGATAAAAATCTATTTTCTCTCCATTAGAATATCATCTGTTGAAAATGTTCACTGCCTGAAGATTAAAAACTTCTCTACTCTGGGGGTGGATTTTTCTTTTATATCCTGGCCTTGGAGACAAATAGAGGAAAACTATCAATGTGTAATGATTATTACGCAGAGTGCTGTACCTACTACTTACATTCTTAAATATGTTCTGCATTAGCACCTCTGAGATTCATAGGGATATTAGATCATCTCTTTCCATCTCTTCTGAGATGCCCAAGGAATCTTATGGAGAGAGGAATGTTATCAGGTGTTTTTCTAGCATAAAACCTCTTCTTCCCTATACCTCATACAGTTTTTTAGCCTAAGCTTCTGTGAAATATTGGTTTGAATAAATAAATGTAAATGTGAATACAAAAACTATTCACCCATTTTGGAAATCACACATTTAATCTCAAGTCATTTTCAGATAGGAAAACTGAGGCCCAAGAAATCACACTATTGGTTGCTGGTGGCACCAGAACTAGTCTTTATGTTATAGCATCCCTTGATCTTGGAGTTCCTATCTTCTACCTGCATCCCAGAATTCTTCATTAAACCTGGCCACCTTCTGTACACTCTTAATTAAAAGTGGAATTGATTGCATTCTCAGGTATTGACATTATACAGATAAAAGAGGGGAAGCAAGTTTTTGCTAAAATGACCTGAATTTTTTTATTCTGCTAATGAACAAGCCAAACACTCTCCTAAAGCTAATTCCGCTTACTTTAATAGGCTGCAATACTCATACATATTCTCTAAACTTTCTGAACTCTGTTTCTTAGAGCCTCCTCAAAAGAAAAAAAAATCCCTCCTTAATGAGATTTGTGTTTATTTGTCTACTCCATCAATTTCATCACCACTTCAGGCTACAAAGGATATTTCTACTCAAGTAAAGTGAAAACTTGGCATTCGTAGCTCTATTAGTGATGGGGACCACAGGTGAGGATAAGGTGCTTTTTGGGATAGTCCAGTGAGTGAGGCAAACATTTCAGCTTGTGATTATTTTTCCTAGCTCCTGATAATTGCCTCTGTCTTTCCCTTTGCTTCTCATGTCTAGACACACTGCCCATTCATGACCTGTTAAGTAAACTAGGCAGCAGATTAAAACACTTGTTTTTCTGGAGAATATCATGATAGTAGCCCCTAGGCATTCTGAAATGAGGGTCTCAATTGCTGTATTGGCATCTGATATGAGAAAAAGGACAAGCAACGACTTTTTAGTTGAATTCGCAGTATTATTTTTTTCTTCTGGTCACCATTAGTGTAAGCTTGTGTTGGGCTAGGTGATACATGTATTGTGGACTGAGGGACAGTCTGTCCTTCATGCTCAGGTGCCTTGACCCACATGAAATAAATGACAAATAAGAACATCTGTGAGCCAGGATTGTACTTCCTCGGGAATTCCAGGTTACCTATGGAAACAGTTGCCTGAGAGTCCACATTATCCTCAGACTTACGATTTGACCAATATGAGAAAACTCCAGGGTTGCTTTTTCTTTCTAGCAATACTGGATTACTGGCTTGCCAATAAGCATTCTTTATTCCAGTGTGCCCAGGGCAAAGGCTGCAGTCAAGAGTGCTGTGACAATTTTACTATAGTACTTAGACTGTATGGGAGTGAATTCTTTTTGGGAAGGAAAACATTTGTGGAAGAAAAATAAATGACAAATTAGGTAGAATCAACTGACTGACAAAATAGTAACTGATGATTTTTTAGTCATGTCATGTAAATAAAGTGATATATTTTTTAAGTCTTGAGAATTCTTTTACTTAACCTGAAGCAAAAAGCAGAATGTGAAATGTATTAAGAATAGAGAGAGTTCCTTTTTATCTTTAACATTATTATACTTTGAGCATTAGCATGATATTAGTTTTGAAAGTGCAAATTGAGAGAATAGAATTTAGGAAATTACTTACATGGGTTACGAAGGTATCATTTTGACATTTGTGGAGTTAACTATGTGAGCCATGCCCAAAGAAAAAGAGGAAATGACTTGGGAAGCTCCATTAGTAGAAAACAGTAAGTGGGAAGAGATGACATAGTAGATGTCAAGATGGATAGAGAGATAAGGCAGATTGAACAACTTGTAGAATAGACCCACTGCATCTGAGCCTGAGGATCTGGTGTCAATAAGCAGCAAGCACTGGCAGCCATACTGAGTACAGAATTTACTTGGCAGAACGTACCAATAGTAATAGCAAACATTGCTTTGGCTCCTTAAAAATCCTTCTTATTTGCTCTTTATGCCTCAAGAAAATCCTGCAAAGTGCTCCTTTAAATGCTTATACAGTTTTATGTGTATAGAGAAGAGCTATATCACCATCAAGCTATTCTACATTTGAAATTAAGGAAGAAATAGTTTATCCCTTCATGAAATGATATTGACAGGAAGCAATTTTAAACTGTTCAACAAGTTTTAAAATTCAGCTGATAGCTCTCAGACTGGTTAAAGTGAATGCAAATGTTAGAAGGCTGGTAGTGAGAAAATTAGGCCTGGATGTACCATTAGACCTTTGTATTAAAAGATTCTACCATTACGTGTTTGGAGAACAATATTATTTATTTTGTTTTTTATAAAATAAGACATAACAATCTTTAGTTTTGCAGTTTATTGAATCCAGGAAACTGTCAATACTTTTCCAAGCAGGCAGTATTTTGACTCTCGTGATCTGGAAATTAGTATTTCTAATGCCAAACTAAACACTTTTATAATTATTACACTAACCTAACATTTCTCATGAAGCATTTATGTTGACCTGTGATCAAGTCCTATGCAATTTATGGTTTATACCCTTAAGGAAGCCATGTCTATTTTAAGCTGTGTTGGAAGGAAACATTTATGAGAAAGGACACATTTACTTAGAAAATGTGGGGGAAACATGAAGGTTAGCCATATGATGTCTCCATAAAATCTTCATGCACTTTGAAACTTAAATAATTAAGTTGATAAATATAAAAAAATACATAACAGATAATTCTTTAATATTGAAGATAAACAACTTTATGTAATATTTCAGAGAGTGTGATGAGTGAAAGATAAGTGAAAATTAACTAAATTCCTATCAGTCAGGAGACAAAAATCTAGCTTAATTTTTTAAAAAGCACTTACAATTTGTTTATATTACATTCAAAACACACACATCCTTAAAGTCTTAAAATCTTACATATGACATATGAAAGCCATCTCTGTGGAATGATCTGAGAAGAATATGTATATACTAGGAGCCTGGATATTAAGAATTTTGAATGAAGGATGAGACAAATTTGGCACGCAGAAAAAGATGGACAACGTTGGCTTTGGAAATAATTCTTAGCAATTTTATTAAACTATTTATCCCAGTGCCTAGCAAATAGTATGTGATGAAAACATATTGACTTGCTTCCCTTCCTGTAGATAAGAGATATAAAACTTGTTTTTCTTGAATGGATGATGCTGTTTCCTAAAGTCAGTTTAATGAATTACTGTTTGGTAAAGTCAGTTTAATGAATTATGGGAGTCCAGAGTTCTTTCATCTGAAATGTGTCCCTAGAAGTTTACTTAAAAGCTATAATCTACATACGTCACCAGATGTCACTATCAATTGCAGCATCCTTTGGTGGGATACATAATCTAACTGATTCAGAATGGGACAGAAGTTGTTTTTCCTAATGTAATTTAACTAATAATTATTGAGCACACCCTACCAAGCTGTCATAAAGACAAATTAGAGGCAGTGAGTTATATGTAAGCGTTGCCTTTACCAAGTTCAGATTCTACCCTGTGAACCTGAGGGGTAGGTAACGAGCAACAGTGATGAACAGATCCATGTATGACTCTCTCTCCGGCCAACTCTTTGGTGAGAAACATAATAAAGGTGTAAGTGAAATGTATTGGCAGCATGGCAAACCGAGCATCAGCATCCCATCAGCTGTTAAGAGGAGGTGATATTTGAGCTGGGCCATGAAGGGTGCAGATGGTGACAAAGAATGAGCAAGAACCAGTCACACAAATAAATGAAGTGGAGTCTGGTGGTTTTGTGTAGTGTATAAAAACAAAATACCTTCAAAGTTGCAGTCTTTCTGAAACATTTTAATATGTGCTTCTAGAGAATGAAACTCGGAGAACTTGTAGTTTAAACCACAATGGCGTTACTAATGCCCCAAAATACCTCCCTTGCTAAAAGATGTATTAATTTACTACTTAGTAGAAACAAGCAGTAAGTAAAAACAAAGCACAGTTTGCCTATATTTTGTGATGACAAAGTGAGGTAGAAAAGTAATGATATTTATCTCTATTATTCTCCTTTTAATGTTTTTGTTAATGAATCAGCAACCCAAAGAGAGGGATAAAGTATTTGTCAAATTTCTGAGGGTGAGGACAGCAAAGACAAACAGATCTTGGTGGAGTTTTTCTTTTGTGTCTGTGTGTGTGAGAGAGTGAGAGGGAGAGAGGGAGAGAGATAGAATAGGAGAAGGAGAAGGCAGAAAAAAAGGAAAGAAAAAAGAAGAGGGAGAAAGGAAAGAAGAGAGAAAAAGAAAGACTCTCAGAGCTTATATTTGGAAATTGTTCTTTTTTTCACTTAGAAAAATGTTTGTGTTTCTAAAAACTGCTATACTGAGAGCCATAGGAAGTGTATCTATATTTGAAGAAATCTATGTGAGCTATCAGTGTGGCATTAAAATTCAGGTAATTTTTGAGTGGTGAAGAGCATATTTGAAATTGTGATGCACCCTGACAAACGGGATGATGCTGAAATCTTGCAGTCCATGAAATCTGGTTGGATGAGATTCATAGGAAATATTGGTATGAATTACCCCTGCTGGTGGCCCAGTGAGGGCATAGAGCAAAGCTATGGGCAGGTCTTTAGCCAGTCTGCTTTTGCCACTGTGAGACCTCAACAGTTATTTCACTGGGGCCAAATGTTTTCTGGTGGCTCACATGAAATAGTTTAAATTACATGTAAATAAATGTGGAAGGAGACAGTGGGGAAGACCATGGCCTTTGGAATTAGAAAAACTTGGTTTTGAAAGTTAACCAATTTACCTGTCTTTTCTGAGCCCCAGGATTATTATAAAATCTTAAATTAAGTAAATGCGGTACATAGTGTGCTGATGATTGAGAAATGTGGGACTACACGTGTAGAGAAAAATTTATTTAGCTTTAAGTAAAATAAGAAATGGAGATATTATAAAATAATAACCTTGCTAACATTGAATAAAGTGAGAGAGAAAAAGAGGGAGACAGACAGAGTCAAGAGAGATTTTCCAGGGGCTGCTGGGCTATGGTGGGTTTTCCAGGGGTTGGTGGAGGAAAACCGTAATCATAACATAGTCTTTGCCTTACCAATACATAGCAGATTATAGGACATGAATTTTTACTGAACAATATGTGATTTAATGCTGACGTGAGGGCAAGGATGCTGAGAAACATGCCACTCCGGATCCAAACTGATGCAGTGAGTTCACGCTATGTATAGATGACAGAAGTTGAGTCGGTTCCCAGCTGTGTGACCTTGGGCTAGTTCCTTTGCCTCAGTTTCTCCATCTATAAAATAGGATAATATGTACTATATGAAGTTACAGATTAAATGAAGGGGTCCAAAGCATATTCCTCTTCTTCTCTGCTTGATATTGCTCTCTGGCATCCAGGGACTGCTTTGGCTCTCAAAGTGGTGTCGGAGTGTCATGTTGGTGATGGCTTTGCCTCTGCCCATGCAACCGTTCTCACAGAGTCATGGCCCACAGACATAATGGCACAGAACAGATCAATAGAAATGCCACAGTCTTATGTTGTTTCGGTTCAGCTACTACATAGCACAGCCTATAGACTGATATTATGCCTGGAGCCTCTGGATCTTCCCAGAAGAATATTACCTTGAGAGAACCCAGATGATAACACATCCAAAAGAACCTGGCATATTTTTGGTGGAATAAGTGTATAATTGGGGGGATAAAACATTGTCTCCCCCAATTATATTGTGGGGACAGTGAGGAATAGGCCAATCTGTTGAGCCCAGACAGAAAAGACAATCCTTTAGTTATAATAAGGGTAAACAAATTAGCAAGAATGGATTGTAAGCCATGAGTAGTTGGGAAGAGTAAATCTGCACAGGATTCTTTATTTAGCTTGATTCTCTTAATATCTGTTCTGTGTGGTGGTAAAACTTACTGGCATATAATCTGTCTGTGTCCTGAGTCTGTGCAGATTGAGGCTGTAGATAACACAGTTTATCCCCAAGTCTGATTTTTAGTTTTTGTTTGTTTTTGAGACAGAGTCTCGTTCTGTCGCCAGGCTGGAGTGCAGTGGCATGATCTCAGCTCACTGCAATCCCCACCTCCAGGGTTCAAACTATTCTCCTGCCTCCGCCTCCCAAGTAGCTGGAATTGCAGGGGTGCACCACCATGCCCAGTTCATGTTTGTATTTTTAGTAGAGACGAGGTTTCACCATATTGGCCAGGATGGTCTCGATCTCTTAACCTGGTGATCCGCCTGCCTTGGCCTCCCAAAGTGCTGGGATTACAGGTGTGAGCCACTATGCCCAGCCTCATTGATAGGTTTAATGGCCAAAATTAGTACCTTCCATTAGAATTTATTGGAATAAAAGTATTGTTTATAGATCAATGAGACATGTAAAATAATATTGGTTAATTTCTTTTTACTTTTTTATTTTTGGAGACATGGTCTCACTCTTTCACCCAGGCTGGAGTGCAGTGGTGCAGCCATAGCTCACTACATCTTTGATCTCTTAGGCCCAAGTGATCCTCCTGCCTCAGCCTCCTGAGTAGCTGGGACTACAGGCATGAGACACCATGCCCAGCTATTATTATTATTATTATTTAGTGACGGATTTTTGCTGTGTTGCCCAGGCTGGTCTCAAACTCCTGGCTTCAAGAGATCTTCCCACCTTAGCCTCCCAAGGCACTGGTACTACAGTCGTGAGTCACCATGCCTGGCCTTGGTTACTTGCTTATACATGTTCTTCATATGTCACTTTACCAAATTTTTTTTTTTTGTTAATTTGTTTGCTTTGTTTAGTTTTGTTTGTAAAATCAGATATCACAATGGTAGTTCTTATTATTGCCCCAAATAGCAGAGAAATTTCCTTTTACTATGCCAGAAAACCACCAACGAAAGAAACCAATTTCTCCCTTGAGAAATTTGAAGCAAAGCTTGCAGAGATCCTTGATAACACAAAGTTGCCAATAAAATCTGGGGGCTTCTCAGTCCATGAGAGTCTTCTTAGTTCCAACTGTTGCAAGCCCAGTTGTGAGTGGAGGTAGGATTTGCAACAATTAGAAGTAAAGCTATAAAGGCAAGGCAGATGCAAGGATCAAATACGGAAATTTTCAGCTGACTCATTCTTGGATGAGCAGATTTCATTGTTGGATTGCTGACACCAGCAAATTTTGTAGAAAGATGGACTCAGAGTGAGATATATGATGTCTCAGGAATCTGAATGTCTTGGCTCACTGATAACACTTACCCTTAGTGATCCCAGTGGGTTTGCAGCTCTCAGAGAAAGTCACCTCGCTGATCATAGTCCTGGAAGATCCTAGCCCATACGTTCTGCCATGATGTACATAGTGTTGCTTAAGTAAATCCCCCTGTTTGAGACCAATTGTAGATATTTGCATAAGTGTAACTGTAACCTAGAAGCTAGCAGCTGACTATTGCAATTTTATATCAAAAATAGAATGGAGGCCCTAAGCCCCAATGATCATGGAAACCTACTTGAAAGACAAGACACTCTGGAATACATATGGAGGAAAAAATGTCATTGTAAATGACATTGAAATCATCTGCATGCCAATTCTCAGTGGTAAAAGTGAAAAACAAGTCTTTCCAATGTATTTATAGCTGTATGGATAATAAATCAGGCATTTTCTTGTGCTATGTAATGCTCTTCCCAGACCACATTAAAAATATTGTGTACCATCCCAGCACCATATGATAGCATGATAGAATTCCAAACTGATATGTATTTAACTTTTTTATACGGATGGTTAAATGTTCTATCTGACAGACATGCTGGAGGCAATGAGAGAGGAACTGTAATGGTAGGGATAGTTTCTGGAGCTCCAAGGCATAAACAGAGGTTCAGAAAAATCAGAGTCACACTTCTGCTTGCCCATTTAAAAACAAAAACACAGGTTTTAATTCCATGTATACTTAGGGAATGCTTTTACTTATTTATTGTGTAATGAGCAGTTTATAGCCATGAAAAAAATGCACCCCTTCAAAAGGCTTGCTGCCCACTAATATGATGGACACATTTACAGATTAGTGTAATACTGTACTGCAACAGGTCATATTCTAGAATAGACAGGGAGACTTACAGCTCAGAATTCAGATTTAAAATATATTTAAATACAGGCATACCTCATTTTATTGTGTTTCCCTTTATTGAGCTTCACAGATAGTGCTTTTTTGGGGGGTTTGTTTACAAATTGAAGGTTTGTGGTAACCCTGCTTTGAATTAGTCTGTTGGTGCCATTTTTTTTTCTCAACAGAATATGATTAATTTGTGTCTCTGTGTCACGTTTTAGGAATATTTCCAATATTTTAAGTTCGTTATCAGTATCTGTTTTGGTGATCTTTGATCAGTGATCTTTGATGTTAATATTGTAATTGTCTTGGAGCACCATGAATCATGCCCATATAAAAAAGCAAACTTATTTGAAAAATGTGTTGTGACCGCTCCACCAACTGTCCATTATGTCATCTCTTCCCTTTACCTTGAGCCTCGTTATTACCTGAGACACAGCAATGTTAAAATTAGGCCAGTTAATAATTCTACAGTGGCTTCTCAGTGTTCAAGTGAAAAAGAGGAGTCATGTATTTTCCACTTTAAATCAAAAGCTATAAATGATTAAGCTTAGTGAGGAAGGCACGTTGAAAGCCAAGGCAGGCTGAAGGCTAGACCTCTTGCGCCAAACAGTTAGCTAAGTTGTGAATGCAAAGGAAAAGTTTTTGAAGGAAATTAAAAGTGCTACTCCAGTGAACACACACATGATAAGAAAGTGAAACAGCCTTATTGCTGATATGTAGAAGGTTTCAGTGGTCTGGATAGACGATCAAACCAGTCACAACATTTCCTTCAGTCAAATCTTAATCCACAGCAAGGCCCTAACTCCTTTCAATTCTATGAAGACTAAAAAATGTAAGGGAGATGCACAAGAAAATTTTGAAGCTAGCAGAGGTTCATGATATTGAAGGAAGGAAGCCATCTCCATGACATCAAAGTTCAATGTGAAGCAGCAGGTGCTGATGAAGAAGCTGTAGCAAGTTATCCAGAAAAATAGAACTAAGATAACTGATGAAGATAGCTACACTAAACAACAGATTTTCAATATAGATGAAACAGCCCTCTATTAGAAGAAAATACCATGTAAGACTTTCATATTTAGAGAGAAGTTAATGCCTGGCTTCAAAGCTTCAAAGGACAGGCTGACTCATTTGTTAGGGGCTAATGCAGCTGGTGATTTTAAATTGAGGCCAGTGATCATTTACCATTCTGAAAATCCTAGGGCCATTAAGAATTATGATAAATCCACTCTGACTGTGTTCTATAAGTGGAACAACCAAACCTGGATTGACAGTGCACCTGTTTACAGCATGGTTTAAGGGATATTTGACACCTATTCCTGAGACCTACTGCTCAGAAAAAAGTATTATTTTCAAAGTATTACTGCTCATTGACAATGCACCTGGTCACCCAAGAGCTCTGATGGAGATGTACAAGGAGATTCATGTTGTTTTCATTCCTGCTAACACGATACCCATTCTGCAGCCCATAGATCAAGGAGTCATTTCGACTTTCAAATCTTATTATTTTAGAAATACATGTCATAAAGCTATAGTTTCCATAGAGGGTGATTTCTATGAGGCATCTGGGCAAAGTCAATTGAAAACCTTTTGGAAAGTATTCACCATTCTAGGTTCCGTTAAGAACATTAATGATTTATGGGAAGAGTCAAATGATCAATATTAACAGGAGTTTGGAAGAAGTTGATTCCAACCCTCATGGATGACTTAGGCGTTCAAGGCTTCAGTGGAGCAAGTTGCTGCATACGTGGTGGAAATAGCAAGAGAATGAGAAATAGAAGGGTAATCTGAAGATATGAATGAATTCCTGCAATCTCATGATAAAATATGAACAAATGAGGAGTTGCTTCTTAAGGATAAGTGAAGAAAACAGTTTCTTGAGATGGAATCTACTTCTATTGAGGATGCTATGAATATTGTTGAGATGACAACAAAAGATATACAATATTACATAAGTTAGTTGAGAAAGCAGCAGCAGGGTCTGAGAAGATTGACTCCAATTGTGAAAGAAGTTCTACTGTGGGTACAATGCTGTCAAATAGGATAGCATGCTACAGGAAACTGTTTAATGAAGAGAAGATTCAATTGATAGGACACATTTTATTGTTGTCCTATTTTAAGAAGTTGCCACAGCCACCTCAATGTCCAGCAACCACTTCCCTGATCCATCAGCAGTCATCAATATTGAAGCAAGATTTTCCACCAGCAAAAAGATTAATGACTCACTGAAAGCTGAGATGATCATTAACATTTTCTAGCAGTAAAATATTTTAAATTAAGGTATGTACATTGTTTTTTAGACATAACGCTATTGCACATTTAATGGACTACAGAATATTATAAACATATCTTATATGCATTGAGAAACCAAAAAAATTGTGTGACTCACTTTGTTGTAATATTCGTTTTATTGCAATGGTCTAGAACTGAACCTACAATATCTACCAGTTATGCCTTGATATGGTTTGGCATTGTCCCCACCCAAATCTCATCCTGAATTGGAGCTCCCACAATTCCCACATGTTGTGGGAGGGACCCAGTGGGAGGTATCTGGTGGGAGGTAATTGAATCATGGGAGTTCTCATGTGCTGTTCTCATGATAGTGAATAAGTCTCATAAGATTTGATGATTTTATAAAGGGGAGTTTCCCTGTGCAAGTTCTTTCTCTTGCTTGCCACCATGTAAGACATTCCTTGCTCTTCTGCCGTGATTGTGAGGCCTTCCCAGCTATGTCGAACTGTGAGTCAATTAATCCTCTTTCTTTTATAAATTACCCAGCCTCATGAGAATCACTTGAACCCGGGAGGTGGACATTGCAGTGAGCCAAGATTGCACCATTACATTCTAGCCTGGGCGACAAAAGTGAAACTACATCTCAAATAAAATAAAATAAAATAAAATAAATAAAAAAAATAAAATAAAATAAAATAAAATAAAACACCAAGCTTCGGGTGTGTCTTTATTAGCAGCATGAGAACTGACTAATACATGGCTGAATAAGGCTTTTCTACAGACTTCAGATATCTTCCTCTTCTACGCATCTTGTTTGTACCTTCTTGTCATCATTTCCTAAGTACGTGTCCCTAAAAGCATTGTTTAACCTCTCTAAGCCTTAGTTTTATCCTCTGTCATATGACAATGGCACAAAATAATTAATAGTTTTATTGTAAATGTTTAATAACTGAAAACTCCAGAACTGCTTAGTACAGTGTGTGGCACAGACAATCAACAATACCCATATCTTACTTTATCATTATTACAGTATAGTAGAACAAGTGCTGCGGAATCAATAAGTGAGTTAATACACAAATAATTTAGACTGTAATTTTATGGCCATATAATATCTTGAGACCTGATAATCAAGGCCAAGAGTATCATATAAAAAATTTTCTCATAATCAACTTCTGATCATCAGTCTTCTTCACAGATGTTATTTCTTCAACCACTTGGATATTTCCATGATTTCTGGAACTCCCTGTCACAAGTTGGGCAATTACAGGCGAGAGTTTTGTTACCTCCTGAGTTTCTGCCACTTGGTCACTTGTGCAGAGATGCCTTAGTGGAGAAGCAGATGGCAGTGATGGTTTTCATCTGTGGGTTTTATTATTTTGTTTGTTTTTCTTTATTGTTATGGCTAATCAAATTTCACAGTTTTCTTGCAGGAAAAGCTGAACCAAGTGCAATACAAGTTGGAAAGTAGAAACCATTTATTCCTTAATGTCTTACCAAGTACCCAGGCACCTGCTAGGTATTAGGAAGGGTGTCAAAAAGATCACCCACCTGGCTTGTGGAGCTTCCAGTTAGGCTGAATAACTAGGTGGAGATCAGGGAGGCATTTTATTTATTTATTTATTCATTTATTTATTTTTACAGCATGCAAGTCTTGCATTTATTTATTTTTTTAATTATACACTGATTTTTTATTATACTTTAAGTTCTAGGGTACATGTGCACAACGTGCAGGTTTGTTACATATGTATACATGTGCAATGTTGGCGTGCTGCACCCATTAACTGGTCATTTACATCAGGTATATCTCCTAATGCTATCCCTCCCCCCTGCCCCCACCCCACAACAGGCCCCAGTGTGTGATGTTCCCCACCCCATGTCCAAGTGTTCTCATTGTTCAATTCCCACCTATGAGTGAGAACATGCGGTATTTGGTTTTTTGTCCTTGTGATAGTTTGCTGAGAATGATGGTTTCTAGCTTCATCCATGTCCCTACAAAGGACATGAACTCATCATTTTTTATGGCTGCATAGTATTCCATGGTGTATATGTGCCACATTTTCTTAATCCAGTCTATCATTGATGGACATTTGGGTTGGTTCCAAGTCTTTGCTATTGTGAATAGTGCCACAACAAACATATGTGTGCATGTGTCTTTATAGCAGCATGATTTATAATCCTTTAGGTATATACCCAGTAATGGGATGGCTGGGTCAAATGGTATTTCTAGTTCTAGATCCTTGAGGAACCACCACCCTGTCTTCCACAATGGTTGAACTAGTTTACAGTCCCACCAACAGTGTAGAAGTGTTCCTATTTTTCCACATCCTCTCCAGTACCCATTGTTTCCTGACTTTTTAATGATCCCCATTCTAACTGGTGTGAGATGGTATCTCATTGTGGTTTTGATTTGCATTTCTCTGATGGCCAGTGATGATGAGCATTTTTTCATGTGTTTTGGCTGCATAAATGTCTTCTTTTGAGAAGTCTCTGTTCATATCCTTCACCTACTTTTTGATGGGGTTGTTTGATTTTTTCTTGTAAATTTGTTTGAGTTCTTTGTAGATTCTGGATATTAGCCCTTTGTCAGATGGGTAGATTGTAAAAATTTTCTCCCATGTTGTAGGTTGCCTGTTCACTCTGATGGTAGTTTCTTTTGTTGTGCAAAAGCTCTTTAGTTTAATTAGATCCCGTTTGTCAATTTTGGCTTTTGTTGCCATTACTTTTGGTGTTTTAGCCATGAAGTCCTTGCCCATGCCTGTGTCCTGAATGGTATTGCCTAGATTCTCACTCTGTCACTCAGGCTGAAGTGCAGTGGCATGATCACAGCTCACTGCAGCCTTGACAGGGAGGCAATTTTAAGGAAACCAGTGAAGACAAGTTATGGGCATTGGACATAAACCTTTTCTCTGAGAAGAAAGAGTAGGAGGGATGGAATCAATCCAGGACAGCTAGCTGGGGACATGATGGTTCTCTGCTGGATAGAACGATCTGGATTTTAAACAGGAAAGGATGGGCATTTGAGAACAAAAGAAGATAGATGATAAATAAAGACATGAATTCACTTTGACTTTAGAGAAAGGAAGTAAAGGGTCTTTTGGAGCAAAGGGAAAGGTTAATGGAGGGCCCTGATATCCAGCCTGAGAAGAGTACATTTAATCTGATCAGTGAAAAGGATCCACCAGAGGCTCCTAAGTAGAGTAAAGACATAATGAAAAGGAGTTTAGGAAGATTTTCTAGCAGCATTGTGCAGGTGGAATTGGAGCGAGAAAGACTCTAAGCAAAGAAACCAGTGAAATTGCTACTGCAGCCTCCTGGTTTAAAGTGATGGGATCCCATACTAGGGTGATGCTGGTAGAAAGGAGAAAAGGGTCTGATTTATCAAACTCTGTGTGTTTTGAAGATTACATGTGTACCTGAAATGAATGAATGTTCCTCAGAATAACAATCTCTTTACTATATACAATTTTATATCATCCTTCTACCACCTCCCATCTCCCAGAAACTATACAAATAAATTCTAAGGAAGCATGAGTTTTACAAGAATAAATTTGTTCAGTATTCTTCCACTAGGAGCTTAAGTCCATGTGTTTCAGTATCTTCCAAGATGGATATGCACAGCGATGACTACGAATGTCTTTCATTTCTTATCCCCAAACATATTATAAACAAGCCAGCTATATACATTTTTGCTGGGAAAATATGGCAGATTAAGACAATCTTTGATTTAACAAAATTTGAGCTTTTTCTTTTTGGATATTTAATTGCCTGCTAAGTGTATATATATATTTTTATTATTGAAAAAATCAGAGGGACATTCTCAGTTTTTTATCCCCTAACTATACCTATTTAGAAAGTAGATACTGATTGGTAATTTATAATATAACATTATACCAGCATTTCAGTTTTAGCTACTAGTTATCTTACATCCATGTGTGCTTGTCTTTTGAAGATTGCTTTAAGAGTTTTCTAGGTCTTGTTTTCTTTCTAGAAAACAAGTAGAAGCCTTTATATTAATATCTGTATGTGCATAACTTGATGAGCACTTTTGCTTCTTAGAGAACCTAACACCTATCTGCAATCTTCTCAAAGTTCAACTGTTTATCCTTAGATAACTTGCCCATTTTCTTCTTTGCCTATACTATTTATAAGTGCAAACAATGGTAAAATATCAATTTTAATAATGTGAAACTATTTCAGGATTTTATCAGATGTTCAGAAACTTTAATGATATAAGTCATATTTGATGTATGGAGTCACCGCTAGGGACCAATTCTTATGAATAAATTTTTTTTTCTGGTCTTTGCTAACATTAAAATATTTTGAGAAGCTAATTGGCCAAATGATAGCAAAATAAGTAGCTGAACGAGGAGTCTGGCTATGTTAACTGGATTGATTAGGTAATAAATTTTTACTGAATTTATTTAAGCACATTTTGTTAAGCACCTTGGTGGGGGCTAAGCATAATGCTCGTAATTGGGTAGCAAGAAGTGTGTAATTTTTATGGAATATCTTATGGAATGCATAGCCCTTGAGAAGACCAGGCATATTCACAACATATTTAATGGAAGTCAGACTTGGGAATACAACAGCACATAGTTTAAAATGAGAGTGAAATTTTTTCGTGGTGGGATTGTAAAAGATCAAGGATATGTTAGTCTGAGGTTATTGATTTCACAAATAATTGGTGTTTCTGGGACTGTTATGTAAGGTGTCCAATAGAAGAGAGAAGCAGGTTAGAAATCTAGGACTGAAGATTGGGCCTGAAGAATGAATGGCCTTAATCATGATCTAAGGAGTGTGAACTTGATTCTGAAGACATTAGAAAAGTATCTGTGATGTTTGATCAAGGAAGATACTTTATGACATCAGAGCCATAAATAAGTGCTTTGTAAAACAGTGCTTTCGCCAATGTAAAAATAGAAATCATTTAGAATAGCAGTAACCATTATATCCGCTTGGGAGAGATTATGGGATTCTATTTTTATTCCATGACCATAGAGAATCAATCCATTACTTCACTATATTTTGTATTCTCAAGATTCCAGCAGATAATTATCAACATTTATTAGTGAATCTGTTTATTGATTATGTTCAATTGTTGAAAAATGTTATCAAAATATACTACTAAAAGTATCCACAGCAAAAAATTTCCAGTAAAAAGTCAAAATGCAATTCTTCTTTTTTTTTTTTTTTTTTTGGTAAATTGGTATTAAGTGGGGATGAGAGCAAGGGAACTGTTTTTCTATTAAATTTTCAAGGTTCATTTTATTAAGAGACAAGAAATTGAAAAATTAACTCATCATCACGCTACCCTGGCGCCGTGTCTCACGGCTGGAATCCCAGCACTTTGGGAGGCCGAGGTGGGTGGATCACGAGGTCAGAGGTTTGAGACCAGCCTGCCTAATACGGTGAAACTTCGTCCCTACTAAAAATACAAAAATTAGCCGGGTGTGGTGGCATGAGCCTGTAGTCCCAGCTACGCGGGAGACTGCGGCAGAAGAATCGCTTGAACCTGGGAAGCGGAGGTTGCAGTAAGCTGAGATCGCGCCACTGCACTCCAGCCTGGGTGACAGAGCAAGACTCCATCTCAAAACAAACAACAACAACAACAATAAAAACATGCCATGCATGTAAAGCAAACAAAGAAATATGTTCTTACTTTAATTCTTTTAAAATGCCCTCTCATCAGGACACAAACTCTCATAAAAATGTAATTCAAAGCTTTGAATATCACATTGTGGTTCTGACAGCCAACATAATTATTTCCTTTTAATCCTTTTCCTACTTTGTATATGTCATATGCAGTTCATTTCACATACATTTTATTATTTCCAAATATGTCTAATATTTTGGTAGTATAATTGTTTTTAGAAGTAGTGTACAAATGAAGAATTTGGTATTCTTATTTCACTGAGTATGGAACTTAGCATTTTCTTTTAAAATAGGAGACAGTAGTACGTTCAGTCTTTCATCCTCAAAATATGTAACTTACTTTTTATTATAAGCTACACCAACTCTTTATATCATTGTCACTTGGTCTTTGTTTATGGTGAGTTGGAAGCAAACATTTCTGCTATAGTCCTAAATGTTATTTCAGTTAATAGTTTCTTACTGAATAGAGTTAGAGGGTATTAGAGGAGTTGGAAAAATATACTGTACCAACGTCTGGAGTAGTAAGGGATTTTTATGTTTCCTTTCTTTCGTTTCGTAACCAGCCTATGTTTAGGTCATAGTGAATGTGATATCATTATCTTTACAGAGTAGTTATCTGAGTGCATGTAACCTCATTTTCTATAATGGGAGGTTATGGATGAAGAGCATATCCTACTTCCTAATACTGTCATAGTCAGGGCTCTTAAGCATCATTTTTGTATGTGATGTCTGTATTAAACTAAATTGCAATTCTAGGTGAAAGGTAATATTGGGAACATCTAACTCAGTTCTGATGTTTTCAAAGTGAACCACAATTCAAATCAGTATTCAAGAGGCTCAAACTTCTCTATTTTAAGAGAAATGGAGTCTGTCAACTCTTCACTGTCTTCTTCACATCTCCTGCAGCAATCTGCAGAGCAAATTATTGCTTTCACCATGTTCCTACCATCTCTAGTAATGCTAATTACACTAACTTGCATTTAATTCTGTAATGTTATGTCATCCATTCTGGATGTGAACTTGTTAATGGGATCTTATTCAGCTTTTCTAGTGCCTAGCATATTGTCAAGGACACAGTGGGCTTTAAATAAATCCTTATTGAATGAATGAATGATGGAAAAATCAAAGACAGGCTACAAATATATGAATGTCAGGAATTTTATTTACTACACTTTGATTTTAAGCAAATATTAATGGTTATACAAAGAACTCTTCAGGAAAGCTATTCTTTTTAAAGAAATTTCCACTGGGCTTTGAGACAGAGGAAATACACCTTCATAGGCAAATATGGCAGAGAGGGTGAAGGAAACGGATAAAAAGGTTGTCTATCAGAATAAGGACAGATAGTGTTTTTAGTAATCATGCTAAAATAATGGGAGATAATAGGAATGATTGAAAGAAATCTTCTTGGGTTTATGACTAAACCAGACACCTACTTGTTCACTTTTTAAAATTCAATTGTACATATATTTTTTAAACTTCCTAAGGTTAAACCTTCCAAGGTCAAGAGTAAGAGTATAGGGATGTTGTAGCTAGTTTGGAATGCATTCCATCCTAGCTCCTGCAAGCTCCTTTCACTCAAAAGTGCTCAGAGATGTGATTAGAACCCCCAGTTTTTCATCCTAGAGCAGACTTCCTTTGTCTAGGTCTTTGGCCTGAAAATTCAGCATCCCACGTGTCTTGCTGCACCACTGAGATCATCTTTGTTAGGTAATTTGAGCACTCATTCAGAAATACTGCAATCACAAATTATTTTGCAGTGATTCTAGATAGGAGGGTATTAGTAGCTGCTAGGATCATCAATTTAGCTAGAATAGGTTTTTACAGCCAAGTTGGGTTTTTATGACCCATTACAAACCACTCTTTGTACACATGAAAAAGCAGCAGAAGTGGCATGTCTACAGGAATAATTAGACATAGCATGATGACTACAACCCGTTTTCTTGATTCTCCTCAGTTATTTTGTCTGTAGTAGTATAAATGGAGCTTTAAGACACTGCTCAGGATGAATTGTTCGATTGAGGTAACAATGTGACTGAAAGATATGTAGAAATTGTCTCTTGCTGTTAGATTCGATGTTTGCTTTTTCTTTGAAAATATGAACTTGAACGAGGTTAATGTTAATAAGGTACTTCTGTAGCTTTATTTTTTAAACTGTTGAAATTTATTTTTTGTGAGTGTCATTACTTTTTTATTTTTTGTTTGATAAGTTTCAGATTTATGAAAATAAAAAAAGAATTTTTAAAAAAATCAATGCCATTAGCAGAAATATAAAGTATTTTACTAATTTTTTTGGGGGGGTGGGTGGTGGTGCTTGCTGTGTCAGGTTCTCTGGTTTGAAAGGCCAGTAACCTGCCTTACATCACAGAGTAAGCAAGAATTAAGTAGGAGACTGAATCTAAAATCCATTCATTTAGCCAAATGCATCATGGCTGCAGACTGCTTTGCTATATAAGGGGCCACTGAAACTTGATTCTAGCTGTCATTGTCATTAACTCATGACTTTATCAAATTCTTATGTTAGTGGCAAAACAGTTACAGTATAAAGTTGAGAATTTGTTGCTTCTTTATATGGAATTTCTCTTCTATTAGCTGTAACATTTACATTTTAGATATTCAGGTTCAAAACCAAATTAAAGCAAAAACATGCAAATGTTCTCATCACATGTTTAGGAGAGATTATGTTAACCTTTTTTTTCTGATTTTGCCCATCATCAGCATGTGCACAGAAGTTTTTTAGAGTAAAATACCTTCTTCCACAGATTGGTTTGGCACATTAGACCATAGGTTAATTCCCTCTGTCCATTCTGCTCCATCTCACCAAAGTTACGTGATGAGGAAATCAATCCCTTTTCTAGAAAAGGATGCACACATTACTTTTGATCAAGACATTCTAATTGGCCGTATTCCCCAAATGAGCATTTCTATTAAATATTCAAAACTCAAACTTAAAATGATCATGCAAAACTTAAGTCTTTAGTTCATATACATGAAATGTTATATAAACTAAATTATCAGTCCTTTCAATTTCAATTATCAGATGAGTTTATGTCTTGATAACCTGGATCTTGGTTATACATTTCTCTGTACAATTTTCATCGAGTTGCCTTGGAGGAGTTCAATGCCTGTTTGTATAATAGCTTTTCATTGTTTCAGTGAACCTCTCATCATTATCAAAGGGTTTTTCAGAAAAGAGTTAAGTCTGATAGCCTGAGCATTAATGAACTAAACCAAAAATAGATTTAATCAGGCATGTGCATGCCGCTGTTCATAAATAATGTCTATTCATTGCTGAGTTAAACTAGATGTCAAGTTTTTTTCCCTTTAATCTTGTACATGATTCTGCACATAGGGCCAAGGAAACCACACCTATGCTGTATACTTTTCTCTGTGTCTTTCTTAAGTATCTGTATGATGGCTTTAGTTATAAACAACTTCCTTAGAGTGGAGTTAGACTTAATTAACAATGAATTGATAATTACAGACATGTGCTTCATAATGATGTTTTGGTCAAGGATGAACCACATATGTGATGATGGTCCCAGATGATTGTAATATAGCTTAAAAATTCCTGTTGTGAAATACTTATCATTGTGGTATAATTTCCTTACATTATTCAATAGAATAACATACTGCACAGGTTTGTAGCCTAAGAGCAAAAGACTATACCATATAGCCTTGGTGTACAGTATGCTATATCATCTAGGTTTATGTAAGTACACTCTATGAGGTTTGCACAGCAGTGAAATCTCTTAACACTCATTTTTCAGAATATGTCCCTGTCATTAAGTGATGTATGACTACGTGTGAATTTTGAGCTTCTTAGAAAGGCATAGTGTAAGTTGAAGTACTTTCATGGAGGATATTTTTCCATATGAAAATCACCATGATCAAAAGCTCACAAAGGACTATTATCCAGATACTAATTAAATAAGAATATAAATAGGAGACTTGCCTCTGTAAATATTGTCAAACAAGACTGAGTAACGTAATCTGGATACTTGCATTAACATTTGATTTTATTCTGTTTTCCATATCTAAGTGGAACTGTTTTATTATATATGAAACAGTGTTTTTATCAAAATTCTTTTGTCCCATCCAGTAATAAATGTCTTGTATAAGATTCAATAAGGAATCCTCCTTTATCAAGCCTCAGAAGACATTCCTGCTTTCAAACTTCCAGATACTTAAAATGACAACAACAACAATAAAAACAAAATAAAACTTCTTTGAGCATCTCTTCATTCATTAGTTAATCTGCTTCTTTATTAAGTGAACATTTATTGATTGTCTACTACATATAGAAAGGTACAAGAAACATAATTCAGAATTCTCATCTTCAAGTAGCTAAGGGCACTGTACTGTGTAAAGGCACAAGACATTGAATTCTTGAGCCAAATACCCATGACTGAGAGCAGGGATAGATATAGTATAGGCACTTAATAAATATTTGTGAAATGAGTGAACAAAGCACAATGTAAGGATGCCCATGCATGCTGTGATAAAAGTACAGATGAGGAAGGTTCCTTAATCCATAAGGAAGGGTCCGAGATGAAGTATAAGGAAAGACTAGGAAAAGGAGGAAGTCAACCACCACACATTAAGGGATGGGTTAGGAATTACAGGCATTGTGGTATTGCCAGGACATCCAGTATGAAACAGAGGCTGTCTAGAATTAAGGTGTGAAACGCAGGTGGGCACCCTGTCATGGAGGTCCTGATGGTCAGAGATTGAAATGAGTTTTATTTATTCACCTAGATGATGATTGTTGGCTGGGTTAGTCTCCTTAGCAGAAATTCTTTCTTCTGCACTCCATGGATACAAATAATAACACCCTCTTTTATTAACACCCTCTTTAAATTAAAAAAGGGACTGTAGGCCGGGCGCGGTGCTCACGCACATAATCCCAACACTTTGGGAGGCCGAGGTGGGTGGATCACCTGAGGTCAGGAGTTCGAAACCAGCTTGGCCAACATGGTGAAACCCCATCTCTACTAAAAATACAAAAATTAGCCAGGCGTGGTGGTGGGCACCTGTAATCCCAGCTACTCGGGAGGCTGAGGCAGGAGAATTGCTTGAACCTGGGAGGCAGAGGTTGCAGTGAGCTGAGATGGTGCCACTGCACTCCAGCCTGGGCAATAGAAACTCAGTCAAAAAAAAAAAAGAGTAAAGTATAAAAATTGCAGAGTAGATCCAGTTTTCCAAAAAGAACTTCCCTGCTTTGATGAACTTCATCCACTTAATCATGTTCCACTCTTTTTTTTTTCTTTGAGACGGTGTCTCGCTCTATTTTTAGTAGAGATGGGATTTCACCATGTTGGCCACGATGGTCTCGATCTCTTGACCTCGTGACCTGCCTGCCTCAGTCTCCCAAAGTGCTGTGTGCGATTACAGGCGTGAGCCACCGCGCCTGGCCAGGTTCCACTCTTGCTCATAGTTCTCTAGTGTTCATTATTTGTTTTATCCACCACTGGAGTTTTTTTCTCACTTCCAGTTAGTAGCTTCTCAGACTTTATGTTTGTGCATTTTTATCACAAGAGCCAAATATTTACAGTTGAGCAAGACAGAGAAAGTAACATAAAAAGTTAACAATTCCAGGGAGGACACTAAAATAACAAGTCAGCCTTTTGTTAATTTCTTCTTCTTAGCAATACACTGGCTTCCTGATGTAATCTCATCACATGTTTTAATTATGTGAGCCTCCTCATCTGTAATCCCAAAGTGCTTTGCAGATATTTTATGTCAATTTGGAATTGAGCCATAAGTGCTCATTCTTATTTTATGAGTAAGGAAAGTTGTTGTCATTCAACAAGTGTAAACTTAGAAAAACTTCAGTACTTGTTGCTGCAAGAACCTCCCACTCCCACACAATACCACTCTCTTCTTTGCAGCTGTGGGGACTGGTCAAAGGTGTTTCTTTCTGATGCATCTGCACTTTGCATAGAAGAGATATAATAGCTCCCTCAACTTCTGCATTTCCCTGAAGAATGCGTACTTCTGTGGAAGGAGTAGAAGCTGCTAGGAGCTCCAACACTTCCCACTTTTTAGTGGCTGTATTTCATAAAATACAGTTTAAGGTAAGGATGAACCTTTAGGAAATAGTTTATTTATGAAAGATCTTGTAAGCCATGACAAGGAATTTGTATTTTATCCTGAGGACATATGAAGTCATTGGCATACATAGAAGAGTTAATATGATCAATTTGTCATGGAAAAATAGAAAGCTCCAGCTGCAATGAAGATAATGGACTGGAGTCCAGTAAGCCTGAAGGCATCTAGACCAGTGAAAAGGTTGTTAAAATAATCTAAGCTTGAAGGGATGGTGGTCTATAACAGGATAATACATTACAGATAATTTTGAAAGTTATTTAAGGGCAAGATCTGGCAGGAGCAAGTGATTGGATAAGTTTAAGAGAGAGAGAAAAGAATCAAAGATAATGTCTAATTGAAGGGCTGGGCAACTGGGTATATCATTGAGATAGACAGCATGTGGAGAGGACCAGGTTATTGGAGCAAGGAAATGAGTTTGTCTTTAAAAGTAATTTATATTACTCACAAAATTAAAGCTTTAGCTTTTTCTCCAGTTAAAAATGTATTGCAAATCTTTGAGCTGAGAAAACTTCTGCTCTATGTGTAGTTCCTCATCTAGATCTTTTCCTAGTTCATTCATTTAGATGTTGTATTAAAATAGGGTTTGGCAGACTATGGCCTGTGGGCTAAATGTGCCCTGCTGTCTGGTTTTGTGTGGCCCACAAGTTAATAATGGCTTTTACGTTTTTAAATGGTTGGGGGAGGGGAATGTTTTAAAGAATATTTCCTGACAAGTGGAAATTATATAATATTTAAATTTCAGTTTTCACACATAAAATTGTGTTGGAACACCATCATGCCCGTTCATGTACATGTTGTACATGGAAGCTTGTGTGTCATAGCCACAGAGTTGAGTAGTTGCAGCAGGGACCTTATTACAATGCCTAACATTTATGCTAACTGACCCTCTACAAAAATGTTTTCCAATCCTTACTAAATGATTGTCTCATTCTCGAATTTGATGATGCTAAATTTAAAACAAAATTCTTTTTAAAAATTCAATAGCATTCTAGTTGAGGGATCAGGTACTTTCGGGTTTTCAGATTTATAAGCTGTGTCAGCCACCAGATGCTCCAATGTAAAACTCGTTAATGCATTTAATTACTATTGACTTTTTCTAATATCTATGATACCAGAGCAGTGTATTTCAGAAAAGATGTAGTTAATCTAGGTGGAAGAAAAAATTGAGATGCCATCTTAGCTGGGTTTATCTTTATGCTAACAATAAAAAATAATAATAGCAAATGCTTTCTCTGGGTCGCTTCAAGTTGCAGTATCATTAACAATACAGCAATATTTTATGTTACAGTAAACTTTATTAGAATGTGTTAGGTAGTGAGGTGATGCTATGTGCTACATGGTAGCTGTTATAGCTGAAATTGGTTTGCAGTCATGCTTCAGCCTATTTGCTTTTAGAAAAAAATAACTTTATCCAGCCAACCATAGTAATAACTATTTTTCAAGTAGCATCTCATACTATTTTCAGGATTATAAGTAAGCCTTGATACTATGAGACAGATTTTTCTACTGCATACAAAGCAAGGCATTGTATATTCACTTGTTCAGTTTGCTTAAAGTGATATAAAATATTTTAAAGTATATTAGAAATGTATTCCTCAGCCAATTAACAATAGCTGATCTAATAAGCATTACCCTTTGATTTGGAAACACTTGAGTCAATTGTCATCTGTTTTAAAATATGATATCTTTTGCTTCAGCGCTTCTTTGAGAATTACTATCATATTTACATGACGGTCATAATTATAAGATGTCTATGAGTATTAACCCTTTTTACCATGAAATAGTAAGCCTCAAGTGGAAGCTATACAACTTGTCTTTTTGTTTATACTAATGATCAAATGTAGTGGCACTTTGGCCCATTGTTTTGCTTCTTTTAGTCTTACCAATTTATTTACATTGAGATTTTAAATAAAATTTGAACAACTAAGACATATTTGTGTTTATTCAAACAGAACATGGATTAAAGTAGATATTGAGAAGCATTGGTGTATATTACATATGGGCTAATGATGGTTTCCTAATCCAAAACTCAAACAGAACATGGATTAAAGTAGATATTGAGAAGCATTGGTGTATATTACATATGGGCTAATGATGGTTTCCTAATCCAAAACTCTTGCCATTTATGTCACTGGTTCATTTCCCCAATTCCTGTAATGTGCCAACCTTTCCCTCCAGCATGACATACCTTTGCACATATGAATTAGCTTTGTAAGCTTAACTTATGTACCCTACTTGTGTTTTGAGACTACTTTGAGTGATTCTTAAATGATAAGCTCTATTTGCATGGGCTTAATAAATCCATGGAGCCTTCAAAACATTTGAGGATTATTTTGTGAAAACTCTTCAGCCTTGGACATTGCCTAATTCTTGAATTATTAACTACTGATGGCGTCGAAGACCCAAGTCATTCCTGAATTGCATTCTCTGGTTCTAAAATCTGCTTTCTCTAATTCTAAAATCCTTCCTCTTCCCCCACTTTCATTCAATATGCCCCTGTGTTTAATGTGGCTTTCCATTCCTACCTTTCTTTTGACTAGCCTTCCCAGTTTATGGTGTGAAAGCAAGTTGAAATTAGAACATTGAGTGAGATCGTCAAGAGTCAGGCATTAGACTTTGTGGAGTGCTTACCATGTACTGTGCACTTTACACAAGTTGAAGTTGAGTTTATGTAAATCTCATAAGTAACTTTTAAGGGAAGTATTGTGTCCGGAATTGGTGGGTTCTTGGTCTCACTGACTTCAAGAATGAAGCCGCGGACCCTCGCAGTGAGTGTTACAACTCTTAAGGTGGCACATCTGGAGTTTGTTCCTTCTGATGTTCGGATGTGTTCGGAGTTTCTTCCTTTTCGTGGGTTCGCGGTCTCACTGGCTCAGGAGTGAAGCTGCAGACCTTCGCGGTGTGTGTTACAGCTCTTAAGGCAGTGCGTCTGGAGTTGTTCGTTCCTCCCGGTGGGCTCGTGGTCTGGCTGACTTGAGGAGTGAAGCTGCAGACCTTCGCGGTGATTGTTACAGCTCATAAAAGCAGCGTGGACCCAAACAGTGAGCAGTAGCAAGATTTATTGCAAAGAGCAAAAGAACAAAGCTTCCACAGTGTGGAAGGGGACCTGAGCGGGCTGCCACTGCTGGCTCCCGCAGCCTGCTTTTATTCTTTTATCTGGCCCCACCCACATCCTGCTGATTGGTAGAGCGGAGTGGTCTGTTTTGACAGGGCGCTGATTGGTGCATTTACAATCCCTGAGCTAGACATAAAGGTTCTCCGTGTCCCCACCAGATTAGTTAGATACAGAGTATCCACACAAAGGTTCTCCAAGGCCCCACCAGAGTAGCTAGATACAGAGTGTGGATTGGTGCATTCACAAACCCTGAGCTAGACACAGGGTGCTGATTGGTGTGTTTACAAACCTTGAGCTAGATACAGAGTGCCAATTGGTGTATTTACGATCCCTGAGCTAGACATAAAGGTTCTCCAAGGCCCCACCAGAGTAGCTAGATACAGAGTGTCCATTGGTGTACTCACAAACCCTTTGAGCTAGACATAAATGTTCTCCAAGGCCCCACCAGAGTAGCTAGATAGTGTCGATTGGTGCACTCACAAACCCTGAGCTAGACACAGGGTGCTGATTGGTGTGTTTACAAACCTTGAGCTAGAGACAGAGTGCAGATTGGTGTATTTACAATCCCTGAGCTAGACATAAAGGTTCTCCAAGGCCCCACCAGAGTAGCTAGATACAGAGTGTCCACTGGTGCATTCACAAACCCTGAGCTAGACACAGGGTGCTGAGTGGTGTGTTTACAAACCTTGAGCTAGAGACAGGGTGCTGAGTGGTGTTTTTACAAACCTTGAGCTAGAGACAGAGTGCTCATTGGTGTATTTACAATCCCTGAGCTAGACATAAAGGTTCTCCAAGGCCCCACCAGACTCAGGAGCCCAGCTGGCTTCACCCAGTGGATCCCGCACCCGGGCTGCAGGTGGAGCTGCCTGCCAGTCCCGCGCCCTGCGCCTGCACTCCTCGGCCCTTGAGTGGTCGATGGGAGTGGGCGCCCTGGAGCAGGGGGTGGAGCTGTCGAGGAGGCTTGGGCCGCACAGGAGCCCATGGAGGGGGTGGGAGGCTCAGGCATGGCGGGCTGCAGGTCCCGAGCCCTGTCCCGCAGGAAGGCAGCCAAGGCCTGGTGAGAAATCGAGCGCAGCGTCGGTGGGTTGGCACTGCTGGGGGACCCAGTACACCCTCCGCAGCCTCTGGCCCGGGTGCTAAGCCCCTTATTGCCCGGAGCCGGCAGGGCCGGCCGGCTGCTCCGAGTGCAGGGCCCGCCAAGCCCACGCCCACCCGGAACTCCAGCTGGCCCGCAAGCGGCGCACGCAGCCCCGGTTCCCGCTTGCGCCTCTCCCTCCACACCTCCCTGCAATCTGAGGGAGCCGGCTCCGGCCTTGGCCAGACCAGAAAGGGGCTCCCACAGTGCAGCGGTGGGCTGAAGGGCTCCTCAAGTGCCGCCAAAGTGGGAGCCCGGGCAGAGGAGGCGCCCAGAGCGAGGGAGGGCTGTGAGGACTGCCAGCACGCTGTCACCTCTCAGTATGATTATTTCCAAACGAAGGAAAAGAAACTCAAGGAGGTTGATGTTTTGATCAACTAACAAATCTGGAGCCTGCCTTCAGCTTGGGTATGTTTGGCTTTAAAACCTGCAGTTTTTCCATGTCACCTGCCTGTCTCCCCAAGAGAAAAGTAATATATGGAAAAGAATAGAGAGGTGAGGAATAAGCCTTGGAGAAATCACTCTTTAGCAGGTAGACTCAAAAATCAAGAGCCAGGAAAGAAAACCCAAGATGGAGGCAAAAAGATGGCAAGAAAATGATAGTCATTATCTAAAAAGCCATGGGGTGTGGGATTTCTAAGAGAAAGGAATTATTATGGTTGAATTGGTTGAAGTGAGGCTGGTGGAAGGTCCTAGTTGCTGGCCTAACAGGCATGTTTCATTGTGTCTCTTTTCTCCATTCATCCTGTTAGTCTGCAAGTATTCTCCCTCGAGACCCCTAGTACTCTGTGCAGGGGACTAAAGACACAACCCTCTCAAATATCAAGCATCTACCGCTTTTCTAAGTTCTGCGTCATGAACTGCTGTTCATGGAGTGTTTCATTTCAGAAAGAAAGAGTCTTGTAAAATAAAGTTCTCTTTATTTACTAGGCCAACTAACTAAAAGTAGAATACTTATTTTTTTAGACGGCATTTCTTTGAAGTTGATGTGTTTAGGTGCTATCTCAGGGAGCCAGCTTTGTAGCTGTTTACCACATTTCCTGAGGCAACCTTGTGCGAGGGCTGGAGAATTGTAACAAGTGTCTTGACTTTCTCTGCACCTGGAGATTAATGTGCTGGTAAAAACTTTATGAACCCTTAATCATTCATTGCAAACATATTGGATCCTCTAAAGCTTAAAAGCTTCAGCATTCATAATTAAGAGACAACAGAACAGGATCATGTAAATATGAAAATGGCCTCCGAGAAAGTTGAATGAACTTTCTCGTTTTCTTTATTTAAGTTGTGGACACTTTAATTTTGAACAGAAGCATATTTTCTTAGTTATAGAAATCAGGTATAAAATTATCCCTACTGTTAAAATGATAATGAAAGAAATTTTAAATGACAAGTAGGTAATTTCAGGAAAACAGATTGTATCTCCTTGTTACTTACTGTAACTATTAGTTGTTCCCTCCTCTCCCCTAACATACATTATCTTCTGCTTGAAACAATAGATAGTTGTATTAGAATAGTGTATTCATTTGCTGGGGCTGTAGTTACAAAGAACCGCAAACTGGGTGACTTAGCAGAAATTATAGTCTCACAGTTCTGGAGGCTGAAAGTCTCAGATTTGTATGTCACCTGCCTGTCTCCCCAGGAGAAAGATAATATATGGAAAAGAATAGAGACGTAAGGAATAAGGAATAAGGGTGTCAGCAGGGTTCCCTTTTAGGGCTGTGATCTGTTTTAGCATCTTGTAGCTTCTGGTGGTTTGTGGGCAATTTCTGGTGTTCACTGGCTTCTGCTCCATCATCCTACTCTCTGCCTTTATCTTCATGATATGGTTTGGCTGTGTCCCCACCCGAATCTCACCTTGAATTGTAATAATCCCCACATGTCAAGGGTGGGATCAGGTGGAAATAATTGAATCATGGCAGTGGTTTCCCCCATCCTGTTCTCATGATAGTAAGTGGGTTCTCACCAGATCCGATGATTTTACAAGGAGTTTCCTCCTTCACTCCGCTCTCATTCTCTCTCCTGCCACCCTGTGAAGAGGCACCTTCTGCCATGATTCTAAGTTTCCTGAGGCCTCCCCAGTCATGTAGAACTGTGAGTCAATTAAACTTCTTTTCTTTCTAAATTACCAGTCTCAGGTATGTCTTCATTAGTAGCATGAGAATGGACTAATACACTTCATATGGCCTTCTCCCTCTATGTGTGTCTGTGTCCAACTTTCCCCTTTTTATAAAGACACTAGTTCTTATTGGATTAAGGGACCACCCTACTCCACTATGACCTTATCTTTACCCAACTAATTACATTTGGAGTGACATATTTCCAAATAAGGTCACATTCTGAGCTACTGTGGGGTAGGATGTCAACATATGAATTTTGGAGAGACAAAATTCAACCCTCAACAGATAATGTAGGTTATTCTGTGATAACAGATGACTCCAAAATTCCAGTGTCTTAGAACCACAAAGGTATGTTTCTTTCTTAAATTTCAGTGGGGTTCTTGGTACTTCTTCTATCATCCTGCAAGCTGTGGCTCAGTGTTGAGCCTTCATGTAGCATCTGCTTCCATGATCTCCCAAGTAAGGGAAGAAAGCTCCGAAAGGTTTAGGACCAGCAAAAAAAAATTTGTACTGGAAAGTGATGCATGTCTTGTACTAAAATTTTATTGACTGAAATGTATCACATTCCTCACTTAAATTCAAAGAAGTAGAGAAACGCAGTTCATCCTATGTGACAAGAAAGAGGAGAACCAGAGATACTAATGAGAAGGAGTATACCTTCATCCATGTATCTGTCGATCAATATTAAAAAAAAAAGAAAACTAGACATCTATTTCGAAGTCTTGACAAGATTTGTAGCTGTCTAGCTAAATAAGGTTGTTTTCCTAGGACTTGAAATGTTGAGCCATTAATTAGTTCTCCTTTCTGCCTCTCCCTCACTCAGGGAGGATTCATTCCTGAAATGAAAATGGAAGGTGCATCTTTATGAGTAAAAGCTACTCTAGTTTATATTGTGGGGAGTATTTGTTGGATATACTATGGCAATTCCCATGCACAGATAACCATGGTACAAGGCTGAAAGAACATGTGTATGGGTCTTTCTCAGATCTAATTTATTTGTTTTGTAGAAAGGAGAATCTTAAAGGTAACACAATAGGACTGTGATCACACATACTGCTCAGGAGAGACACAGTTACACAGTAACTTTCTATATGGTCTTTAGCTTGAAGGAATTCCAGAGGAAATATCTTATTTAACCCTCCTCCTTGTGAAAATGTCCTCCCCTAGTACTCTTCATTGTATCATCCTGTCTTATGTCCTTAGTAGCATTTATCACACAGCCATTTTTGTATTTATTTGCTTGCTTGTTTCTTACCTTCCCTGCACTTTATGAAACATCCTCCTCCCTACCCCCCCATATAAGTTCCCTTTCACGCCCAATATATTGCCTATCTCTGTTTCTCACGGATACTCCAGCATTGAGAAAAATATCTGCCTGATACTGAAGCAAATAATGGATAGATTGAATAGATGTAATAAGTATTACATTAAAAATAATGTCTTAATGATGGAACGTAGAAAATTGGGGAAAATATTTGGTCGCTGTTAAAGTCTAGGTAATGGGAACTAGAAGCTTACAAGGTAAATATTTCTAATGTTTCCAAAACAATTATTTTTCTTTCCTAGACTCCATGGTATGTATATTTCTCCTGAGGTCTCTTTGGACAACATACTATTTATTATCAAATTATATTCATTTATCTTATTTTCTGAAAACAATATATTTTATGTTCAAAAATATATGCCATCCACTCACAGCGGAGTTGTTGCACAGGGCGCATGATTTGAAACTTGTCCTTACTGTATTTGTAGGGTAATTTGAGGTAAATGAATTTGGACAGAAGCCATTAAGTAAAATGATTCTTTCCTAAATTACCTTAAGTGGTTAATTTTATTACTGATAATACCGTAATGGAGACGTTCTTCATATAATTTTAAGGGAACACGCTTTGATTAAAATCATATTTGTATTTTATTATTATTATTTTTGAGACAGGGCCTTGCTCTGTTGCTCAGGCTGGAGTGCAGTGGTGCCATCATAGCTCACCGCAGTCTTAACCTCCTGGATTCAAGCAATCCTCCCGCTTCTACCTTCTCAGTAGCTGGGACTACAGGCATGGGCCACCACACCCAGCCAATTTTATATTTTCCAATTTTTTGTAGAGCCAGGGTCTCACTATGTTGGCCAGGTTGATCTCAAACTCCTGGCTTCAAACAGTCCTCCCACCTTGACTTCCCAAAGTTCTGGGATTATAGGCGTGAGCCAACATGTCTGGCCTAAAATAATCCTTTTTAAGGAAAGATCTGAGTTTTATTTGCTGTTTAACCATAAAAGACAAAAGCATTTTTTCTGCTTATATTTTTTTAAAATCATCAGTTGTCATTGAAATAATTATAAAAGGATTCATTGGTGGTCTAAATGAAAACAACGGACTTTAACAGTAGACCTGTATTTGCAGTACAACCCAAGGATCTCCATGCACTAGTGGTTTTCTTACATAGACGAGTTCAGAGAAAGTATGGGTCCCCGGGTATTCTAATCTGTAAGTATCAGTGTGTCTTCACTTTTAATGTAAAATTATGCCACAGTGTCATTTTTTGGAGATTTTGTGTGCTCTCGATCCTCCCCTAATTTTTCATTTAGAACCTGTTTCTTGGCTATTGTCTTAAAATTTCCCGACACAGTTAAGGTTCAAGCTTTAGCTTTATAATTTTAGAATTAGTGCTACTGGATTTTAATAAGATATCAACACACTGCATTCTAGGTAAATGGCATCCCCTGAATTTGTGGCATGTGGTATCTAAAATTAGGTTTAGGTGGCCAAGAGTGTGAGAGGCAAGCCACATTGAGTTTTCTAAATCAATGACACCTGTTCACATGTTAAGCTGCCCTTCTCAAGGCTAACTTTTCTTTTGGCTTCTAGGGTGTGTGTTCACCATTATCTACCTTATGGTTGTCTTTCTCCATTGTGAGGCTGAAATAACTTCTGGTGGCACCTTTCTGACAGTAATATCTAGCTGGCTTCCATACAAAATTCTGTCTTTGCTTCTACTCATTTAAAGTCATTCTGCCCAGTTTCTGGTTATGAACTGTTGTCACTGTGATGGATTTCCTGCCCTTGAGGCTGTGGCAGCCAAGCTGATATCATACTGTATTTTGTGTCTCTGTTTTTTGACTGGATAAATGGTCTTTAATTACTGCTGGTTCTTCAACCTTGGGGAAAACTCTGGCAGTATTATCAGTTTTTGTAGCTGACAGTTTGGAAATAGGGAATCTTTTGCCATAATATTTTCAATTAAAGGCCTAAATTCACATGCTTTTCTACTGAATTTTATACAATAAAGTTAGGTTAAGAATTCCACAAACATTTAAATCTACACAACACATTTACTGCATTTAATACTGTATTTAATGATGATGACGATTATTTAAAAATCATTTTCTACTTGATGAAATATCATAACATAGCACTAATATAAATTAATATTAGCAGAATTAACATGTAAGTTTTTCAGTGAAAAGAACTCTTGATGTATTGGAAAACGTAATGAAAATATTAATAATTATCTAGACATGAAAGTGACGAGTCAATATTTCTCTGGAAGTTTATGGCCAAAACCATACTTTGAGGCAAATATTGCATTAGTGGTTTTCTATATTGATCAGACAAACCAAATAACTAATATTACCCCCCCATTGTGATATGTTGCACCTTTCTGCAATTGATTATTAGTGTTATATTCCTTACATAGGCAGTTTTGAGTAACAAGGTTTTAAAAATAAATTATATGTATCTTGCACACCAATGTAATTATTACTGGTTTTAATATAATAATGTGTATATAAACTTATGATTGAAATTAGTTGTATAGAAAACTTTATAAAATGAGGGCTCCATCAGCTATTCCATTCTCATCTAGCATTGGTAAGGAGTAAATACTTAGTAAAACTTGATGAATGAATCTTGCAGTGGTGGATTCAAAGCCATATGTGTGTGTTTTGTTTTTGTTTGATGGGTTTTTTGTTGTTGTTCTCCAATTTTTTTATCGTAAAATGTATAATACTAGTGCCACAAATTTTATTTTTATTAGAACATATAGTAGTCTACAGCTTAATAACTAGCAGAAACTAAATACTAGTTTTGGTCCTGCTACTAAAAAATTTCAAGTAAGACCTGAATTTAACCAGTATTGTATTTCTTTAACAAATTATTTAGGAATATGGTTTTCATAAGGGCAATGAGAGTCAGCAATCAAGTTTTTCCTTCTGAAATTTTAGATATGAAAAGCATCTAAAATTTCTCAACTTTCTAAAATTTTAAACTGCACTTACAAGTAAAGTATTATTCTTTTAAAAGCTTAAATAATTTAGTTAAATAACTTTACAATTCACTGATTTCCAAAAGGGTACCTACATACTGTTTCACTATATAAGTATAGCACATAGTAGAGTCCATCTACCATTGTCTACCATTGTCTTCTGAAACAATATAGGGAACTTTCTAAATCATAGGAAATCTAAAAAATCAGCTAGTTCAAGCCATATGTTTCATAGCTGAAGATACTAGGTCCCGGCGGGGGGGTTGGGGGGGGGTGTTGATGATTTGCTCTAAGTCACACTTGTTAAAATCTAGACATCTTTGTTACCAGCCTATTGTTCCCAAAGTCAACATTCTGTGCTCTGATGCAATGCTGATTTTAAAAAATCATTCGTTCATAACCTCATATCATGCCTTTTTAAAAATCTCTTCTTTGCATTTCCCTCTTTACGTTATCTCATTCTTACATTCCCAAGGCCTGGGCACACAGTTGGTGCAGCTATTTGTAGTTGAACTTAACTGGATTAACATGAAGGAACATAAGAAATTTATATGGTATCACATAATACATCAAGCATTTTATATCTCATCCAACCCACAAGCCATGCCATCTTATGTAGATACTTTTGATGGAAAGAAAGAAGAAAAATCAGGATAAATGCCTCAACAGCTGTCAATGTTAAATAATCCCTTAAAGCTGTGAAAGCCTTCATTTGCTTTCAGGAGTTGTGACATATGGTCAAAAATAGCTTGAAGATTTATTATGTCATATCTGTTGGATGAGATTCAAAATATACTTTAAGAAAGATTCCATCCTTCATCATCCTTGAAAAGATCTTTCAGAACTCATAGAGTATATAGAAAGCAGACGGAGAATGATGATGTTCAGCTGCTTCAAAATGACAGACTCTAATCAGGATTGCCCACCTATCACACCAAATTACCAGTAAAAAATGCAAATTTTCTACCGACATGACACTTTTAAACACAGACATCTCACAGACCTCCAGAAGCCCTGGGTATAGATAAGACTTGAATTACTTTCCTCCAATGTTACATTAGGATTGGAAGGCAGATTTTAAAATTATGTTTTTAAAAAGCGGTCATTCTTCCCCATGTTAAGAATTTAACCTTAAAGATGAAAAAGCTAAGAAACTGAAGTTTGTCAGTGGATTCTAGCTTCTGTAAAAGTTGGAAGAAAAAAAAAATCCACTTAAATTTTGTAAAAATTGAAAAAAAAAACAACTAAGGAATAAAAAAGAAATGCCAAGAACATATAAATGAAAGAGCAAAAGAACAACTTGAGTAAAACATTATAGTAAAGAGGTCACCTAACTTAATAAACTCTCCTGGGTTCAAGCAGAAGTAATCAAGCCTACTGTGTATATAAGATGAAAAGAATCAAAGGGGAAGCTCCACAAAGCGACTTCTTTGGTCCTGGCAGTGTCTCTGCATCACCTGTGTCCTTCCTTTTCCCGTGCCCTGCCCTCTGCCCCGCTTCTGCTCTACTTTCTTGCTATTTGCCTCCTAAGGCTTCAAAATACTGCTAAACACATTTCTAAAGCCTTCTAGACATAGGACAGTTTGTGTATGAATCATTTTATTTAAGAATTAGGACAATCTTTTTTGTTGGAAGTAGAATAAATTGTGCTCCAATTTCAGGTGCTTATGAAAAATACATTGTACCACAACCTGAATATTATGTTGTGTAAATCCCTCCAGCCATCTCATTTGGGGCAACTTTTAGATAAGGAATGAAATTACTTGTGGTATAATCTATAATTATTTTTGGCAAATGCATGAGTTTCTCCTGCTTGAAATATAAATGTTTTATTAGGTAGCCACAGTATTTGGCCCCTGCATGGGTGCTTAATTGAAGAAAAGAAAGAAATAACATCTAAAGATCTGTGTTTCATGGACGTTTGCGAAAATGGCCGTCACAACTCATCTGGTAGACCAGAAGACCAGGTGGACGTGACTTATATTAAATCTTGCCAGAGCTGGACATCTGGCTCTTCAGTTGTTCTGGTTTCAATTTGGATGTGAAGCACCGTTCTTAGTGTGATTCAAGTACTAGATCCACTTAAAGAGTTCTTGTGTAGCCCAGGTCTCTGCCATGTTTGAGAGCTGTGGTTTGTTTTTTGACAGGAAACCTCCATCAGAGTTTATTGTAGGTATCTCATTAGTAATTTTTAGCATGCCACTGTGTACCAATGTTGAACTTTATCAGTTGAATTAGAGACCATGTTAGGACCTGAATGACAACTTCCCTAATTAACCTGAACCACATTCTGGAACGCCTTTTGACATATTGTTGCCTTGTAAGTAAATGGCTCCACTTTTTTTTTTTTCTTTTTTCATACAAAGACAGTTTTCTATCTATCCTCAAGCACACCAACCATGTTGTTGTTGTTCTGACTTACGGCATTTGCTTGATTTATTTTCCACCCTGCTCTTCTTTGCTTACGTAAGTCCTCAAATTTCTGCTTAATTGTAATGATCCCTGACTACCTTATAAAGGCATATCTCTGAGGTATGGTGGATTCAGTACCAGACCACAGCAATAAAGCAATTATCAAAATAATTAAGTCACACAAATGTTTTAGTTTCCCAGTGCATAAAACTTAAGTTTACACTATACTGTACACTGAGTATTCAATAGTGTTGTGTCTACAACCGGTACATATCTTAATTTAGAAATACTTTATTGCTAAAAAAATGATAATGATCGTCTGATCCTTCAGTAAATCCTAATCTTTTTGTTAGTGCCACAACTTGACTCCATGTTTTTGGCTGCTGATTGATCAGGAGGGTAGTTGCTGAAAGTTGGGGTGAATGTGACAATTGCCTTAAATAAGACAACAGTGAAGTTTGTTGCATTGATTGGCTCTTTCTTTGGTGAAGTATTTCCCTGTAGCATGTGATCCTATGTGATAACATTGTAGCCATGGTAGAACTTCTCTCACAAGTGAAGTCAATTCTTTCAGACCCTGCTGCAGCTTTATCAACTCAGTTATGTAATGTTCTAAATATTTTGTTGTCATCTCAAAGATGGTCACAGCATCTTCAGCAGGAGTGCGTTCCATCTCAAGAAACTGACATTTTTGCTCACCCATAAGAAGCAACTCCTCATTTGTTTGTTTGATCATGAGATTGCAGCAATTCAGTCACATCTTCAGTCTCCACTTCTATTTCTAGTTTTCTTGCTCTTTATACCATGTCTCTGGTGATTTTCTCCATTGAATTCTTGGACCCCTCCAAGTCATCTATGAGGGTTGGAATCAAATTCTTCCAAACAACTGTTAATGTTGGTATTTTGATTTCCTCTCATGGATCACAAATGTTCTTTATGGCATCTGGAATGGTGAATCATTTCCAGGAGGTTTTCAATTGACTTTGGCCAGATCCATCAGAGGAATCACTATCTATGGAAGTTATAGCCTTATGAAATGTATTTCTTAAATAATAAGACTTGAAAGTTGAAATGACTCATTGATCTATGGGCTGCAGAATGGATATTGTGTTAGCAGGAATCAAAACAACATGTACCTCTCTGTCCACCTCCATCAAAACTCTTGGGAGACCAGGTGAATTGTCAATGAGAAGTAATATTTTGAAAAGAATCTGTTGTTTTTCTGAACAGTACATCTCAAGGGTGAGTTTAAAATATTCAGTAAACTGTGCTGTAAAACAGATATGCTGTCATCCAGGCTCGATTGTTCTGTTTATAGAGCACCATCAGAGTACATTTAGTATAATTCCTAAGGTACCTATGATTTTTGAAATGGCGAATGAGCATTGGCTTCAACTTGAAGTCACCAGCTGCATTAGCCTCTAAAAAGAGAGTCAACTTGTCCTCTGAGGCTTTAAATTCAGTTACTTATTTTCTCCTTTTTAGCTATAAAAGTCCTACATGGCATCTTATTCCACTGGAAGCGTGTTTTATCTACATGGTAAATGTGTTTAGTGTAGTCACCATCAATTCTTTTTTAAGCTAGATCATCCAGATAAACTTCTCGCAGTGTTCCATTAGCACTTGCTGCTTCACCTTGCACTTTTATTTTATGGAGAAAGCGTCTTTGCTTCAACCATATGAATCAACCTTTGCTAGATTCAAACTTTTTTTCTGCAGCTTCCTCACCTCTCTCAACTTTCATAGAGATGAAGGGAGTTAGGGCCTAATCTAGGCTTTGGCTTATGAGAATGTTGTGGCTGGTTTGATCTTCTATGTAGAGCACTAATAGTTCCTCCATATCAGCATGAAGGCTGTTTCAGTTTGTTATTATTCGTGTGTGCATTGGAGTAACACTTTTAATTTTCTTCAAGAACTCTCCCTTTGCATTCACAGCTTGGCTAACTGGCACAAGAGGCCTAGCCTTTTGGCCTTTCTCAGCTTTCAATGTGCCTTAATCGCTAAGCTTAATAACTTTTAGCTTTTTCTTTAAAATGAAAGAGGTACTACTCTTTTTTGTGCTTGAATACTTAGAGGCCGTTGCCAGATTATCAATTTGCCTAATAATATCACTGTGTTTCAGGAAACAGGAAGGTCTAAGGAGACAGACAGAGATGGGGGGAACGGCTGGTTGATAGACCAGTCAGAACACAGAAATTATTAAAATAATTACAATAATAACATCAAAGATTACTAATCACAGATCACCATAACAAATACAGTAATAAGGAAAAGTTTGAAATATTGGGAGAATTAACCAGAATGCGACACATAGGCATGCCATGAGCACATACTGTGTGAATAATGGTGCTGATATACTTTCTTGATGCAGGGTTGCCACAAACTTTCAAATTGTAAAAAAAAACAGTATCTGTGAAGAACAATAAAGTGAAGTACAATAAAATGAAGCATGCCTGTATAAAGTGATTCATCTAGATATTCTTTGATTCACTCATTTGTTTTCGTCACGTATATCACGTGATGTATAATTATTTTCTGAATATTTACTCATTTTTTAACAGTCTTCTCAGCTGTTATGTAAGCTCTCTGAAACATAGAAAATTTTGCTAACCTGTTAAAGAGTTACATTTCTAGCACTTAACACTATCCTTGATATGTGGTAATGGTCAGTAAATATTTATTGAATGAGTCGAGGAATTGTGATCATCTGTATTGTTTAGGTTACAGAAGAGTTAATTTAAAAAAATAGTATATTTTGGCTTTCCAGTGGTTTTAGTTGAGTGTGATTGTTTAACAAAAATGTATTGAGCAACTAGCTGGCTGCCATGGGGGATTTTTAAAGTGATGGACAGGGTCCTTGTTTCTCAAAGAATACGCATTCTAGTATATAATTTGGCATGTGTATGGAAGAGTCAATGAAAGATTACGAAAGACAAATGGTGGAGGCTCAAAGCTA
The DNA here is from genome assembly GCF_000001405.40 of Homo sapiens. Classification (NCBI taxonomy): domain Eukaryota; kingdom Metazoa; phylum Chordata; class Mammalia; order Primates; family Hominidae; genus Homo; species Homo sapiens. The sequence goes on from NC_000013.11 coordinate 93,466,776, forward strand.
TGCTTTTATTCTCATGTGCTGGTGGAGTACTACTATGGATCTGATAACAGTAAATTTGCTGTCTCATCAGTTACAATCTGTTCTTCACTATTAATTGAGTTATAATTCTGGGACACTCACTCAGTCCAAATCTGACCTGTGATATTATCCTCAAAATAAATGCTTGAGAACAAGTATTATCCTAAATTTACTGACAAAGAAAGGGGAGTCTATGAGGTAAAATACTTTTCTTAATGATACATAGTTGTCAAGATGCAGTCAGGGGTTCAGCCCCATGTTTTCTAAATCCAAGTCTTAAATATTTTTCTGTATACAACGTTGCCTTTCTTCTTTCTACCCCCTTTATAAGCAAAATGTTAACAAAATGTTTTTTCTTTCTGCATAATAATTTGACCTTTAGTTAACTCCCTGCCTCTGATCTGATAACCTTATAAAAGTGGTACACCAACCAAGTTACTAAGCAAGGTTGCTATGTCATGACCCCTGATTGGTAATTTGCATATATACTGGGAAGAATTATAAATGAATTACACATACCAGATGGTGCTGCCGTAATGTTGTGATTCCTGAGTATGGTGACTTACAAATGGTATGCACCAGGAGGGTGGTCCTGAAAGCTATGTCCATGGGATTAATTTAGTACATATGGACTCCTCGTGGAGCATGAGGCTTGTAACCAGGATGACTGTCATACCCACTGGTATGTATCTTGTCTTCTTGCACCTGAGGAACAGTGTGGATTGCTCCTGATAATTCTGCAGAATAATACCTGATGCTACCCTGCTGGCAAGCTGTGATTCTTTTTTTTTTTTTTTTTTTTTTTTGAGACATGGTCTCATCCTGTCACCCAGGATGGAGTGCGGTATTGTGATCACAATGACTCACTGCAGTCTCGAGCTCCTGGACCCAAGCCATCCTCCCACTTCAGCCTCCTAAGTTGTTGGGACCACCGGCATGCACCACCATGACCAGCTTATTTTTTATTTTTATTTTTTTGTAGAGACAGTTTCTCCTTATCTTGCACAGGCTGGTCTCGAATTCCTAGGCTGAAGTGATTTTCCCGCCAAGGCCTCCCAAAGTGTTGAGATTACAGGTGTGAGCCACTGTGCCCAGCCAAGCGGTGATTCTTGTCCTGTAACCTTCTAAGTGTTTGATGCCAGGTGACACTTGTGGTGGTCTTGTGAGCTTGAATGTTTAGCTGAACCTGAAAACTCTTGGGTAGAGTCCTAGCAAGTAAAATTTTTGATTTTTTTATCCACAGATAAACAAATATCTTCAATCATTTGTCTTGATCTTAATGGCCATTGTCCTGTAATGAATGAATTTGGGCTTTGAATTTTGTGAGCTTGAATGTTAATTGAACCTGAAAACTCTTTAGTAGAGTCATAGAAAGTAAAATTTTTCATTTTATGCCCACATATACACGAATATCTTCAATTACTGGTCTTGATCTTAATGGCCATTACCCTGTAATGAATGAATTTGGGCTTTGAATTCAAAGATATTCCACAGATTAGTTCACTTATTTTAATGAAGTTTATGCCTTAAAATGAGACAGTTTCTCCACTTATCCCTATGTTCCACATGAGAATATTGAATGTCATTTCTTTTATAAAAAAGAGTTCCAAATTCATTGTGTAAAGCATCCTCATGAAGTCTGAAGATTTAATTTGCTTATATATCTTATTGTAATAAAGAAGCAAATTATAATTCGGGGCTGGGGACTGGAGTTTAAAAGAAATACTTTAAAAAATATTTTTAAGAGTTAATTAGCTTTCCAGAGTACTGTGCATTTAATATGTACATAGAAAGTGAGGCTTACATTCACAGCAATCAGAACAAACAAAGCCACAAGTGTGATATTCAGCAATGCACACAGCCCTAGAGAAGAGCATGCATAATATTCAGGCCAACAGAAAAATCACTTTCAGATAAACTAACAGAAGAAGGAATACCTAAGGTAAACTAACTGGGGCAATTTCTAATGAATGCAATTGCACTATGCAAGGATGGGGCAGTTTCAATAGGTTAAACAAAAATAAAAGTTTGGCTTGATTGTTATAATTTGTCAAAGTAAACCACTGTAACATTTAACTACCTCAATATTTTATTGCAAATGACACTAATTAGACTGTGGGTTTTTTGTTTGTTTGTTTGTTTTTTGGTTCTTGCTTTCTCAGAGGGCAGAGTTCTTAGGCTTAGTTCTCCACTTCAATTTAGTTCCTTTCTGATACTAATCACCAGTGTAATTAAGATCATTCCTAAGGGCATCTGAGAAAATGCAAAAATGGCTAGATTTTGCGCTTTGCAGCTTTACCTAAGACCTTAACAAAAATATCATAATGAAGCTGAATATTATGTATTTTTAGCAATAAATAAATGTATTATAAATGAAATTTTGAAATCCCACTTCAAAATTCAATAATTTTGAATGAATTATTGAAATTCAATAAAATTGTATTGTATTCAATTATTTCTTATATTTTTAAATAACTGTCTACTTCAAGTGGTTTTTGTCATTGTTGTTGCACAGGTCTATTAATTTTAACACCTTTATAGATTTGGTAAACATCATTATATTCAGGATATGATACAAGATAAAAGTCCTTTGCTGGATAAATAAGTTCATTGCAGATATTAATATTTTTCTCAATCTGTTACCCCATCCTTTGGTTCTATTAACAATGTATCACAGAAAAAAACTCTTCAATTTTATAAAGCCAAGTTTATTACTATGGATTATGCATTTGGTGTCATAACTCCAGATTGGAGTGGCCATGATAGGAATATGAATGAAACGACCATGGTTGCAATGAAAGAAATTATGTTTGGACTCATCAGCACCAATGTTTGTTTACCAGGCTTTCTGTGGGTCATGCTTTTGGTGTCATAACTCCAGATGACAAAGATCTTCTATCTGTTCCTCTAAAGGTTTTATGGTTATGGATTCTATGTTTAGATCTGTGATCCATTTTAAGTTAAAACTTTTGTAGAAAGTATGAAATTTACACTAGGTTTTTTTTGTTGTTGGTGGTGGTGTTACTTTTTGTTCTGCATGTGGATGTTGAATGGTATGAACACCATTTACTGAAAAGGGAATCTTTTTTCTTTTGAATTGCTTTTCTGTTTTTGTCAGAAATTTAATGACCATATTGGGGGAGTATGTTTATTTCTGTGTTCCTTATTTTCTATTCAGTTGGTCAATGTGTATATCCTCCCACCAATTCTGTATAGTCTTGATTAGTTTTACAGGAAGACTTGAAATTGGATAGTGTAATTTCTCCAACTGTGTTCCTTTGCCATTTTTTTGGTAATTCTAGATCTTTTGCCTTCCCAAATAAATTTTAAAATCAGCTTGTCTATACTGACAAACTATATTCCCATAGAGATTTTTTTTTCTTGTCTTATTGAAGTGGCTAGGATTACTCAGGACAGTGTTCAGTCTTTCTTCATTAAATGACATTGTAGGTGTAGTGTTTTTGTGAATGTCATTTAATAGGTTAGGAAAAATTATTTTTATTTCTAGTTTGCTGCAATAATTTTTTAAATCGTTAATGAACATTAACTTCTTCATATTATTTTTCTGCATCAGTTGGTAAAATCATAAGGGATTTCTTTTCGGACTGTTAATATAATGGCTTTTATAGGTTGATTTTCAAATATTGGTCTGGCCTTGCATTACCTGGATAAATCCCCCTGAATTGTGGTTTTTATCCTTTTTATATATTGTTGGATTCGATTTGCAAATATGGTTTTGAGGATTTTTTGCACTTGTGTGAATGAGGGATATTAGAATATAGTTTACTTTTTTGTTCTTGTTTTCTTTTTCTTTGGTACTGTTTTTCTCTGGACTTGATATCATGGTAATGACATCCTTATAAATGATTTGGAGAAGTATTCCCTTCTCTTTTTTTTCTGAAATAAATTTTATAAAATTGGTGTTATTTTTTCTTTAAATATTTAGTAGAATCTGCCAGTTAAACTATATGGAAATTGAGATTTCTTTTTCAAAATTTCCTTTTTTTTCAAAATCAATTTCTTTTAAATCGGATGATAAATGTTATCCATTTCATCATCAGTCATTTTTGCAATTTGCAGATTTAGAGGAATTGGTCCTTTTCAACTAAAATGTTGGATTTATGTTCATAGAGTTGTTCATATATTGCTTTATTATCCATTTAATGTCTGTAGGGTCTATAATAATATGTTCTCTTTGATTCTTTTCATTGGTAATCTGTGTCTCCTAAAGGTTTACCAATTTTGTTGATTTTTTAAAAATCAGTTTTTGTTGTTACTGATATTCTCAATTGCTTTTGATTTTTCAATTCCATTGATTTTGGCTTTTCATATTCTTATTTTCTTGCTTCAACTTGCTTTGTGTTTATTTTGCTCCTTTTTTTCTAGCTAGTTAAGATGGAAATTTTGAGGTCTCTCTTCTTTTCTTATATAAGCATTTAGGCCGGGTGCAGTGGCTCATGCCTGTAATCCCAGCACTTTGGGAGGCCAAGGCAGGCAGATCATGAGGTCAGGAGATCAAGACCATCCTGGCTAACGTGGTGAAACCCTGTCTCTTCTAAAAATACAAAAAAAAAAAAAAAAAAAAAATTAGCCAGGCGTGGTGGCGGGTGCCTGTAGTCCCAGCTACTTGAGAGGCTGAGGCAGGAGAATGGCATGAACCTGGGAGGCAGAGCTTGCAGATCTCGCCACTGCACTCCACGCTGGGCGACAGAGCGAGACTCCATCTCAAAAGAAAAAAAAGCAAATTTTCTCCTATATTTAGCTTCATTTTATAAACTCTGTCACTATATTTTCATTGAGTTTAAAATATTTTATAATTTCTCTTGAAATTTTCTTTTTGACCCATAGATTATTTAGAAGTGTGTTGTTAGTTTTCAAGTGTTTAATGGGAATTTTATGTTTTTTTTATTAATGTTCTCTGATTTAATTCAGTTACAGAGAACACGCTGTGTATGATTTTAATGACTTCAAGTGCATTGTTGTTAGTTTTATGACCCAGGATATGGTCTATCCTGGGGAATATTCCAGATGCATGTGCATAGAATGTATATTCTGCTGTTGTTGGGCAGAGTAACCTATAAATGTCAATTAGATTCAGTTGACTTATGGAAATTTTCAGTGCTTCTCCGTTCTTGCTGGCTCTTTATCTATGTGTTCTATCTGTTACCAAGAGAGAAGTATTGAAGTCCTACACTATATTTGTAGCTTTGTCTATTTCTATTTTCACAATTGTTGGTTTTAGATTTACGGATTTAGTTCTGATTTTTGTGCATACACAACTAAGATGGTTATGTCTTCTTGGCCACTTGACCATAGTGTAATGGTATCTTTTTAATGTCCTTTCCTGTGCAATCGAGATTTTTCCTGTTCTTTATATGCTGAGTAATTTTTTATATTATCTTGAACATTTTATTTTTACTGATCTTTGGGATGTTATTTTTCTGGCCAGAAACCTGTGGCTGCTGGTGCCTTTTCCGCATTTTCCTAGGGCCCACAGGGCCCATTCCATCCTCTTGGCCTAGCAGGCTGCACTCAGCTCATGCTATTGGTATGGATCACATGCCTCCAAGGGAGACTGTAAGTCATGGAGGTGTGGAGTGGTGAGGGGTGTGTGAGCAAGTGTGGGGTCCGGCCACTGTGCTGTAGACACGCTGGCTGCTGCAGTAGAGTGGGCAGCTCCAGGTGCCGGCATGGGCGCCGGCTCTCCAAGAGGCTGTGATTGGACCAGGCGTTACTGCAAACAGCTTCCCTGCCTGGCACTGGAAAATGTGGGGGTGCCCGGAAGCTTGGAGATGCCAGGAACTGCAGGGCCCCAAAGAGGGAGTCACAGGCCTGGTCTGGCATGTGGAGCTCCCAAGTTTGGGCTCCTAGAAGGGCCACAAACTCCTTCTCTTCTTCTCTCCTCTCCTTCTCTTTGCAATGTGTTGAGAAAGGGGCATCTTTCTGCCCTGTTTGTGTTACAGCCCTTTTAGCTTTGCCATTCAGTAGGTCCGAGTTCTTCTCTTGCAACCAGGAAGAATGAGGTACATAGACAAGTGAAGGGTGAGCAAGACAAGAGGAGCTTTACTGAGCAACAGAACACCTCAGTCTCCCACAGGGAGAAAGCTCCTTAGCTCCTAGCAGAGAAGGTAGCTCTTCTCTGCAGACAGATTGTCTCATGTGCTTACTCAAAGGAGAGAGGGTAGCTCCTCCCTGTAGCTAGTTGACCCATCATCTGCTCAGCTGTGGCTGAGCCTGGGGCTTTTATGGGCCTCACATGGGAGGAAATGTGCACCAATTGGTCCATGGGTGGCCATGGGTGGGCCCAGAAAAGTCACTGCAATTCCCACTTCAGTGAGTGGGACTGGCAGCCTGGCCTGAAGGTAGGGCCTCACCAGGGACCTGCCCCCTTTTGTCCAGGAGCCTGTCTGCCTCCTGCTGCCGTCCATGGGCCCAGGCTGCTCTCACCAAGGGGCACCTATAGGTCAGTGTTGAACTGCCCTAAGCCCCTACTTGTTTCCCCCACCCACTCTTTGGTGCCCAAAGTATGGAGCAGGCCAGGGTGCAGGGGGATGATGTGTCAGCACTGCTGGAGCGTGCACACACCTGGCTGGGCTGTGATAGCACCCATGCTTGGCCCCAACCCCACTACAAGATCGGAGCAGGCACTGGGAATGGGGAAAGGCCAGGAAGTGAGAGCAGTCACCACCAAGCCTGTGGGGTCAGGAGGGCCTTCCCAGACCCCTGAGGGTGCAGAATCCAGAGATGCCTGGGACCTGCACATGGGAAGGCAGTGGAGCGCATGCATATGCACTTGGTAGAGCATACAGGCAGCACCAGTTGTGCCTCCTCACAGCCTGATTTGGGGACTTCAGGTCCTCACAGGGCCCCTCTTTGCCCACTCCTCTGTGCCTGACCATGCTGCTCCCCTACTGGCAGATGGCTTGGCCTGGCCCCATCATGGTGTCTCCATGGAATGTGGCACCATCCCAGGCCCAGCTCCACCTCCTCCCTGTGTCCTCCCCACAGCAGCATCAGGCAAGAGTGGCGACACAGGGCCGAATCCCAAGCCATGGATTTTATAGTCTGGGCCTCTGGGTAGGTCCCACCTGGCTATGTGAAGGTGGGGGTGGTGTGGTTGGCTGTGTAGTCGGCTGCCTTGGGTATGTGGGGCAAAGAGACCCACTGCTGCCACTGCTGCTTCTTCAGTTCCCCCTGCTGCCATCACTCACATCTCCCCACTGCAGCCAGCACCATGGCAGCAGCTGCTCCGGATTGCCTGTAGCTGACATCATTATTACATGAGACTCTGTCTTGTTTAAATGCTGTGGAAACTGTTGATATTTATATTTTTAGTGGTCAGTTAAGCTGGCTGAGTTTAGGCCACAACTTTCAACTTGCCTTCTGTAGGTTGTAGTCCTGATGTCAGATAAGTTTTCAAGTCTTCACAGTGTTACTTGGATCTGTTTCTTGTGTGTACCTTCCAGGGTCCAACTTGAGTCCTGGGTGGTAGACTATATATGGATTCACTTCTCAAGGTTTTTAGTGTGCTGAATAGGATCAAGTCTACATTTAGGGAGCTGTAGATGAGCCCAGGTGTTTATAAAAATGTTTGTGGTTACTTTCTCAACATTTTCTCTGCCATTATTCTCTGGAATTTTCCAGTTGTCTGAGCCTTCTTTTTCCCCCAAGCAGAGTGCTGAGACTTTAGTTACCACTGTTTACCATGACCTTCTGTAACTGTGCCAGCACCCAGGGCCAAGTTTTGGGAGGGCAGAGAAAAAACATAGTTGGTCCTACCTTCTGGAACCCCAGTGTGTTGAGTTCAGCCCAGGATATACTGGAGGGAAAAAATTCCAAACTCATTATTGGATTAATGGTATTTTGAATTCTGATCTTCTTCTCTACTCTTCCATATACTGTGTACTTTTCAAAGCCTTCAAATAGCTGGTCCTTGCAGTCTGTCCGGGTTTTGTGGCTGTCTTCAGTGAGAGTCATGTTGGAAGGTGATCACTCCCATCTTACCTGGGGTCGAAACTTTTTTATTCCATTTTTTAAAGTAATTATAATGCTATTGTTCCATCAGTGTGATTTAAATTAATACTTAGTGCCAGGGATGGTGGCTATGCTTATAATTCCAACAACTCAGGTGGCTGAGGCAGAAGGATTGCTGGAGGTCAGAACTTCAACATTGCAAGACCCAGCCTCTAAAAAAATAAAATAATTAGGCAGGTGTGGTGGCATGTGCCTATAATTGCAGCTACTCAGGAGGCTGTGGCCAGACGATTGATTCTAGGATTTCAAGGCTGCACTGAGCTATGATCATGCCACGACACTCCAGTCTGGGTGACAGGGTGAGACCTGAATCCTTAGATAAATAAATAAATACACACACACACACACACACAAACACACACAGCAACCACTATGATGATTGAAACATGTCAGAATGCAAAAGCAAGAACACCTCTATTTAATAACTGTAATATAATTTTGGAGAATTGATGGGAGGCAATTGCTTGCATTTCTTATAGACTATTCCAAATTATTAATGTTAATTACTTAAAATGATTTTATTTTTACACTGTAGAGTTAAAATAACCAACTTTCTTGCTGAATGAAACTGTATGATAGTACCTTAATTTACGTTTCATTTGTGTTTCAATACTCTAGCCTAAAATCAGTACTTTTTCTATTTTCTATAGAAAATAATAAAACTTTCTATATCTGAAACTGTATACAGGTGATGAGCTTTGAGTTGGATGCACAGTAAGATGTTTTGCTTTTAAACCAGATATGCAAAGAGAGGCAACGATCTATGTGGCTTTAGCAAGGGAAAATAACCTGTTGAACTATTTCTTTCACTATATGTTCAAGAGAGTACTTAGGGAGAAAGAGATTAATTCATTTTTAATGCTAGGAAAATACAGTCATTAAAAAGCAGATAATATAAAACGCCAGAAATGCTTTTAACATTACTAGAAGTGCACTTCTTTCTGAAATAGCTTGTTACTTTTGGAGATCTAGATAGGCTGAGGTATTAAATATTAAAATAGAGGGTGCTTTTTAAAATGCAGTGTTTCTTATCAGAAAAAACATTTGAACAAGCATTTCTGTTGTATAATTCATGATATTGCTAATAAGATAGTCTAGGAGAATTATTTGTTACGCTTTTGAGAATGACTGGGATTTTTTTTTTTTATGAGAGAGTATTCCCTGTTCATGTCCTCTTAAATATATATGAGTACTGTTAAACTATATGGGATAGTCACCTGACTGATTTTTTCATATTAGTATGGTCTCCCTATATTTTATGGGAAAATCAATTCAAATAAGAATATTAATGTGAATTTTGCTACCTTCAACAGCATGAGAAGTCAGCAGCACATTTTAAACTATTGATGTAACAGGAAAATAAGTGTTGGAAGGATGTCCCTCTGAACATTTTTATTCAGATTTTCTGCAATAGAAATTAGTATGACTTGCTATTCCTATTTGTGTGTGTGTGCGTGTCTGTGTGTGCGTGCGTGTGTGTGTGTGCATGCGCGCAACTAAATAATATAAACGTAGCCACTGGTCTTCAAAAGAATGCTCCCCTCTTGACTTCTCTCCAGTCTTAGTCATCCATTGGCATGTCAGTAGCTTTTTTTATGGTAGGAACAAGCAATGAAAAGTTGCCCAACTTGTTTCAAATAACAATCCAACTGCGGGGTTCTGCATGCCACCTCAGTTCATCAGTAAACACTATTTACAAAAAATGTATCCATAAGTTTTTGCTACATCGTACTTGAATTATTTTGGTGGATAGAGTTCTTAATACATAATTGTTGATTACTGTAAGTGCTTTTCCAAACTTTCACATTTCTATCACTAAATAGCTAACATGTAAAAAGTAGAAGTAATTTTTCAAGGCATGTTGGTTACTGCCTTTGCTTCAGCATTTTCTGCCCTTAGAACTATTTATCCAATATTAAATGACTTTTTTTTGTAAGATGGCAGACCTTTTATTTTGTTCACACTATTTTATAAATAAAATATTGGGGTGTATAAACATGATTAAAATATGCTATGTACAAATATTAATATGTGACTATGAAACATGATTATTTTCTTGAAGCCTATTCCAATAATTTAGGGAAAATTTTAGAATTTAAACATTTTCCTGTTAACATTATGTTATAATCCACTTAAAAACATTATGTTATAATCCACTTTCTAAATGAGCTGATATCAGTGTTCATTATTTTATAATAGCTATAAGAACCGCATGTAGATATTCTGAGGAAAGTTTTGATGAAAAACACCTCCATTGTTCTCTGACTAGTTATAAATACTGTTGGGGAATGGGTGATGCATTCCCAGTGGTTTCATGTTTAACATTATTTATATTTAAATTTTTTTATTTATGAAAAACAAAAGTGATATTTTAGAGTATCCCAGATTTTAAAATATTTATTTAATTTAGGAAGAAAAAACAGGTTTTTACAAATTCATAGAATTAAAGACAATTTTTGTAAATTCAAATTGTGTAGTTACCTGAATTCTTAAATCATATAAACTGTTTTTTCCATGAATGAGAGAAAGGAAGATCCCTCTTGACTTTATGGATGTTAGAGCTGCCTTCACATGCTAGAGGCATTGCTCTACAATTTTTCTTTTGCAACATTCCTCTGGTTTGGGCTGATAGTAACATTTTTATGATGTTTAAACAAGTTTTCATGCTTCCAAGGAAAACTGAAGAGAATGACTGGATTAGTAAGATCTTGCAGTAGATTAGAGAACTGCCAAAACTCAGTTAATTTAACTATCATTAGCAAACAGTTCACAAATAAATAGTTTATTTTCTTAAAAAAAGGAGGATGTAATCAGAGCCATATTTGAAAATGTGCATATAACTTACAGAATTGAGAGTTGGTACTCTTTTAAGGATAATTCTCATATATTGAGCTAAGAGTGCACAAATCAGTAAAATCTGGCTACATAAAATTATTTTTTCTCCAAAGAAGCTAGTATTTGAGAGTTCCTTTAATTACTGCTTCCTTAACTATTTGTTTCTTATGTGCAGAGTGAGTACAGACTTAACAGCAGGTGTTCATTTTAATATAAGAACAAATGTATGAAGGCTTTTAATCTTAACATAGTACCGTATATGAGCTGCTTATTTAGAGTTATTAATATATAAGATAGTTAATGGTACTTGGATTATCTCTTTGCATTTTTTTTGTCTTATTACATCTGTTTAAATGGAGGCTTTTAGAGTAGCTAGAGCCTGGTCATTGGGCATTTTGGGGACATTTACTATGAGATGGCTATTGGGAAGGTTTAAATCTGGTCAAGAAATGATTTCTCTCTTTAGAAAATTCAGCCTAGAAATCATAGAACAAACTAGAAATGTTAGATGCCCAGGCTCGGTGTTTTAATCTATGAGTTATAACATAGTTCTAGTCTCCAGTGAAAAAAGTCGTCAATAAGACATGGCCCAGGTCTCACAGCCATTTTTTTCTTCAGTTCTTCTCTTTAGGCCAAATAATGCCTAAATGTGCTTGAGAAGTACAGGTTGAATAAATGACTACCTGAAATCCCCATTTACAAATTGGTCTGATACAGAGTAGATTTCTCAGAATGTCTTCACCAGACAGTATAGTTTTTGGTAAACTGTATCTGTGTAAATTGTCACCCTGACATCAACAAGTGGCACCAACACAGGCATAATTTACCAGAAAAAAATTCCTGAAATTATCATGGTTCTATAAGCAAATTCTGGAGGTGAGGTGCAGTTGTTTCAAATACATCCTCCTCCTTCAGAGTATTTATCTGAATCTTCTGGATCCATAGCACATGAAGGAGAATTTCAGAGTGAGATCACCTGGTTTTGGCACTGGGAGCAATGTGATCATTGTTATGGCAGTGATTATGTGAGGGACATGTTACTAGTAAAACTTAAGGAAATCATGTTACAGGTCAGTCAGTATATGATGTGTCTCTATGAAGTGTACCTGAACTTTGGAAGATAACCTCCCAAACTTACCAAAACTACACACCCAACCTATTTTACTGGTACTTTAAAGGACAAATAATACTGTCAGAAGTAATTTTGGAAATAGCTCTGAAGACTACTATATTATAGGCATGTTGGACCTTTTGAGAGAGGGGGAGATATTTACAAAGTCCTGTAGCTGGCTACATGGGTGTACTCAGAAAGGGAAATTTTCCATGCAGGCTGTAGCCTAAGCTACTGGAGTGAACAAACCATAAAGAATTGTTTGCTGGAGGCTTGTTGAACCAGACATCTAGATTTTGAAGGATAGGCCTTGCAACCAGAATAAAGCTACATCTTTGTTAAAAGGAGCACACCTGCTTGGAAGATGGGTGGAATAGAATTATGTCTTGGGAAACTATTACCAATTCAAAAAATGTGAATTTAGCATTTATCTCTTTTTAGGATAGTTCCTAAAAAGGAACTAAGAACCAGATCCAAAAACTATAGATTTAAATTTGAAGGGCAAGCTCGATTTGACAATTGTACAAGTATAAAATTTCTGAGCTTGGAAGCAAACCTACAAGCAAAAAACAGGCTGAGCAACATCAAGCACGATAAACATTTCAAAATATCCATAGGGAAAGCATAAAAGCAGGATTGTATGTAGCTACAGAGGACACAAAGATGATCTGAGAAGTTAAAGTTAGGAGAAGTATCTAACAATTAGCGCTGTTCAGCATGGGATGAAGGGCTCGACGTGGTGGCTCATGCTTGTAGTCTCAGCACTTTGGGAGGCCAAGGCGGGCAGATCACCTTAGGTCAGGAGTTCGAGACCAGCCCAGCCAACGTGGTGAGACCCCCCCCCATCTCTACTAAAAATAAAAAAATTAGCTAGGTGTGGTGGTATGCTATCAAAAGTTAGAAGATTTAATTCAGCAAACATTTATGGATCATCTACTTTGTACTGTGATCTACATTACCTTTAGGATCACTTGCCGTCAGCAATGTTGTGATTTGGGGATCATTATAAGAGAGAGTTCATATAGAAGGCTGAAAATTGTGAGTAATAATCATACGGTGTAGTCTTCTGGATTAAAACAATGATTTATTTCTCATGGAGAGTGAGACAGAAACAGCCCTGGCCATATCTCTATGGTTTAATTCATTCTGGAAACAAATAAATGAGACATGCATATAGAGGGGAATCTGTGAAATCATTGCTGGGAAATGAAATTTACAACAAAGGCAAGATAAGAGTTGCATTTTAGAAACATTGATAAGTGAATGTCAAATCATACATGAGACAGTTTTGTTACTTTGGCAACATAGACATTATTCTTTATTTCTGATAAGCAGTGTTACTTTAATTCCCACCTGTGGCTTTTGTCTCTGTGTCTCCAAGGGACATTAATGCTTAAATGAAAACTAATCAACATTTTAAACTGTAATATACACATTGATTTAGGGGAAATATGTTTCTTTAATATTGTTCTCAATGCATTGTAGAAAATTATCCAGGTGATTCCTTTACTTACATTTCTTTAAAGGGTAACCTTTTGAATTAAATAAAAAAATTTAGTTATATTTTCTCTTTTCAAACGGTTGAAATGGATGAAATATAAGCTTGATACTATGAACAGAAGTTTTGCAACAGAATTATTTATTTTGCTATTTTATAAGATGAGTTTAAAAACCAGGTAGGGGGACAAGAACGTGATTTTTGGAAAAAATAACAGCTTTATCATGTTATAATTTACACACAATAAAGCTCACCATCTTGAATATACAGTACTGTGGTTTTAATATATTAATAAAGTTGTGCTTTGATCACCACTCTCGATTTCTTGAACATTTTAGTATCACTCCCAAAGAAACCCTGTATCCACTAGTGGTCACTCCGTATTGCCCTGGTTCCCTATCCCTTGGCAACTACTAATCTACCTTCTGTCTCTATAGATTTGTATATTTCTTTACTTAGTGTAGTATGTTCAAGGGTCATCTACACTGTAGCACATGGAAGAATGCCATTCCTTTTTATTGCCTAATAATTTTCTATTGTGTGAACATGCCACTTTTTGTTTATCTGTTCATCATTTGATAGACATTTGAGTTGTTTCTGCTCTTTGCATATTATGACTAATGCTGTTATGAACATTTGCTTATATGTTTTTATGTGAGGGACATATGTCTTCATTTTTAGTGAGTGAATACCTAGGAGTGGATCGTACGGTAGTTCCATATTTGACTGTTTGAGAAACATCCAGATTGTTTCCTGAAGCATCTGTGGCATTTTTCAGTGCTACTAGCAATGCATGAGGGTTCCAGTTCTCCACATCCTCAACAATACTTGCTATTTGTCCCTTTGATTATAGTCATCGCAGTGGTCGTAAAGTGGTATCTCATTGTGGTTTTGGTTTGTATTTTCCTGATGGCTGACAATTTTGAGCATTAGCTCTTTGTAGGAGCTGATTGTTTGTATATCTCTTTTGAAATGTCTATTCAGATTTCTTATTCATTTTTAAATGAGGTGATTCATCTTTTTATTTGTGTATTGTAAGGAGTATTTATATATTTGGAATATGGGCCCTTTAGTCAATATATAATTTGCAAATATGTTCTCTCATTCTGTGTATTGTCTTTTCACTTTCTTGATGCTGTCCTTTGATGCACAAAATTTTTCAAATTTTGTTGTTGTTGATTTATCTTTTTTCATTTGTCACTTGTTTCTTTGGTGTTATAGCTAAGAATCCAAGATTATGGATCTTTACTCTTGTTTTCTTATATGAGTGTTTATAGTTTTAGCTCTTACATTTAGGTCTCAGATCCTGTAGCCTTATTTTTTTGGTGATAATTTTTGTATATTTTGTGAAGTAGGGATCCAGCTTCATTTTTTTTTTGTACGTAGATACTCAGTTGTGGCAGAATCATTTGTTGAATACACTGTAATTTCCTCCATTGAATGGCCATGGCACCCTTAGCCATACGGACAAGGATTTATTTCTGGACTCTCAATTCTATTATTGTCTGTTTATGCTCATGCTAGTAGTACAGTGCCTTGGTTACTACCATTTTGTATTAAGACTTGAAATTGAGGAGTGAGTCCTGCAAATTTGTTCTTTTACAAGATCATTTTTACTATTTGCGTTCCCTTGCATTTCCAAACCAATGTTATAATGAGCTTGTCAATTTTTTTAAAGGGTGGCTGAGATTTTGACAGAAATTGTATTCAATCTTTGGATCAATTTTGGAGTGTTGCCACCTTAACACTATTTAGTCTTGTGATCCATGATCATGAGATGTCTTTACACTTATTTAGGTCTTTAATTTAGTTCAATAATATTTTGTAAATTTCAGCGTACGCCTCTTACACTTCTTTCGTTACATTTATTCCTAGGTACTTTATTCCTAATTTCATTTTCAGGTTCCTCTTTGTTAGTGTGTAGAAACACAAGTGCTTTTCTTCTGTTAATTTCAGAATTAACAGCCTTGCTAAACTCATTTATTAATTATATAATTAACAAATTTTAAGGATTTTCTATATACAAGATTATACATCTCTGAATATTGTATCTTTATTTCTTCCTTTCCAAACTGGATGCTTTTTAATTTCTTTTCCTTGCTTAATTGCCCTTCTGAGGGTCTAATTAAAAACAAGAATTAATTCACCAAAGATAAAATGCCAACTAATTCGTTGTTTCTCCTATATTTTACTACAGTTAATTTGAGAATCTGTTCATAGAGGATCCTAAAATATAGCACAATGCAGTTTATATTAATCAAATCAAAAGTAACCTATCATGAAGAAATAAAGTTAAATTTAGAGGTATATTAGTTGCATTCTACTTGATTCATAGGCCTAAGTTAATGGGTAAGAAATCTCTTGCTCAGGAATAGAAGGCAAAACCACAGAAAATAAAAGAAAAGAAACAAAAGCACCAGGTGGCATGGAATGTTTAAAATATACTGGGATTCATATATTTTGTATTTTCCTTTTTGTTACAGGAAATTATAGACCCCAAATTGAGATGTATGAAACAAAGAGTTGTGTAGCAAGTACGTTTGTAATAATCAAATAGTATTTATTTTCATTTTACGCAATTTACCATATGGAGGTTTTCTAAATCTATTTAAGATGTCTTTGTTACGTGCATTTTTGAAACGTGCTTTGTGGTCTGTAAGTCTGCTTGCATTTTAGAGTACAAGAGTGCATAGCTGGTTTTCCTTAGGAGACCGTAAATGTGACCAAGAGCCTAAGGACTTGGCTCAGTGTTACCCATGACAGACAGGCACTCATCCTGATAGCCAGGTGGAGATTTTCTGACTTTGATCACTTCGTACATGCATGTTACAATACTGGCAATTGTTTTATTAAATATTTCTTTAATGCATAATCTTCATTTTCATTTTAGCAAGGGCATGGAGACATACGTAGTTTGATTTCTCATAATTAAATCCTGGAGTCCCACCTTTCACTGATGTATCATTTTATTAGAAATTGGACAAAAAACTTTAGGTTCTCAATTAAACCAATATATTGAAATCACTGTGCTTTTTTAGTTAACTGATATGATTACTATTGTGAAACTTATCAGTCAATAATCATGTAGCAGAGATGCTTTTAACTAGATAAGTACTTACTGGTTTGATATACTTTGTGTTGTAAAAAGTAATAAATCATTAGTTATTATATAGAAATTAGAATGTTAATTTTCTAGTTTTTACCAATATCTGATTATTTCTATCCATTCAGTCATCTATTCAATTATATCTAAGATACTTTTAATAATAAACTTCCAATCGATTTGCAGGCTTTATGCTATCCTGCAATAATTCTAACTTAAATTATTATATTTTAAAATTGACTTGCTATTTCCAAATGTGATAGCATATATGTTTGTAGTGTAATTTAGTAATAAAAAGAGCCCTAAAATAATGTTTAGTCATATGTGGTTTTATGTTTTAATTAATCATTCGGCAATAAGAATGCGGCTCATGGTAGAAACAGTGTTTCTAAATGGTGGCTGCATTGTGCTATTAGCCCACAGAGTGTTGTTTCAATTGTCAGTGTGACTAAAATTATATTAGATCACATTTCTCCCTAACACAGCTAATGCTGGAATAACTTATTTGGAAATTAGCTACATATTGTGTGCCCTGTATTTGAATGTCACAAGACTTATTTGTGTAGAAAACAGAACACTCACCAAGGTGTATTCTTTACAGTGGGTTTTGAATCATTTAACTATTTTCCTTGTTTAGACTCTTAGAGCAAATTGGTTTTAACTTAATCCTGGGAAAAGATGCACTTTTGTACAAAAAAAGTATTAAAATTTTGTAAATATTTCAGAAAATGTGGTGCTTATGGATCCAGGGTGTGTTATCTCCTTCAGCATCTGCCATAGCAACAGTTTTTTTGGGTTATTCTCTCACTACTTGATGTAAAATGTAGTTCATTCTTTACATTATCATCCTTGTTTTAATAACAGATATCATTTTCTGTAGGATATTTTTATCACTTTAGGAAGTGAAACTGTTTTTAGTTCTCCAAGAATCTATAATTAATTGTTGTGAAACAGATACCCTAGTTAAATCAGGTATGTCAGTATACCTTATGCAAATTGTCTCACTGGTATTTGTTTGTAATCTCACAGAAATCAATTTGACAAAAGGCTGTATATTCTGAAAGATTTTTGTCTCTAATCCCGAGTATGCTGTGAACCTCTTTTGGGAATATTATAATTTTCTGCTTAGAATAATATATCCTTAAGTTTTTCCATGTTAAGATAATACTTCCTTGCATATTATCATAACCATTTTCTCTTTTTTGCAGGTTTTATATTACTAGTTATACTTTTTTGAATTACCATTTTATTTAAAATACATTTGAATCTTTGCCTTTGAAAACAATGTCAAACTTGAAATATTGCTTAATTTCTTGTAGTCTATTAAATTGAATGTATGTATATAATAAATTAAATGATAATGAAATACAGATAATTATAGCTTAGTAACTCAAAAATTCTTTGAATTTGTCAATTCTGTGTTAGCGATGACTATTGCTATGACAGAAATTTTAGGGAAATGTACTTTCATTTTAAAGCACTCATCAATATTTAAGAAACATTAATTGTGCATTACTTTCAAAGATCTAATGAATTTGTAGAGTTATTCTTCAATAAATAAATACATTAAAATATACATACAGCATATGTAATAAACACAAATTTTCTTATAGTTTCCAAGTCAGGAATTATTAAACAGCAGTATGGTAAAGGCAAAGAGGTATTTACAGCTTGATGTGATAACACAAAGAAGGGGCAGTTAGCCCCCCCTGGAGATGTTCTATCTGGAGAAGAACAACAGTAATGGAAGGCTTTTTAAAGGAATTAATTCTTGGACTAAGTTTTAAAATACGACTAAAATTAACCAAATAATGAATTTATGAGAAGGAAGAGAAGGACATTCTAGCACAAAGGGGAGTCCCACAGGTATGAAAGCACAGGTGGAAAAAAAGCTTATGTGGGACAGGCGGTGGCATCATAAGATTTTGTTCTAGCCAAAAGCATAATCCAGCCAAACTTGAGGTTCAGTAGACCCATTCTGATAGCTCATGTTAGATAGAGTTGGGAGGATCCCATTAGATCTGATGACCAGTCAGGAGTCGTAGTAAGGGACAGATTTCGGGCTCTTGAGAAGATGGAAAATATTACATGACCATTCATCTCAGATGCTGGACATAGTCTTGTTTATGCTATTTACTTCATTTTCATTATTAATAGCTCTCTGTACACTCCTTTAGTCCCCCAAAGTTTCTTGATTTCGTAGATAATTTATATAGTTACCTTGGACATGTTCCAAATTTGTTTATGAATAAGTTTAATTGAGTGTTGAGAAAGCAAAATGACCCTCAGATTCCTGGTACAATCCACCAGGTGGACAGTGATGCCACTAGTGAAAACAGGTGAGGCGGTTTGATGGGGTTCAGGCAGGAGGTGGGGTACAGTAATGGTTAGTTTATTCTTGTAGCTGTTGTACCTGTCAGGTTTGAGATTTTTGCAGTTCTTCATATATATTTGTCCAGGTAATGATGGGGTATATGATTCTGAAGCTCAGGGAAGAGATCTGGAATGGAATTCAGACTTAAGACAGATTATTATATCAGCAAGATCATTATCTGTTATCTTTCTTGGATAAACTTGGAATTAAGAAGAGAAAATGACTAACTATGGAAACCTGGGAAATATGTACACTTTAGGGTAGGTGGAGGAAGAATAGGCATAAAAGGCGGAGAAAATAATAAGCCAAGCAAGAAAATTGTTGCATGAATGTGACCAAGAAAGAGAATTTCAAAAATAAAGATATCCCTCAGTGTAGTAGAGACAAGTGGTAAGAAAATAATCTAAAGTAATCTGTGGGATGTGTCAATAATGTGGTGTTGGTGGCTCAACAGGAATCATTTCAGTTGGGTAGAACTGAACTCAGGAGAGGATGGGAGGTGAGCAAATGTCACAGTGAAGGTAGATTATATTCTGAGGAATTATACATGACAAGGAAGAGACATATGTAGCTCCAAATGTTCATGGCCTGCAGTGGTCAAGGAAGATTTTATTTTTAAGAAACATAAATATTTTTATAGATGCACAATTCCCAAACTGTGTTTTTGGAATACTGTTAACAGGTGATACATGAAGAATTTATTTTCTAACCAATGAAGTCACAAAAACTCTGGATTTAATAAAGTAAAAGAGATTTCTGAACATCCATTAGTTTCTCAGCAGCCATTGATGTGCTAATAAACATTGTTTATATCCAAAATAGGAAAAACAATATGCAGTGATTTCTAAATATTTTGGCAACTGACTGCTCTTTTCCAAAACAAATCTATTAACTCCATAGTGTAAGAGACCATCTTGGCCGGGCACGGTGGCTCACACCTGTAATCCCAGCACTTTGGGAGGCCAAGGCAGGTGGATCACGAGGTCAGGAGATCGAGACCATCCTGGCCAACATGGTGAAAACCCATCTCTACTAAAAATACAAAAATTAGCTGGGTGTGGTGGCATGCGCCTGTAATCCCAGCTATTTGGGAGCCTGAGGCAGGAGAATAGCTTGAACCAGGGAGTTGGAGGTTGCAGTAAGCTGAGATCGTGCCACCATACTCCAGCCTGGCGACAGAGCGAGACTCCATCTCAAAAAAAAAAAAAACAAAAAAACCCCAAAAAACACAAAAAAACAAAAAAACAAAGAGACCATCTCAAAGTCAAGCATAAACTGGTGTGATGAAAATAATATACACACACTTACAGCAGGGCTGATACCTCGCAGTTTGCTCACTCCCTTATTCATTGTTTGTGGCCAGAGGCCATTCTAACTAGTGTTAAATATCTTGACTGTCATTTTCATAACATCACAGTCCAAATATGAGTATTGAAGGAGATCATTATTGCAAGATTCTTTTAAATTTTTAAATTTTTTTTTAACTTTTATTTTAAGTTCAGGGATATATGTCCAGGTTTGCTACATAGGTAAACGTATGTCATAGGATTGTGTTGTACAGACTGTTTTCATTACCCAGGTACTAAGCCTAGTTATTTTTCCTAATCTTCTCCCTTCTCCCATCCTCTACCCTCAGACAGGCCCCAATGTGTATTTTCTCCTCTGTGTGTTCATTAACATAGCGCCTGCTAGTAAACGTGTGTTATTAATAATTTCTTAATATTATTGCTGTTATTATCTGAAGGAATACCTTTAAGAAACCCTTGGGTAACATGAGTGTAGAACTATATTTGGAGGAGGAACGAGGGGGTAAGGAAGACACAGAAAGTTGAAAAAGAACAGTTTTGGATTGAGGGTTGATCATGTATCTTCCCTGTCCATACCCCTTGTTGCTTTTACTTGACCACATCATTTGTATTGGAACACTGTGCTGTTCAGGAAAGAAGTAGGATGACATTTAAAAACATGATATTTTTCTTTCTTCATTTTGTAGAAGCAGTAACGTGAAATCCGCATGTTCTAGGGGAAATAATAGTAGTCACTTAAGCTTATCAAAACCAAATTAAAATTAAAATTGTTTTGAATCTGTTTTATTTACTGAAAATTTTAGAGACAAAGTACTATCATCTATCTTCTCTACCTCATCATACTGCCAAGGCATTTACAAGTTAAACAATAAAAATAAACAAAATCTATAACATATATATTATTTATTTACATATACACACTTTTTTATTATACTTTAAGTTCTAGGGTACATGTGCACAACGTGCAGGTTTGTTACATATGTATACATGTGCCAAGTTGGTGTGCTGCACCCACTAACTCGTCATTTACATTAGGTATATCGCCTAATGCTATCCCTCCCCCCTCCTTTCACCCCACAACAGGCCCCGGTGTGTGATGTTCCCCTTCCTGTGTCCAAGTGTTCTCATTGTTCAAATCCCAACTATTAGTGAGAACATGTGGTGTTTGGTTTTTTGTCCTTGCGATAGTTTGCTCATAATGATGGTTTCCAGCTTCATCCATGTCCCTACAAAGGATGTGAACTCATCCTTCTTTATGGCTGCATAGTATTCCATGGTGTACATGTGCCACATTTTCTTAATCTAGTCTATCATTGATGGACATTTGGGTTGGATCCAAGTCTTTGCTATTGTGAATAGTGCTGCAATAAACATACGTGTGCATGTGTCTTTATAGCAGCATGATTTATAATCCTTTGGCTATATACCCAGTAATGGGATGGCTAGGTCAAATGGTATTTCTAGTTTTAGATCCTTGAGGAGTCGCCACACTGTCTTCCACAATGGTTGAACTAGTTTACACTCCCACCAACAGTGTAAGAGTGTTCCTATTTCTCCACATCCTCTCCAGCACCTGTTGTTTCCTGACTTTTTAATGATCGCCATTCTAACTGGTGTGAGATGGTATCTCAGTGTGGTTTTGATTTGCATTTCTCTGATGGCCAGTGATGATGAGCATTTTTTCATGTATTTTTTGGCTGCATAAATATCTTCTTTTGAGAAGTATCTGTTCATATACTTTGCCCACTTTTTGATGGGGTTGTTTGTTTTTTTCTTGTACGTGTGTTTGAATTCTTTGTAGATTCTGGATATTAGACCTTTGTCAGATGAGTAGATTGCAAAAATTTTCTCCCATTCTATAGGTTGCCTGTTCCCGCTGATGGTAGTTTCTTTTGCTGTGCAGAAGCTCTTTAGTTTAATTAGATCCCATTTGTCAATTTTGGCTTTTGTTGCCATTGCTCTTGGTGTTTTAGTCATGAAGTCCTTGCCCATGCCTATGTCCTGAATTGTATTGCCTAGGTTTTCTTCTAGGGTTTTTATGGTTTTAGGTCTAACATTTAAGTCTTTAATCCATCTTGAATTAATTTTTGTATAAGGTGTAAGGAAAGGATCCAGTTTCAGCTTTCTACATATGGCTAGCCAGTTTTCCCAGTGACATTTACTAAATACGGAATCCTTTCCCTATTTCTTGCTTTTGTCAGGTTTGTCAAAGATCAGATGGTTGTAGATGTGTGGTATTATTTCTGAGGGCTCTGTTCTGTTCCACTGGTCTATATCTCTGTTTTGGTACCAGTACCATGCTGTTTTGGTTACTGTAGCCTTGTAGTATAGTTTAAAGACAGGTAGTGTGATGCCTCCAGCTTTGTTCTTTTGGCTTAGGATTGTCTTGGCAATGTGGGCTCTTTTTTGGTTTCATATGAACTTTAAAGTAGTTTTTTCCAATTCTGTGAAGAAAGTCATTGGTAGCTTGATGGGGATGGCATTGAATCTATAAATTACCTTGGGCAGTATGGCCATTTTCACAATATTGATTCTTCCTATCCATGAGCATGGAATGTTCTTCCATTTGTTTGTGTCCTCTTTTATTTTGTTGAGCAGTGGTTTGTAGTTCTCCTTGAAGAGGTCCTTCACGTCCCTTGTAAGTTGGATTCCTAGGTATTTTATTCTCTTTGAAGCAATTGTGAATGGGAGTTCACTCATGATTTGGCTCTCTGTCTGTTATTGGTGTATAAGAATGCTTGTGATTTTTGCACATTGATTTTGTATCCTGAGACTTTGCTGGAGTTGCTTATCAGCTTAAGGAGATTTTGGGCTGAGATGATGGGGTTTTCTAAATATACAATCATGTCATCTGCAAACAGGGACAATTTGACTTCCTCTTTTCCTAATTGAATACCCTTTATTTTTTTCTCCTGCCTGATGGCCCTGGCCAGAACTTCCAACACTATGTTGAATAGGAGTGGTGAGAGAGGGCATCCCTGTCTTGTGCCAGTTTTCAAAGGGAATGCTTCCAGTTTTTGCCCATTCAGTATGATATTGGCTGTGGGTGTGTCATAAATAGCTCTTATTATTTTGAGATATGTCCCATCAATACCTAATTTATTGAGAGTTTTTAGCACGAAGGGCTGTTGAATTTTGTCAAAGGCCTTTTCTGCCTCTATTGAGATAATCATGTGGTTTTTGTCTTTGGTTCTGTTTACCAAATTAAAATTAAATTGTTTTGAATCTGTTATATTTACTGAAAATTTTAGAGACAAAGTACTATAATCTGTCTTCTCAACCTTATCACACTGCCAAGGCTTTTACAAGTTAATAAAAATAAAATCTATAACATATATATGATGTACTTACATATACACACTATTTTTAATCCATGTTTTGAAGTTGGTCCACTATTATTATTTCTTTTTTTTTTTTTTTTTCAACTTGAGTGATTTTTTTTTCTTTTTTTTTTTTGAGTTTTTTTTTTTTTTATTATTATACTTTAAGTTTTAGGGTACATGTGCACGTTGTGCAGGTTAGTTACATATGTATACATGTGCCATGCTGGTGCGCTGCACCCACTAACTCGTCATCTAGCATTAGGTATATCTCCCAGTGCTATCCCTCCCCCCTCCCCCCACCCCACCACAGTCCCCAGAGTGTGATATTCCCCTTCCTGTGTCCATGTGATCTGATTGTTCAATTCCCACCCATGAGTGAGAATATGCGGTGTTTGGTTTTTTGTTCTTGCGATAGTTTACTGAGAATGATGGTTTCCAATTTCATCCATGTCCCTACAAAGGACATGAACTCATCATTTTTTATGGCTGCATAGTATTCCATGGTGTATATGTGCCACATTTTCTTAATCCAGTCTATCATTGTTGGACATTTGGGTTGGTTCCAAGTCTTTGCTATTGTGAATAATGCCGCAATAAACATATGTGTGCATGTGTCTTTATAGCAGCATGATTTATAGTCCTTTGAGTATATACCCAGTAATGGGATGGCTGGGTCAAATGGTATTTCTAGTTCTAGATCCCTGAGGAATCGCCACACTGACTTCCACAATGGTTGAACTAGTTTACAGTCCCACCAACAGTGTAAAAGTGTTCCTATTTCTCCACATCCTCTCCAGCACCTGTTGTTTCCTGACATTTTAATGATTGCCATTCTAACTGGTGTGAGATGGTATCTCATTGTGGTTTTGATTTGCATTTCTCTGATGGCCAGTGATGGTGAGCATTTTTTCATGTATTTTTTGGCTGCATAAATGTCTTCTTTTGAGAAGTGTCTGTTCATGTCCTTCGCCCACTTTTTGATGGGGTTGTTTGTTTTTTTCTTGTAAATTTGTTTGAGTTCATTGTAGATTCTGGATATTAGCCCTTTGTCAGATGAGTAGGTTGCGAAAATTTTCTCCCATGTTGTAGGTTGCCTGTTCACTCTGATGGTAGTTTCTTTTGCTGTGCAGAAGCTCTTTAGTTTAATTAGATCCCATTTGTCAATTTTGGCTTTTGTTGCCATTGCTTTTGGTGTTTTGGACATGAAGTCCTTGCCCACGCCTGTGTCCTGAATGGTAATGCCTAGGTTTTCTTCTAGGGTTTTTATGGTTTTAGGTCTAATGTTTAAGTCTTTAATCCATCTTGAATTGATTTTTGTATAAGGTGTAAGGAAGGGATCCAGTTTCAGCTTTCTACATATGTCTAGCCAGTTTTCCCAGCACCATTTATTAAATAGGGAATCCTTTCCCCATTGCTTATTTTTCTGAGGTTTGTCAAAGATCAGATAGTTGTAGGTATGCGGCGTTATTTCTGAGGGCTCTGTTCTGCTCCATTGATCTTTATCTCTGTTTTGGTACCAGTACCATGCTGTTTTGGTTACTGTAGCCTTGTAGTATAGTTTGAAGTCAGGTAGTGTGATGCCTCCAGCTTTGTTCTTTTGGCTTAGGATTGACTTGGCGATGCGGTCTCTTTTTTGGTTCCATATGAACTTTAAAGTAGTTTTTTCCAATTCTGTGAAGAAAGTCATTGGTAGCTTGATGGGGATGGCATTGAATCTGTAAATTACCTTGGGCAGTATGGCCATTTTCACCATATTGATTCTTCCTACCCATGAGCATGGAATGTTCTTCCATTTGTTTGTATCCTCTTTTATTTCCTTGAGCAGTGGTTTGTAGTTCTCCTTGAAGAGGTCCTTCACATCCCTTGTAAGTTGGATTCCTAGGTATTTAATTCTCTTTGAAGCAATTGTGAATGGGAGTTCACTCATGATTTGGCTCTCTGTTTGTCTGTTGTTGGTGTATAAGAATGCTTGTGATTTTTCTACATTGATTTTGTATCCTGAGACTTTGCTGAAGTTGCTTATCAGCTTAAGGAGATTTTGGGCTGAGACGATGGGGTTTTCTGGATAAACAATCATGTCGTCTGCAAACAGGGACAATTTGACTTCCTCTTTTCCCTATTGAATACCCTTTATTTCCTTCTCCTGCCTGATTGCCCCGGCCAGAACTTCCAACACTATGTTGAATAGGAGTGGTGAGAGAGGGCATCCCTGTCTTGTGCCAGTTTTCAAAGGGAATGCTTCTAGTTTTTGCCCATTCGGTATGATATTGGCTGTGGGTTTGTCATAGATAGCTCTTATTATTTTGAAATACGTCCCATCAAGACCTAATTTACTGAGAGTTTTTAGCATGAAGGGTTGTTGAATTTTGTCAAAGGCTTTTTCTGCATCTATTGAGATAATCATGTGGTTTTTGTCTTTGGCTCTGTTTATATGCTGGATTACATTTATTGATTGGCATATATTGAACCAGCCTTGCATCCCAGGGATGAAGCCCACTTGATCATGGTGGATAAGCTTTTTGATGTGCTGCTGGATTCGGTTTGCCAGTATTTTATTGAGGATTTTTGCATCAATGTTCATCAAGGATATTGGTCTAAAATTCTCTTTTTTGGTTGTGTCTCTGCCTGGCTTTGGTATCAGAATGATGCTGGCCTCATAAAATGAGTTAGGGAGGATTCCCTCTTTTTCTATTGATTGGAATAGTTTCAGAAGGAATGGTACCAGTTCCTCCTTGTACCTCTGGTAGAATTTGGCTGTGAATCCATCTGGTCCTGGACTCTTTTTGGTTGGTAAACTATTGATTATTGCCACAATTTCAGCTCCTGTTATTGGTCTATTCAGAGATTCAACTTCTTCCTGGTTTAGTCTTGGGAGAGTTTATGTGTCGAGGAATGTATCCATTTCTTCTAGATTTTCTAGTTTATTTGCGTAGAGGTGTTTGTAGTATTCTCTGATGGTAGTTTGTATTTCTGTGGGATCGGTGGTGATATCCCCTTTATCATTTTTTATTGTGTCTATTTGATTCTTCTCTCTTTTTTTCTTTATTAGTCTTGCTAGCGGTCTATCAATTTTGTTGATCCTTTCAAAAAACCAGCTCCTGGATTCCTTGATTTTTTGATGGGTTTTTTGTGTCTCTATTTCCTTCAGTTCTGCTCTGATCTTGGTTATTTCTTGCCTTCTGCTAGCTTTTGAATTTGTTTGCTCTTGCTCTTCTAGTTCTTTTAATTGTGATGTTAGGGTGTCAATTTTGGATCTTTCCTGCTTTCTCTTGTGGGCATTTAGTGCTATAAATTTCCCTCTACACACTGCATTGAATGCGTCCCAGAGATTCTGGTATGTTGTGTCTTTGTTCTCGTTGGTTTCAAAGAACATCTTTATTTCTGCCTTCATTTCGTTATGTACCCAGTAGTCATTCAGGAGCAGGTTGTTCAGTTTCCATGTAGTTGAGCGGCTTTGAGTGAGATTCTTAATCCTGAGCTCTAGTTTGATTGCACTGTGGTCTGAGAGATAGTTTGTTATAATTTCTGTTCTTTTACATTTGCTGAGGAGTGCTTTACTTCCAACTCTGTGGTCAATTTTGGAATAGGTGTGGTGTGATGCTGAAAAAAATGTATATTCTGTTGATTTGTGGTGGAGAGTTCTGTAGATGTCTATTAGGTCCGCTTGGTGCAGCGCTGAGTTCAATTCCTGGGTATCCTTGTTGACTTTCTGTCTCGTTGATCTGTCTAATGTTGACAGTGGGGTGTTAAAGTCTCCCATTATTAATGTGTGGGAGTCTAAGTCTCTTTGTAGGTCACTCAGGACTTGCTTTATGAATCTGGGTGCTCCTGTATTGGGTGCATATATATTTAGGATAGTTAGCTCCTCTTGTTGAATTGATCCCTTTACCATTATGTAATGGCCTTCTTTGTCTCTTTTGATCTTTGTTGGTTTAAAGTCTGTTTTATCAGAGACTAGGATTGCAACCCCTGCCTTTTTTTGTTTTCCATTTGCTTGGTAGATCTTCCTCCATCCTTTTATTTTGAGCCTATGTGTGTCTCTGCACGTGAGATGGGTTTCCTGAATACAGCACACTGATGGGTCTTGACTTTTTATCCAGCTTGCCAGTCTGTGTCTTTTAATTGGAGAATTTAGTCCATTTACATTTAAAGTTAATATTGTTATGTGGGAATTTGATCCTGTCATTATGATGTTAGCTGGTGATTTTACTCGTTAGTTGATGCAGTTTCTTCCTAGTCTCAATGGTCTTTACATTTTGGCATGATTTTGCAGCGGCTGGTACCGGTTGTTCCTTTCCATGTTTAGCACTTCCTTCAGGAGCTCTTTCAGGGCAGGCCTGGTGGTGACAAAATCTCTCAGCATTTGCTTGTGTGTAAAGTATTTTATTTCTCCTTCACTTATGAAGCTTAGTTTGGCTGGATATGAAATTCTGGGTTGAAAATTCTTTTCTTTAAGAATGTTGAATATTGGCCCCCACTCTCTTCTGGCTTGTAGGGTTTCTGCCGAGAGATCCGCTGTTGGTCTGATGGGCTTCCCTTTGAGGGTAACCCGACCTTTCTCTCTGGCTGCCCTTAACATTTTTTCCTTCATTTCAACTTTGGTGAATCTGACAATTATGTGTCTTGGAGTTGCTCTTCTTGAGGAGTATCTTTGTGGCGTTCTCTGTATTTCCTGAATCTGAACGTTGGCCTGCCTTGCTAGATTGGGGAAGTTCTCCTGGATAATATCCTGCAGAGTGTTTTCCAACTTGGTTCCATTCTCCGCATCACTTTCAGGTACACCAATCAGACGTAGATTTGGTCTTTTCACATAGTCGCATATTTCTTGGAGGCTTTGCTCATTTCTTTTTATTCTTTTTTCTCTAAACTTCCCTTCTCACTTCATTTCATTCATTTCATCTTCCATTGTTGATACCCTTTCCTCCAGTTGATCGCATCAGCTCCTGAGGCTTCTGCATTCTTCACGTAGTTCTCGAGCCTTGGTTTTCAGCTCCATCAGCTCCTTTAAGCACTTCTCTGTATTGGTTATTCTAGTTATACATTCTTCTAAATTTTTTTCAAAGTTTTCAACTTCTTTGCCTTTGGTTTGAATGTCCTCCCATAGCTCAGAGTAATTTGATCGTCTGAAGCCTTCTTC
The DNA here is from genome assembly GCF_000001405.40 of Homo sapiens. Lineage (NCBI taxonomy): Eukaryota > Metazoa > Chordata > Mammalia > Primates > Hominidae > Homo > Homo sapiens. Next base: position 93,495,516 of record NC_000013.11, read on the forward strand.
TCTCAGCTCGTCAAAATCATTCTCCATCCAGCTTTGTTCCGTTGCTGGTGAGGAACTGCGTTCCTTTGGAGGAGGAGAGGTGCTCTGCTTTTTAGAGTTTCCAGTTTTTCTGTTCTGTTTTTTCCCCATCTTTGTGGTTTTATCTACTTTTGGTCTTTGATGATGGTGATGTACAGATGGGTTTTCGGTGTGGATGTCCTTTCTGTTTGTTAGTATTCCTTCTAACAGACAGGACCCTCAGCTGCAGGTCTGTTGGAATACCCTGCCGTGTGAGGTGTCAGTGTGCCCCTGCTGGGGGGTGTCTCCCAGTTAGGCTGCTCGGGGGTCAGGGGTCAGGGACCCACTTGAGGAGGCAGTCTGCCCGTTCTCAGATCTCCAGCTGCGTGCTGGGAGAACCACTGCTCTCTTCAAAGCTGTCAGACAGGGACATTTAAGTCTGCAGAGGTTACTGCTGTCTTTTTGTTTGTCTGTGCCCTGCCCCCAGAGGTGGATCCTACAGAGGGAGGCAGGCCTCCTTGAGCTGTGGTGGGCTCCACCCAGTTGGAGCTTCCTGGCTGCTTTGTTTACCTAAGCAAGCCTGGGCAATGGTTGGCGCCCCTCCCCCAGCCTTGCTGCCTCCTTGCAGTTTGATCTCAGACTGCTGTGCTAGCAATCAGCGAGAGTCCGTGGGCGTAGGACCCTCCGAGCCAGGTGTGGGATATAGTCTCGTGGTGCGCCGTTTTTTAAGCTGGTCTGAAAAGCACAATATTCGGGTGGGAGTGACCCGATTTTTCAGGTGCGTCCCTCACCCCTTTCTTTGACTCGGAAAAGGAACTCCCTGACCCCTTGCGCTTCCCAAGTGAGGCAATGCCTCGCCCTGCTTCGGCTCGCGCACCCACTGGCCTGCGCCCACTGTCTGGCACTCCCTAGGGAGATGAACCCATTACCTCAGATGGAAATGCAGAAATCACCCGTCTTCTGCGTCGCTCATGCTGGGAGCTGTAGACCGGAGCTGTTCCTATTCGGCCATCTTGGCTCCTCCCACTATTATTATTTCTTAACAAAACTTAACTAGTGTTAATCAAAAATTTTAAAGCCTGGGGTTTACATTCAACACTGCTTTATAGAGACAGACAACATATTGCAGTGGAGGAGCATATAGACTTTGGAGCCAGATTGTCTGGCTCTGCCATTTACAAGCTCTGTGACCTTGGGCAACTTACTTAATCTCTCTGTGCTTCAGCTTCTTCATCTGTAAAAACTGTGGTAATTTAGAACCTATTCTATACAGTTATCATGATGATTTAATAAGTTAATATTTGTGAAGTGCTTTAAGATGTGCCTGACACAGAGGACTTATTTTATAAATAGTCTGTGTTAAACATAATATATACAAGATTGAGTCTGCTAGGATGAAAAATACAGATTTATAATTTTTTTTCCTTCCTGATCTAAACATTGCTAGGCAATTGGAGGATTATGAACACCAACCCAAGTTGCATTTCTTGTCAACCTGCTTTCGATGCGTTAATCCGAGGAAGGTTGCAATGGCTTGTGAGATGATGACACTGATGCCCTCGTGCTGCTGCAGCCTGACTCTCTATGGTTGATTCTGTCTGCATCACTTTAGGAGTAAAAGATTAAAACAACAAAAATCTAGATTTTTTTCCTCAGGTTTCATGAAAGCATAATGTTTTACTTTCACATTGGATCAGATAGTAGCCTAGGGCATCTACATTCACATTGTGTCCTGATTGCTCATGTGAAAGCTAAAGTAACACCACTTTCTTTATCATAAGGTGATGAGACTTGTCACCCCGCTTTATGAACAGCAAATTCTTAGCTCAGGGAGCAGCCAGGGGCAGGTCATAAAATAAAGGATTACAGAGCAAAGATATTAGTGAAAGAGAAGCATCAGCGCTTCTTACTGTATTTAACTCAAAGACGATGAGGTCTGCCTGGGGAGCTAATACCACTTAACTGTGTTTGGGCAAAAAGCCAAAAGGAAATTGTATTTCAAAGAGGGAAGGTCTGGCATTCCATATGCTGGGTAATCCCAGTCAGTTAACAGGGATGTATGGCCATTTATCACAGAAAATGAAGGCTAAAAAGAAACTTTTATGTGAAAGAACACAATGTTGATATAGTTTGAAGCTGAAGGACAATTGATAACGTATCAGGTCTTTAAATTATTCAAGTTAAAATAGTTGAGAAACAGAACTGGCATCTTTGTGGACCAAGTCTCACATAAACTTAGTTTGTACCCTGTATTAACTGAACCATAGAACCAGTAATGGTGATCATGACAAATAAATAAATCAAATGCATTCCAGAAGCCCCCTTAGAGTTCCAGAGAGCCAGGGCTGTCCTTGGGGAAATCTTGTAGTTCAAATCAACTTCTGCCTAAAGAAGGTGTATTGGAGGGTAAAATGCAGTTAAACCTATTGTCTCAGATGTGTTGGGGTAGACTGTGCTCAAATATTTCTAACTTTGTAGTACTGGTTAGAAAGAAGGATGTCATCTTCTATATGCTTTCTTGAGTCACTGAAGAGCTTAGACCAGTTGCCCCAGGTGGCCGTACTTTAAGGATAGCTTCAAGATATGGAATACCATAAGCTGGCTGCCATGTTTCCTCCTAATTTGCCAATTTGTTTCTCCTGTTCTTTCTGCTCCTGGTGAGTTCTTAGAAGCCACTAGACAACCTGTGCAGCTAATGATCAAATATTGTCCAGCTCTGGCCTTTGGATGTCTTTCCCAGCTTCTGGTCCTTTCCTGCTAGTCACTTGGGCTGCTTTTGTCCCTGCCATTAGAGCCCTCACTCAGTACATGCTTAAATACAACAGTCATGATACCCTTTTAATTGAGGGTGAACTGTCTGATTTCTTACATATACCTACAAACACCTGAGGATGGCATTTAAAACATCTTATTGTCTGACCTGGTTTGGCTGTGTCCCCACCCAAATCTCAACTTGAATTGTGTCTCCCAGAAATCCCATGTGTTGTGGGAGGAATTGAATCATGGAGGTTGGTCTTTCTTGTGCTACTCTCATGATAGTGAGTAAGTCTCATGAGATCTGATGGGTTTATCAGGGGTTTCTGCTTTTGCTTCTTCCTCATTTTTCCCCTTGCTGCTGCCATGTAAGAGGTACTTTTCATTTCCCGCCATGAATCTGAGGCCTCCCCAGCCACGTGGAACTGTAAGTTCAACTAAACCTCTTTTTGTTCCCAGTTTCGGTTATGTTGTTATCAGCAGCATTAAAATGAACTAATATATTGTCCCATTTGTAAATATATGTGTGCCATATTCTTTATGATATTACTTTATCTGTTTTTTAATTTCATTGCCATCCAGAGACTTTTTCTCAAAATCCTAGTTATTTAAATCTTCTCATAGTTCTCCCATGAATTGGATTATTTGTTAGCATAATAGAATGCAGGGTAGAGGATCTAAAGTGCCTATATAGAAAGCCTTGTGTTTTAATTTTATTTCTATGAATTCATTTGTGTATTCATTCAGCATTTATTTATTGATTCTGGAAATGTATTTGAGTAAGGAAACAAAAATTAACATAGTATATCCACAATCCTTAATTGTCACACACACACACACACACACACACACAGAAACACATACACACATGTTTTGAGGGCAAAGGCAGCCACAGTTTACAGTAAAGTCTACTTGTGAGCAAATTCAGCTGACTATCCATGTGGTTCTTATGGAATTATTAAGGATATGGATTATTGGTTTTAAGATTAAAAAAGAGTTTGTTTCCACATCTGCTTAGTTGTCAGAGATCCAAATTCACACTAAACTCAAGAGTTTCTGTTGTCATAAAAGGGAGTTTGTTAGGACAAGGCAAAGTCCTTAGAAGACATTTAGACACTTGAACATTCTGTCAAAGTCATCAGTCAGCTCCTGCTGCCACTGGGGTTTCCATTTTTCATATTGGCATTCACTTCATGAGAAAGAACTGCCATCCTCATCTCTAAGCGTGTCCTGGAACGGGACTGAGTTAGGGCACTTGTCCTCTCTGACTTCATATGCCAGTCATAGAATAGGCAATGGCATGGATTATACTGATTAATTCATGAGCTAGCTTCTCCTGCATGTGGGAGGAGTGAACACCTGAATGAAAATCTGGACAAAGTTAGGAAATAGAATAGGGAGGCGGATGCTGAGTGGACGACATGCTGATTTCTGGCACTTCCTTGCAAACTGCAACTAGGATCTAGCTCTTTCAAACCTCAGTAGAGAAATGAATATATCTCTCATTATTTATGATTCTTTCCTTAGATTTGTTGATGTTTGACTGTGACAGCCACGAGTTGCCTTTCTTGTGTTACAAAGTTAGATGTGACTTGACTGAGCTTTTAGTATAGTAAATTGTAACTGCTTTTAAATTTCAAGGTATGCCTTAGGATGAGTGTCTGTGGAGGCTTTTGCTTGTATCTTCCCAGCTTCATCTGTGAATGACAATCTTACACACTCTTCAAGGCTCACTTGGCCCGTTTCTGCCGTGGAAAGTCATCACTCTTCAGTGCTTACAGCACTTCCTGCTTGTCATTCCCTCTGTTTCTCAGTGCTGAATCCTTTTATTTTTTGGCATTCTTTGGCATACTTAAACCCACCACGAGCAGATAGGACAGATGCTGTAAGCAATTCCAGGTTGGCATTTGGTGTGAGCTACAGGGAGGGAAGGCATGGAAACAGGAAATCTTAAGTGCTGGCAGAAGAGTAACTGTGGGACTAACGGATTTATCTGATGATTCCTGTAATAACTTGGTAAGGAATAAGAAAGCAAAACACTTAGAATTTTGAAAAGAGAGTGTAGAGACCTGGATGATGTCAAGGTTGTGGCTAGTGAATAAATTTAGAGCTTCAGATCGTTGGAATAAAAGAGCATTTGAGGAACAGTTGGAGCCGGCAAGCTATGCCAGGGCCAGCTAGTAGGAGAACATTTTCATTTGTGCTTCTATGAAGCAGTGAAAAAACTCATTTCTATATGAAAGGCATCCAAACTGCAAAAAAAATAATTGCATATTACTTAATATCCCACGAACATATATCTATTTTACATCCTCAAAGCTCTTCTTCAACATTAACTCGTATGTTTTATTTGGAACCAAATCAATGCATGATAGAAATATTTTTTAAAGTTTTTAAACAGCTCTGTTTAAATATCAGTTTTCCATAACGAAAATCTTGTTCTTGCACCATGAGAGGGCTTCCATATAATCATTTTTTAAGGAGTGTAGAAAGTGTTATGCTTAAAAATAGACAATGAGCACTAAGAACATTAAGTTTGTAACAGCAATTCTAAGCTGTTTCTTCCAAAACTGTTGCCCAATCTCTCCCACAGGAAAGCCTTGTACAACATGTCACACTCAAGACATTAATCCATGTGGATGTGTTAGAAATTACACCTGAAAATGGCAATGACCTCAGTCTAGGTCTGTGATGCACTGTTGTGTTAACAAGAACTTTTTGTTACTTTATGCACATTTTCTGTACTATCTGAGAGATGCCAGTATCTTATCCACACACGAGAACTTTATTCTAAATATTTGTAAATTTTCCACCTGCAGTCAGTCAATTATTATAAATAAGATGAAAAACACTTGTACTGTTTCCTGTAACCAATACATTGTTTAATTAAGGAGGATTGCTAAGCCTGAAAACATAAAGATAGTTGGTAGTGGGTTTTGAAGTCATAGAGGACATTTTCTAAAATGCTTAAATCTCACACTTCTGGGTACCAATTTGATTCAGACTCCTCTAAAGAGAAATAGCACTCTGGGGGAATAATCAGCCCCAAGAACTATACCTATTAGAAAATCTCTCACCTTATATAAGGTAGAGAACCAGAAGTGGTGAGAAAACTTCCTTCTGTGAAGGAATCAGGGCTTGAGGTCCCATACGCTTATTTCTAGAACAGAAATTACTTTGCAAAATTTTCTATGAAATCTTCCCTAAATTTCAGACTGTCAAAGTTGACATAAAAATGAGTAATAGTTTTTTGTTTTGTTTTCTTTGTTTGTTTGAAATTTTGCACAACTTTATCCATTCAGAAATGTGGGTGTTGAACCACAAAACTGATAGAGTGCCTTCCAAATATTAACTGAAATATGTATTAGAAAAATTAAGAAGTGACAAAAAGAAGAGTTTACTGCATCTTCACATTTCATGTGAGACACTGAGTTCGTCTCCACATAAATGGAAGCAAAATAAGCTGAAACACAAACAAACCTGTGGTTTCAATTCGGCTTGTGGACCACCAGTTTGAAATATCTAAATTACTGCCTTGACTTCATATCTTTACAAATGTTTCATATAAACCAGAAATTACTTAACCATAGTAGTAGTCTTTTCACATAATTCTTTTTTACAGTTTTCAGATAACTAAAGCAACATTATATCCATGTTTAATAATTTGAAATGCTCACTTCTAGTAGAATGTAGAATAGTATATATTAAAGAGTGTTAACTTGAAGATCAGAGATTTTATGCTAGAATATATATTGGTCTTTTAAAATGTTTCTTCCTCAATCTAAAGTAATAGACCCAGGCACATTTAAAATCTTCAGGCTTTCTGTATATCTAGTTCATTAAGTAGCAATATGTTCAGTTGTGGGAAATTGTTACTTTTCAAGGTAACAATGTAGATCCCAAAAGCCCTGGTTAACAGTTCTTAAACATAAACACAAAACAGGACAAAAACAAAACAAACAAAAATAAATCAGTTCTCCAGAAAAAGAGAGTGAGAGGGAGGGGGAGAAAGAGAGTGAGAGCGAGAGAGCAAGAAAGAGAGAGAGAGAGAAATTTCACTAATGTAATGAATATGCCCCACATACTTTGTAAATAACAATATTTTAAATATAAATTCCATATAGCCAATGGACTCTTACAGAATGTGTTCTTCAATTTTTGCCAAACTCTTACATCTATACCCAACCTGTGGTTTTAATTGACTAACAAGTGTAGTTTGAATGTTGGTTGATGTTTTTGTTTACATTAATGAGAAAGACAAATGTGAAATTACCAAGATGTGTTGGAACTTCATTTGTTCATCAGTGATGTGAGTAACTGCTGAATTGGATAATAGTTTTGGAACACTGGAAGAATATTTCTTCAACATTTTTTATGCTATTCACAGTGTGACAGCTATAGAGATAGTATGTTATAACGTTTTTCTGTATTATTATCATGCTTTCTGCTTCTTAGTCTAGACAATCAGCAAAACAATAAACAAAGCCCTGATTTGTAATATTTGCCAATTTCCATGGGGTAAATGCTCCTACCACGGTTAGCTTCAAGTTAGCAATGTGATGTCACTGTATGTAGAATTAGGAAGGGCTGCGTGTAGCACATTATTATATAATATTTCTACCAGATACTATAGATGTAACTAACTTCAAAAGCATAGGTAATAATAAAATGTACTAAAATAATTATGAAAAAAGTTTAAAATTTTAAAAAAAGAAGAGTTTAAACATTTGCCAACTAATTTATTGTAGATAAGGTTGCACTTTGGCAAAACTGTGAAGTAGATAGAAAATATTTTTGTAATCCATTCATTGTTTTACCTCCCTTCCATACATCCTCACCATGGGCATACCATCCTGTATCATTTAGGACTACTAGTTATCAATTCATGTACATCATCTCATTTAATGTGCACCCATTTTATAACAGGAAAGTTGAGTCTCAGGGAAGCTTATTGCTACCAAGTTCTAAATTACAACTATGACAAATACTGCACATCTTTGTTGTCTCACACAAGTTTATTTCTTGCTCACACAAGTTATTTGTTGCTGTGGGTCTGGGTGAATCTTTAGGGCAGCAGTTAGCACAATTTTCTATAAAGGACCAGACAGTAAATATTTTAAGCATTGCTAGCCAAAGGGCAACATTGAGCAATAATCTCGCTGCAGGGATAGCAGTTATTTTCATATTTCACTTTTCAAAATGTAAACACCATTTTTAGCTGGTGGGCCACAGAAAACAGGCTGCAAGAGGGATTTTTCCTCTAGGTCAGTGTTTGCTGACTCCTGCTCTTAGATAGCAGTCCTCAACATGGACATTGGTGAATGGTGATAATGCCTGTTATTGCTGGATATTCCATTTGTGTGTATATCGGAATCTACTACTGGAAGCTGTAGCAATGGAATCTTATGTGGTGGGGGGACTAGATGAGAGAAAGCCATAGTAAGAATTCTAGGGCTTGAGTGGTACAGCATTGACGGAAGCTGTCATCTCTATCAGAAAGAGAAAAGTGAATGCTAATAACCTCAACTACTTTGTGTTAAGTATAATGTTTTAAAATAGAACCAGTTACAGAGAGGTTGTGACATTTTTGGTGGATGACATTGACATTTTCATATTTAGACAATATGAGATATAGTATATAATCACTTGTAATTTTTGAGAAATAAGATAAACCCTTTAGATTTAGCACCTTCCTTTCTAATACAACATTCTTCCGAGAAAAAAAGTTTGATATTTTGCCTTTTTGATTGTTTTTTGATTAAATGCTTAAGGAAAAATTACAAAAAGTGCATTTTACTTACTTTTCAAACTATAAAGAAAGAGTACAACATTAAGGTACTGGCGGGTTTTGAGTAGGAGAGAGAAAATGATCAATTCAACTGAAAAACATAACACCTTTGATTCGATAATCCTGTTAGATTAAAATTAAAGATGTGGAATGTGTTAAAAACAAAGACAGATGTTATTTTGATATATGGTTTAAAAGTTGATTTTCCCTTCAAAAGTTATTAGAATTAGCAAATAAGAATATAGGATGCCTGATTAAATATGAGTTCCAAATATTGAACAGGACATACTTACACCAACAACATCCTAAACATATATAATATATGACACATACCTTGGGTTCTCTCAACCCCTTCTCCCCACTTCTGTATGATTTACAGAGCATCCTGCATATTCTGCCAACACATTATAAAAATAAAAACAACATAGTTTTTTTTTTTTTTTTTCTGCTTTCCCTCACTGGATTGTAACTTTTTTGGGGTGAAACCTGGGTCTTATTCATCATTGTATCTTTAGTGATAAGCCCATATTTTGTTGCAGTAAAGGTACTTTATTAGTATTAAATGAATGAATGCATTGGCTCAAATAGCTGGAGGGAAGGATAAAGGTCAGAAATCTTGAGGTGATAATAATTATTCTTAAAAAGAAAAATAACATTTCCAATAGTATAATAAAATAATTACCAATAATTATCTAAAAAAAACAACAACATTGAGTTCCTACTATCTGCCATTCACATGCCAAAGAAATTTTCTGTATGGTGTTTAGTCCTCTGACAACCTCAGGAAACTGAGCATCAGAAAGGTAAAGTTATTTGTTCCTGTTCATATTACTAGTAAATATATAGCCAGGTACAAGTCAAAGTTATGTCTAACCCTAGTGCTGTTCTCTTACACAGTACAAATCTGTACCTCTTTGAGTGTGAAACAAACCATGACAGTTTAACAAAATAATGGGCCAATGTAATAATATGTTGTGTTGCTGTAGTTTATTTTGAGACATATTTGATGGAAACGGATGTGAAAGGAATACAAAGGTAGTTGATCTGGAGTTCAGATTGCATTAAACATAGCATAATATTTACAGCCATGTTATGGTGATACAATTAATATAGTAGTATATTAGTCAAAATGTCATATTAGCAGGGGCCTAAGAGAAGCCCTTGGCCTTGCTTTAGCCTCATTTTTTGCAGTAGTTATGATCTGTAAACTAGCTGCACACTGGATTGCCAAATATTGAACTTTTGCTCCTGGGGGAAATACATGGTTAGGTCCCCTGTAAGTCTCTAGTTACACTATTTTCATTAGCTTATTAGCATACATCCTTGTTTTATGTGTGTTACTGTTTAAAAACTCTCATTCTCTCTCTCACACACGTGCACACACACACACACACACAGAGACAGAGAGAGAGAGAGAGAGAAAGAGAGATTAACATTGCACTTACAGCCAGTGGCACTCAACCAACACTCTAACTCGTCTGAGTGAAGCTTATCTGACATGCATATTTTCTTATAAGGCTCATCACTGCCTTCTGCTTAGGGACATTAGACAGCAGTTCAGCACTACAGCTGGGGGCCATTTTAAACAGTGAAATCACCAAGGAAAAGCACAAAAATGCAAAAGAATTTATATATGGCACTAAATAGACCATGAAAGGGGCACTTGTTTAAGTGTGACAATTGAAACAAGGCAAAGCATTGCTTTGTTTGTCCTCAGCTGGGAACATGTGTATCAGATGACTCAAACTGCTTGCTGCTCTGCACAGGTTAGTGAATGACTATGAAAGTGCTGTATTACTTTGGGACATAGGAATAAATTGTAGTGAATAAGAAGATTTGCAAAACAGGACCTGCAAACATTGAGGACTGCCTGTGTATCTATTATAAAATAGACTCGTTATTCCCATTCCTAAGATTTGGGCTATGTGCGTTTTTCTACTTTATCTCATTCTTCTCCTGTTGTTGTCATTGGATACAGTTATTGCTGCCGAGGTTATGTCCTGTGACCACTAGGCTTTGTTTGCTGTAAGCCATTTCTTCAGATAGGAGAAAGTTGTTTATTGGGTCTGGTTTGGTATGTTAGCATATCTGCACAGTTCAGAGCCCACTCCACCCCACTTCTATCATTAATGAAGTGAGAGAAAGGTTAGGAGCTCTCCATTAAACCCACAGAATGTATTCTAAGGTGGATTCATTTGTTTAGAGGATTTGCAAAATTTGAGGGGGGCTGTGTACTTGGTGGATTGTTTCATGCACTTTCAGCTAGCCAATAAGAAATTAACCATTTTATCTTGGGAAATGTTTCCCGTGCTTTATTCCAGTAAGAAAAACTGAGAGTTCACTAACTTGGTAGCTATTAGGATATTACTCAAATGATCATTATACTAGCATGTCCGGAAGTCAAAAGGAAGAGGTAAAAGATAACTCTTCCATATGAGGCTGACTTACCAATATGTACTTTCCTTTCCCTGTGGGAGGGCTAGGCATTTCTGGAGGCTATAAACTCTTCCAGGCTACCAGTGCATCTCAGAACTTTAATTTTTGAAATGGTACCCTAGAGGTCTTATAATTGAGGCTCTAAGCAGACAATTAATGGTTCCATAACCCACTTTATAAGCATGGTGGTTTCTATTTGAATATCCTGGCTCTAAACTTTCTCTCTTCTTTCAGACTATAAGGAATGTACTTTAAAAAGCCCGGAGTAGGCCGGGCGTGGTGGCTCACACCTGTAATCCCGGCACTTTGGGAGGCCGAGGTGGGCGGATCGCGATGTCAGGAGATCAAATCCATCCTGGCTAACACGGTGAAACCCTGTCTCTACTAAAAAAAAAAGAAAATACAAAAAAAAAAAAAAAAATTAGCCGGGCGTGGCGGCGGGCGCCTGTAGTCCCAGCTACTCGGGAGGCTGAGACAGAATGGTGTGAACCCGGGAGGGAGGCGAAGCTTGCAGTGAGCCGAGATCGTGCCACTGCACTACAGCCTGGGCGACAGAGCGAGACTCCGTCTCAAAAAAAAAAAAAAAAAAAAAAAAAAAAAGCCCGGAGTATATTCACACTCAGACAAGGACTGGTCAACTTACTTGCTTTGTGTGGAGCATCCCTGTGAAAGATAAACAGGAAAGTAGGAAAGTGGAAAACAGGAAGTCTAGGAGCAGCTCTGCCGTTATCTACCTGAAGCTTCGGCCGAATTAATCAGACTTAATAGATCACATCGAGAAGACTGGACTAGAGCCCACCTTCTCTCTCCTTTCTCTCTCCATTTATCATTCTTTAATTTGGTGACAGTTTCTTTACTCTTCCTGTTCCACAGCAGAGCTTAGATACCATCAACTCTTCAAATCTTTTAATCAACGAAGATGCAACTAACTCCTCCCTTCCCCCAAATCTAGTAAAACACTTGATATTATTACACAACACATTTAAAATAGCTATTTATAGAAAAAGATCTATAGGTCAGCTCACTACTTTAATTCCAATGAGCAGCTTCAGTCCATGGAACTTCAGTATTATGGATAATGATATAGCCAGCAAATATCTAAGTGTTATAGACATAGATCGTATTATAGATAATTTGTCTTTTTATGTTTTTCTTTTTTGGTTCGCCAATATCGACATGAGTGACATGAGTCAGTAGGGTATAAAAAATTCTCAAAAAATTACTTTTCCTGTCCTGACATATAGAATGTTTTTCGAGGTAGGTGGAAAGTTATCACTTGTCTCTTTATTGACAGGAGGGAATGAGGAGCAAGATATGAATGTTTTTCTGTTTAATAAACACATTGATTAGCTTGTCTCTACCAACTACTGTGCTTACCGCTAAGCATATGAAAAAAAAAAAGTCCTCTGTGATTTAAAAGTCTAAGAGATTTACTAGAGAGTTAAAAAACTTAAGAAATCTAATATTTATTTATTCAACAAATATGCATTGAGTGGCTCCCATGTCCCAGGCACTGTTTTACATGCTGGGAATATAGCTTCTGGACTTAAACACTTTTATTCTAGTAGAGGGAGAGAAGATTTAATTAAGCAAGTTGTAAAGAACTATAATCTGGCAACAAATATTATAAGGAAAACTAAGCAGGGTAAAGGGATAAAGAGTGATGAGAGGTTTATTTTAGGAGGGATAGTCAAGGTTGTATTTTACAAGGGATAGTCCATTGGAAAACAACTGGGAATAGGCTACTCTGATTTGTTCTTTAAAATTAGGCAGTTATAGAAGGCCTCCCTTTTAGGGGATGTGTGAGCAGGAATTAGGGAAATGGAAAGCAAGTCACCAACTGTCTGGGAGAAGAAGCTTCCTGACAAAGGGAATACAGAGTGCAAAATCCCTGAGGTGGGACTACACCCAGCATGTTTAAGCAAGGTGAGGCTGGTGTGGCCAAAGGAAACAGAAAAGGGAAGATACTACAAAATGAAGGCAGAGAAGAAGCAGAGGCTGAAATCATCTTGGGCCACAAAGGCTGGATTTTATTCTGAGAGAGCTAGAATAACTTTGAAAGTTTTGAGTGAAGGACAGACATGATTTTACTTATGTATTAACAAAAGGTTTACTCAGGCTACTGTGCTGAGAATATATTGTAGAAAAAGTGTTGAGTATTACATGTCCAGCACAGGTGGCAGACGGATGGTGAATTCATTCTGTTCCTAAAGGTAGAGAGGTATTGTCTTCCTAGGCATCAGTACAGTCGGAGCAGGGCTTTAGAGGAAATGTGGATCTTTTCTAGGGAAAGGGTGGAGGGAAGACATTGCAGGTAGGGGAGAAAGCTGAGCTAAGAGGAAGTGAGCAGTGGTATACTGTAAAGTGAAAAGACTGGCAGTGGTATGTGTTGAGCCTGGAAAATGTATCTGTATGTCCTTCTGAAGAATTAGGCTTCATCTTGCTAATGGTTGGAAGCCCCTGAAGACCTGTAAGCAGGGGAGCTTATGGTCGGTCACCTGTTGAGAGGTGACTCCACTGGGAAGATGGAGGGTGATTGATGGCAGAGCAAGCCTTCAGAGTAGTGAGGGAAGCAGTGGTTCCAGTGACTTGAGCACATACCAGTTGGGGTGAACAGAAGAGGCAAAATTAATAGGTGCATTTGAGTTAGACTTAAAATCATTTGAGTTATCCTTTAAAACTAAAAGCACATCATGCTACCAAGTTCATTGAAATTGTGCACCTTCCAATGTAAAGATTTATTGATGGCCATTTTATCAGGCAACAAGTCAGGTGATGACATGTTAAAAGCTGTTTCCAAAATGAATTACATTCTCCATGTAGTATAAATATCAAATGAATGTAGTAGTTATGCCTTAATAGTATGAAAGAATTGGGCTGCCTTCCTCTCCAATAACACGTCATGGTTGACATGGATTCAAAGGCTCATTTGTTGCTGCTCTTCTTGACTCAAAGAAAGGGTACATCTTCATTTAACTCAGCACAGGGTCTGAGAACAAGCCTTGTGAAATCTTAGAACAATATAATGAGTAAACCAAATGCCTTCCATTGATAGTCTTAGAATGCCCTTGAAGAGTATTTGCTTATTCATAATGATGATTATTTTCTTAAAGCTTCTGTCTAAATGTTAATATCTGTGGACATACCAAAGCAACTTGCCTCAAACATGAGAGCCCTCACCGAGTTCCACAGGCTCTTTGAAGTATGGATTTAACACCATTTGTTCCATGTGTTTTGAACAGCAAAAGTAGTAAAAGACATGCAGGTGCTTGTCATTGAGAAAAAGAAAACTCTCAAATATTCATGAAGTGCCTGCTATTGCATTTTAATTTACTTTAGGAAATTGCCTACTTTGTTATTCATTTTTGTTTTGCATAATAGTTAGGACAGCTCTGCTTGGTTTCTGATTCTTAGGCGCCTGTGCAGATGCAGATTTCTCAGATACCTAGCACACAGATTTTTCTGTTGAATCATAAATTGAATTTCTTTCATGAGAAGGTAATTTATACTTTAAGGCATATTTTTGTTAATAAACTGGGTTCTTCTGAATGTTTTTTTCTCTTCAGCACTCCTGAAATTAAACATTATGTCTGTCTCTCTAATATTTTATGCCCTCAAACCAATTTTGGCATAATTTTATGGGTTTTTGTGAAATTTTGTTACATGTAATGTGTAGTGATCAAGGCAGGATATTTAGGATGTCTATCTCTTGAGTACAATACATTTTTGTTAATATGGTCACCCTAGTCTGCTATCAAACATTGAATTTGTTCCTTCTAACTATATGTTTGTATCCTTCGACCCACTTCTCTTCATCTTCCCTCTCCCCCAAATCAGCCTTCTCAGTCTCTGTTATCTATCTTTCCACTCTCTACCTCCATGTGATCAACATTTTTAGTTCCCACCTATAAGTGAGAGCATGCAATATTTGTCTTTTTTGTGCCTGGCTTATTCACTTAAGTTAATGACCTTAAGTTCCATCCATGTTGCTGCAAATGACGTGATTTTATACTTTTTAATTGCTGAAGAGTATTCCATTGTGTATATATACCACATTTTCTTCATTCATCTGTTAATAGACAGTTTGATTCCTTATCTTTGCTATTGTGAATAGTGCTGCAAGAAACATGCAAATGCAGGTATCCTTTGATGTTTTGGTTTCATTTCCTTTGAGTATATACCCAGTAGTGGGATTCCTGGATTGAATGGTAATTGTGTTTGTCGTTTTTTGAATAATCTCCACACTGTTTTCTACTAGCGTGTTACCACTAACAGCGTATAAGCTTTTTCTTTTCTCTACATCCTCACCAACATGTTATTTTGTCTTTCTAAGACTAGCTATTCTGACCGGGGTAAGATGATATCTCATTGTGGTTTTGGTTTCCATTTCCCTGATCATAAGTGATGTTGAGCAGTTTTTTTGTATACCTCTTGGCCATTTGTATGTTTTCTTTTGAGAAATATATATATATATATATATGTGTATATATATATGTGTATATATATATATATATATTCATGTCCTTTGGCCATTTTTTAATGAGATTATTTGTTTTTTTTTCCTGTTGAGTTTTTTGAGTTCCTTGAATATTCTGGATGTTAGTCCCCTGTCGGATGAATAGTTTGCAAATATTTTCCCCCATTCAACAGGTTGTCTCTTTACTCTGTTTATTATTTCTTTTGCTGTGCAGAAGCATTTTAAAAATTAAGTCCCTTTTGTCTCCTAGATTTTATTGTCTGATCTTTTAAGGTCTTAGTCGTAAGTTCTTTGTCTAGAACAATATACAGGAGGGGTTTCCTTAGGTTTTCTACTAGTATTTTTATAGTTTCAGGTCTTATATTTAAGTCTTTATTTTGAGTTGATTTTTGTACAGTGAGAAATAGAGGTCTAGTTTCATTCTTCTGTGTATGGATATTCAATTTTCCCATTTATTGAAGGTGGTTTCCTTTCCCCAATATAAATTTTTTTGGCTTTGTCAAAGATTAGTTGGCTCTAAATATGTGGCTTTATTTCTGGGTTCTCTATTATGTTTCATTGGTCTGTGTATCTACTTTTTTCCAATACTGTGGTGTCTTGGCTACTTTAGCCTTGTAATAATTTTTGAAGTGATGTAATGGAATACTTCCAGCTTTGTTCTTTTTGCTAAGGATTGCTTTGGCTATTTGGAGTCTGGTTCCATATGAATTTTAGGATCGTTTTTTCTAATTCTATGAAGAATGACATTGTTATTTTGATAGAGATTGCATTGAATCTGTAGATTGCTTTGGGCAATATGGTCATTTTAATGATATTGATTCTTCCCATCCATGAGCATGGGATATTTTGCCATTTGTTTGTGTTTTTTCAATTTCTTTCACCCAAGTTTTGTAGTTTGCCTTGTATAGATCTTTCCCCTTTTGTTTAATGTATTCCAAGGCTTTGGGGTTTTTTTGTTTGTTTGTTTTTGTAGCTATTTTAAATGGGATTGCCTGCTTGATTTCTTTGTTGACTAGATCATTAGTGGTGTACAGAAATGCTACAAATTTTTGTACATTGCTTTTGTATTCTACAACTTTACTGAATTCATTTATCAAATCTAAGAGATATTTTGGTGGAATCTTCAGGCTTTCCTAAATATGAGGTCATATCATCAGCAAAAATGGACAATTTGACCTCTCCTTTTCCAATTTGGATGCATTTTATTTCTTTCTGATTGCTCTGGCTAAGACTTCCAGGGCTATACTGAATAAAAGTAGTGAAAGTGAGCATCCTTGACTTGTTCCAGTTCTGACAGGAAAGGATTTCAACTTTTCCCCATTTAGTATGCTGTTAGTTGTGTGTTTGTCATATATGGCCTTTGTTATATTGAGGTGTGTTCTGTCTATGTTTAGTTTGTTTTTAATCCTAAAGGGATATTGAATTATATAAAATGTTTTTTGTGTGTCAGTTGAAATCGTTTTTTCTTTCATTCTATTGACATGATGTATCAGCTTAATTGATTTGTGTATCTTGAATCATCCTTGCAGTCCTGCTATAAATCCTACTTGATCATGGTGTATCATCTTCTTGATTTGCTGTTGGATTCAGTTTGCTTGTATTTTATGGAGGATTTTTACATCTATGTTCATTAGGGATATTGGCAAGTAGTTTTCTTTTTTTGTTGTGTCATCTGATATTGGTTATCAGGGTGATGCTGGCCTCATTAAATGAGTTGGGAAAAATTTGGTTAGGAGAAGGAAGAAGATACTAGTTATTTGTGAGGTTATGTGGTAACTGCAAGTGGGTTGATTTTAGGATAAAAATTTGTAGCTAAATGGTAGGTTGTTTCAAAAATTGGCATTATCTAGATATTAAACAATAATATGCTAAAAGGATTTTCTATACACAAAAGCAGATAACTATAATATCAGAGATATTATAGAACTGAGAATGATAAAACTACTTTTTCTAAAGTATATATGAAAATCAGATTTAAAAAGGCTACTACAGTGCAAGGTGTCCATTTAACTTGAGTAAATTAGCTATGCTAGATATTCATGGCTGATCTGTATCATATGCTAGGAGGACTTGACTTTGTTAGCTATTGTCCTTGAAAAACTGAGCCATTGCTGTAAACTGGATTACAAACTTGAGTCCCTGGAATTAATCTTTGCTTTTCACTGGTTCTCTCTCCAGTGTAGCTTCTGTTGGGAATCAAGCGGGAGTAAGATGAACACTTTGTGTAGTAGTTTCCACCTTTTTTATTACAGCTCAGACTTTAAATCTACATTTTACTCTCATCAATAGAATCATTCTTACCACCTCACCTCAGTCCCCGGATGCCCCTGGGATGATAAACCAATGACAGTTACAATTGACCTTTTGTTTTCTTTTCATTTTCTGCCTTCTTTCAATTGTGTAATTGTAAAATACATGTGTTCAACATAAACCTAGCCAAATCAAATTGGTGATCTTTGCCCTGAAAATTCATTGTAATTTTACTATTGTCACCTTATATTGTTTGACTATGATTCTAGGTTTTACCTTTGTGTCTGGTAATTAGTAAATGTTGGTATTCTCAAAGTGAATCTTATCATGTTCTTCTGCCTTGTGGTGTTCATTATAATGCACCAGAGATATTCTAAAATAAAAGCCTGGATTTGGGATTTAGGCAATTACTCAATAACTCCTCCTGCCCTTTTGCAGTCTCTTGGTAGTCACTCAAAGGACACAGCTATTGCACGATTGCACGATTTCTGTGATGCCAGACTTGTCTGACTAAACCTCTACTTTATGCAGACTGAATATTTTTATAGCCCTTCATTAAAGTCCTTGGGTTGTAAGTGCTGAGAATCAGCCTCTCTGATGATTTTCCCAAACACCAGTGGCATGAAATCCCATGAACGAATCCTTTGCTGAATGATGGCTTTTTTTTTTTTTTTTTTCGGTGTTTCACTCTCGTTGCCCAGGCTGGAGTGTAATGGAGCAATCTTGGCTCACTGCAACCTCCACCTCCCAGGTTGAAGCGATTGTCCTGCCTCAGCCTCCCAAGTAGGTGGGATTACAGGCACCCACCACCACGCCCAGCTAATTTTTGTATTTTTAGTAGAAACAGAGTTTCACCGTGTTGGCCAGGCTGGTCTCAAACTCCTGACCTCAGTGATCCACCCGCCTCAGCCTCCCGAAATGCTGGGATTACAGGTGTGAGCCACCACTCCTGGTCACATTCATCTTTTCACTAGTAACCAGAAAGACTTGGATTATTTGAGAAGTTGGTTGGCTGAACAGACGTCTGTGTGGCAGGAGGGAAGCCATAGGTGCTCTGTTGGTTTAGAGAGCCTTACTGCACTCAATCCCAGAATACAAGAAGAGTCAACTGTTAGCAGTTTTGCGGTCTATTTTACCTTTTCTCATAATATTCTCTCAAGGGAAAATAAGACTCACAACCACTCAATAACATTAAGGAACAAGAATAAATATGGACTCCAAAAATGTTAGGGCAAAACTCTACATGGGGCCAGAAGCTCCTTGGAACAGATAACTTTGAGGCTGTATTGTAAATACACAGTGAGTATAATTTATCTTTTCAGAGCATCTCACATCCTTGGTAGGCATATGCAATGGTCATTGGAACTACTCCCACATATACAGATTCTCCTGCGTATGGGCACATGTTAGAATTTTATTTCACTATTCCCTTTTAAGTTAGGTATGGCTACATGATTTATTTTTCTATGAAATGTGAGTAGAAATGAACTGTCTCGTTTCCAGATGGAGGCTTTAAAAGTCAGACTGGGATTTGTTCAGAGAAGGGAATGAGTTAGCCTGAATTATTGAGTGTTCATGAGGGACAGAATCCCCTACCAACCTGTATTGGACGTAGAGTCGTCGTGAGGAAAAAAACAAACAAACAAAACAAACAAACAAAAACACATTTGGCATTGCTTGTTATATGAAAATTACATAACTCATTGCTATGGGCTGAATATTTGTGTGTCTCCCAAAATTCATGCATTGAAGCTCGCATCCCCAGTGTGATGGCATTTAGAGAGGGGGCCTTTGTGGGGTAACCAGGTGATGAGGGTGGAGGCTCATGGTAGTATCTGTGTGCCCCTACAAGAAAACAGAGAGCTTGTCTCCTTTCTCTCTTGCTATCTCCACTGCCTGTCTTTGCTCTCACTCTCGCTTTTGTCCTCTCTCTGCCATGTGAGTGAGTATACGGTAAGAAGATGGTCATCTTTAAATCAGGCGAAGGGTCCTCACTAGATGCCAAATCTGCTGGCACCTGGGTCTTGGAGTTTTCAGCCTCCAGAACTTTAAGACACACATTTCAGTTATTTAAGCCACCCAGCCTATGATCTTCTTGTTACAGCAGCCTGAACTAAGACATTAATCTGGACTGTTACCATTTATTTGTTTTTATAGCTCTTTTAAATTGCATGAAGTAATGCATGCTATGTAGGGATAATCAAATATGTTTTTATAATACATTTAATAGATGTCTATTCAGCAATTTCTTTTGGAGATGGATTGGAGCTTGGATTTTGCCTCCACCAATGGCTAACTTCAGAAACTTGGGCAAATTATTTAAATTTTGTGAGCCTTATGTTTCTTCAATTGCAAATGATGGCAATACCACTTACCTCATAGGTTTGTCCTGAAAATGAAATGATTAATTGTATGTAAGTCACCCAGTAAAATTCCAAAGGCAAAATAAATACTGAAAATATATTCATTCTTACTAGTCTGTCTTTTAAATACTGACTAGTGACGTATCATGTTAAATAAATGCTCTTGCTCTCAAGTATCTTGTAGTAGAGTATTTAGACACACAATTAACCATAAATAAAATACAAAGTGAAACTCACTATTAAGGATCCACAAATGAAGTACTTGAAATCTCAGAAAAAGTCATATCTATAGAAAAATTCTATAGAAATTTTGAGCTCTAGGCACACACGCAGAAAGCCAAGGAAAATAGTAAATATCTAGCAAAACTCACATAGTGGCTTATGTAAGTCATTTCCTAAAAAATTCCCAAGGTATTTTTTTAACTTGTTTTATCAAAATCCATTTAGAGATCGACAGCTTTTCTTGCAACATTGGTGAAAGCTCTTTCAGAACTCTGTTACTGTAGAAGCTTGCCATGTGAAAAATTCATTAGCAGCAAGTTTGAAATCTTAAAAGCCAGTGTGTGTTTTAGAGGAGTAGCTAGCCCATCAGTAAAAAGAGTAGAGTAAAAGGTTCACATCAAAAGAGAAATCTTCACAGCACCGATGTTATCAACTCTCTCCAGATGTGCAGTTTTCTATGTTGCACTCACTTTTTCATGTGTCATTAGCAACCTTATATCTTAACATGGAATGCTTGAATGGAGTCCTTATTAATGAAGTCGCCAAGCCCAATCTATTCATCAAATATGGTCTTGGGGTTAGAACATTCTGGAATATGCAGGGAAGAATGCCCAGAATTGTGGACCTCCCATACTGCCAATTTACCAGGAGAGTTTTGCCAGGAAGTGGGGCACAGGTACAATTGGAAACAAGCTGTGAATACATTTTTCAAGAGACAGGCATAGGTTTTCAACACCAGTAAAAGGTTTCTGAACAAAAGCAAAAATCAATGTAAGTTAAGTTTTAATGGGAAATAAAAAAAATAATTACTTATAAAAGTAGGAAAAGAAGAAACCCTTCAAGATAGAACAACATGGGATATCCTATCTATGCACAAAGCAAAACAAAACCAAAAAGGTATTTATTTTGCATTTTTATATTATGCTCTGTGAGCAACAGGTGTATAAGAACATATATGTGGGATGAAGGAAATTGGTAGCTTAGCTGCCTGTGGGCTCCTCTGAATTTTTAAACTATAAAATCACCTCCAGCTTTTGAATTGGGTGGATATGCAGTTAGCTAGGTTTTGCAGCAGTCTCTTTGAATTAGAAAGATCATTACCATCAGTAGCTTGGTCAGGACTGTATGTGGTGGGGCCAAAGCTAACCAATAGTACAAAGAGACTTTGAATACATGTTCTATGCCAGGCATTATGTAGCTCTCTCTTGCTAGAAAAGCAAGATGTGGATTTTAAGGGAAAATTATTTTGAACTCACTTGTTATTTTTAGATGCATTCATAGACAAAGAGAGAATTACTGTGTACTATTGTCACCAAACGTTAAAGAGAAATATGAGGTTTAATAAGGCAACAAGAATCACCTGATACTTTTCCTCTTGTACCTTGTGTCTCAGAAACACCTTTCATCACAGGAATGATGGAGTATCTAAGGAAGATGTACTTAGGAAGAACAAATGTAAGATAATATGATTTCTTGCCTCATATTTAATTTCCATGGCCCTTTGGGGATAATGTGTTTTCAAGGCCAAGCCTCCTTTTCAGGCAACCAGATAATAAGAAGTGCTACATTTTCATATGCTAACTTGGGAAAATTATTCATTTTTAAAATTTAATTGCTTTAATTCTTGAAGTTCATGGCTGTAATTTTCAGATGATGTGAATCACTCAGTGGAGGTTTTGTTTGTTATTTGTTTGAAATTAGATTCTTTTTCCATTCGCCATAATTAATTCATTCACATTTGGTGCTCTTTGCATTTTTATGTTCTTTATGCTTTATTTGGGAAGTTAATTTGGAGAGAAATTAACTCCAACTAGACTTCAGTGGCTGTTGTAATTTTTTTAGTCAGATCTGCCCAGAACATCACTTAAAAATGACCATTTCATAGGTTTGTTTCAAGCATCAGTATATTGTGGGTGTTAACCTATCTTGGCATGTACTACAGCAAGAGCTCTTAATAACTCCAGTGAGGGAATACAAATCTTTCTTTGGGTAGAGTGACAAGGAGTGCCATGAAAATGCCTTCATATTAGATAAGGTTCACATTTAAAAAGCACATAAGTCAGCAATTTTAGTCTATTCAATGCTTAAAATCAGTGGCTATTTTTCCTTTTCAGCAAATCTCTCTTCTAATTTTAGTTATAGTAAAATTCAGGGAAGAAATTGCTTATTAATATTATTATTATTATTTTTAGGGGTATATGTAGTAAAACTGTAAGATGATACTTACATCCAGGTAGTAGCTTCTTGGAGTTTTGAATGTCAAATTTATTCATTTATCAAACAGTTTTTCAGTTTTGTTTGGGATACAAAGTTGATTCTTTTAAAGGAGCCTCAGAGCACAGGAGCTCACAGAATCCTGAATTTTATGTCTATCGAAGAGAAAATGGTGGTTAAATGCTACTTCCTCTCTGAAAACTTATCTAGACAGAGTTTTGATCATTATCTATGTCCTGTTTTGGAGACTTCCCGGCTTCCTTAATTATTTTCTTTATGTGGATACATTCAAATGTAAACCTATAAGTGTGCCTCTTTTTCTGAGCACAGATGGGCCTTAATCTAGTTCCGTCAACTCTTCTTGCTTCTCCACTTTTCCAATCTGTTAGTCACACCTCTATCAGACACCTGGAGGCAAACCCTACTACCGTCTTTGACACCTCTCTCATCCTTAGCTTCACTTCTTGAAAACAGAGCCTTTGACATCCTAATTCATATTCTGATATTTAAAATATGTATAAATTGAACATTTCATTAGGGAAATCAAAGTTCCTTAACTGTTATCTTAGTAAACATCAAGTTTTCTCATAGTGAGCTACAAAATAATGCCAGCAGAGGGAAGATAACACTTGCTTTGGGACTCTCTTGGGCCAGTAGTTAAGCCTCTGTGAGCCTTTGTTTTCTTCTCTGCAAATGGTAAATGCAATAGGGCCTTTCTCAAAGAATTACTGTAATTCTTAAATATGATTAAGATTTAAAAGCACTTTGTTTCCCAAGTAGCAATATAAATTGTGTTTATTATGCAGGACTGTGTTGATAGTTAACAAAGTGTAAGACATCAGTATAAAAGAACAGGATTTCTAGGCTAAACCAGGGATTAGCAAACTAAGGTCAGTAGGCCGTACCTAGTTTGCACACAGTATTAGTAAATAAGGTTTTATTGGAACATAGCCACACTAATTCATTTATGTATTGTGTATGGCTGCTGTCATTTCAGCTACACAGGCAGAGTTGAGTAGTTGTAATAGAGATCTTATGTACCGCAAAGACTGAAATAGTTAAAAATATTAAAAGCCTAAAGTATTTTTCTAAAATTTAAAGCTTAAACTATCTGGCCTTTTGCAGAAAAGTTTGCTTACTTCTGCCTAAGGCACCTACCAAAACTGGTGTAACTTTTCTGTATTCTTCTACATTCAAACTGACCATCCTCCAATTTATAGAATAGGTTTTAGAATTTTATCTCATTTAACATTTATTAGTTTAATGAACTTTAAACAAATTATAGAAGATGTTACATATGCAAACATGCACATCTGTGTGTTTCTGTTACACACACATACACACACATTCTTCCGTAAAAGTGGGGCAATTTCCACACATTAGCAATGTACAAAAAGCTTAAACTACATTTTCCTAGTACAAGGCCAAGATAGAAACACTAAACAAAATCTGATCTTCAACCTGAAAATCACTTTCTGCATAATAATGTCTGAGTTGATGAAGGGAAAAAATAAAAGGGATACACTTTAATTTGCACTTGAGTAGATTATTTTTTTCTGATGTGATTATGACAGTTAAAATAAAACACTCACCAAAGCACATCTTAGCATCACAGTCAATGTTTGAGTTTGATTGCATTCCAGTCTGCTGGGTTCTGGGAGGCGGATGACACTCCCCTCTTAGAGAAACAGGTAACCATTCAATAGAGCCTAAATAGATGAGGCTCTTTCATGCCTGGCTCAGACTGTAATTAAAAGAAAAATCTAAAAGTTATATTTCTAAGTTACTCTATATTCTTTGACTCTGTATTCTTTGTGAAACAGAAAATGTGAAAATTCAACGTCTTTAAAAGAATGCTTTGCTATGGTTTTTTATAAAAACTGAAACGAATTTTGTCATCAGCTAAGAATTGTATTAAATTGAATTTTGTAATGAAACAGTGTAACTATTCTCTGCAAGACTTATTTGACATCTTAATTTTCTTGCCTATTCTAACATAGAAAGTGTCAGCTGTTCATTCATCATAGATTTTACTAAACTTCAGCATATAAACTTGTGATGAATGATTAAGACACATTAGGCCAACTGGGTTGGCTCTAGTTTTCATTTTCAAGAACCTTAAAAAGCTTTGATTTGCAGCTGTTAGAAGCAAGTTAAAATATTATCAGAATACCACCAACTTGGAAAGTGCAGCTGATATATTACTGGTGACTGTGCGAAATTATAGCATTGTCCAATCCAGGTACCAGATGGTCCATCTTCCTTGATTTGAGGAGCATTGGTTGACTACAAATTTTACTTGCTGCCCTAGGCTTGTTATTGACCATTAGCATGTGAGTTACAGATTCCTTAAATTCTTTGCCAGGTGACAAATTGACCTATTAACAAGTCACTTTCTCAAAAAAATGCATTAATGTTTTTCAATCAAAGGACCAGTTGCAAATGAGCAACATTTTAATAAGTATTAGTTTTGCTTTAAAGGAATCAGTAAGTATCCTCACAAGCCAAGTTGCTGAAATAGACTTTAAAAAAAAAAAACACTTGAAGATTTTTAAGAGTGTTGGAAAATTTTGAAACAAGTCTTTTAAAAATATAATTAACATGTAAAGATTCTCTGTGTTTTAATTCTTTAATAGCATGTTCTTTTGGTGATTTTCTGTGAATAGCATTTATGGAGTATAGATAAAGTAGAAAACATAATAAATTTGGACTGTTTTTCATAGTAGATAACTTACATGGACAAACTATACAGGCATGGAGATGACATAATAAACTTATAGACAAACTATAGACAAACTATACTATAGACAAACTATATATACTTATAGACAAACTATACAGGCATGGAGATGACATGATATTGGAGTTCAGAAACCCACCTTTTTACTTCTGTCTCGGAACTGATGAGGTGAGCCAAAGAGTTTCATCTATAGAGTGTGGAGGTCACGTTAAGTAATCTCTACATTATCTTTTACATTTAAAATATAAGAACTTTAGTAATCTAATTGTGATTATCAATGGAAATGTACACGTATATGTTAGATTTTGTATTTAAGAAGTAATTTCATTAGTACTTGAAATTTAAGGGAATATAAGGAAATCTTTTAGTGGAATACTGCTGTCTCTGAAAACCATCACCTATAAAGCATCTAGTTGAACAGATTTTAGGAATCTGTTGAGATAATTTATTCTAGAGTCTTAAACTGGAATAATATTGCATTTTCTTTCTAAGAGAGATACAGAAGTCTAAGAATTAACTCCAGGGGAAGATTTATTTTCTTTTCTTTTCTTTTTTTTTAGGGTGAAAGTGGTATATGTACTAAATGAAATTATCTTGATGCGATAGACCAGTATACTTGGTAAAGCTACTTGATATACTAATTTCATCACTTAAATGTGACAGCCACTGGGATTTCCAGCAGTGCTACTATTCTGGACCTATTAATGCTTCAGAACTTACTTGTCTTATGTTGGCAGGTGCTTGTGAACGCTGGTGCAGGCTGATTAGCCATTGCTTTTACAGTTATCACTTTTACTTTGAACTGTCTACAATGCCTGCCTTATTTCTGAAGGAGGGTGCCCCATGGGCTTCCATGGCTCTTCATACAGCATGACTGCTCTTGAAAAATGCTAACAGGTTGTGACAAATACTAAGATAATATACTGTAACATACTTATATGAGGTGATTGGTGGCAAGGCATCATTTCTTGTGCTAACATTAAGTTCTCCAGTGGTATTGGGCTCATTCCCCAGCTATGTGTTTAAAATAATGACATAGTTGAGGGTGTATTTTCAGGTAGCTTTTAATGATGGGAAAACTCCAAAATTTGGGAAGAAGACAATAAGTGCAGTTTATTTTATCATATGCTAGGTTTTAGGTATAGACTTTCTTTTTCCTTTTCTAATTTGTTAATCTTTTCTAGATACACATAGAAAGACTAGGTTTTATTTAAGTCACCTTTATCCTTAGCTTTCCTTTTAAAATAAGTATCAATTACTTTCTATTGTGCTGTTTCATTTTATCTTAAATTTATATTTTAGATAAAAGTGTGACAGACTTTGAAACAAGTCAAAATGATTGCTGGGTATCTTTGGTGGAAAACTAAGCAGTTTCTAGGCACACCCTCTGGGTTATCTGATTATATGGGGTCTCTGCGCCTGTCATTATCTTTGAGCTATTTTACAACTCTGTTGGTTAGAGATAATTGATAGCAATGCAAATGATTCTTGTCTGTAGACATGCAAATTAATTTTGTCCCATAGAAGCACAACTGATTTTTAGCTTCCAATCTCACCCCATTCCGATTCCTGGAATAATCCAGTTTTGTGTTCATGTATAATTCATTTCATCATTAAGTTTTGCTAACATTTTTGTGGTTTTTTGAATTCACCATTGAACTAGTTGTAACTTCTTACTTATTTTCCCATTAATTAGCTAAATAACATCCCTGACAAATGTTTATCTTACATATGTATGGACTATGATTATATCCTCTGTTAAATATTATCCTTTAACAATATTCCCTTTATGGCAGAAATGTTGGAGATGTGTTTTATTATATACTTATGCTCCGGTCATGCTAGATGAATCCTGAGAATCTGGCTTCCAAAAAGATCATGCTTCAGAGGAGATGAGCTAAGTCATCAAAGACAAAACAAAACAGTGGATGTAGCCAGTGTGAGTAACTTTGGCTCTCACTGATTCCTTCCCGCTGCTCTGCAGATAGGCTAAAATCCGGAGGCATTTTTTTGGCTATCAAATTCAAACTTAGCAGCAGATTGGAAGCAAGTCTTTTCTTTGCCATGGAAGAGGTTGAAAGAGAAGTGCTGGTGGCTCCTATCTGAATTGCTACTTGGCTGCACATTTCAGTGATTTTGTTTAGCATCTGAAGGAGACAAAGGTGGAGGGAAGAGGAAGGAAAAAGCAGTTTGATGTCAGAAAGTTATTTCTCCAATATCATCTATGTCTTTGGATCAAAAAGAAAGAGGGAAAAAATATATATATATATATATACAAATACATACACACACACACATATGTGTATACATATACATATATGTGTGTAACATGGTGTATGACATTTTACACACACGTGTGTATATATGTACCCATATATACATATACACAATATTATCCATATATGTACATATATACACATACATATACACATATATGGATAATATTGTGTATATGTATATATGGGTACATATATACACATATGTACATATACACATATATGGATAATATTGTGTATATTTATATATGTGTGTGTAAATAACATATAAGGGTAATATTTAAAAGAGGATATATATATGCATGTGTATATGTATATAAACACATGTATATATGTGTGTATATGTATGTATGTGTATATATATATCCTCTTTTAAATATTATCCTTACAGTTGGTGTATGACATTTTACACACACACACATACACACATATGACATTTTACACACATACACATACATATATGTGTATATACATATTTGTGTGTGTGTGTGTGTAAAATGTCATTGTATACCAACTATAAGTTACGCACTTCCTCATTTGCTGCAATATGTCATCTTCCTCACAGTGCTGTGATTATGGGTATTTTGTTATGCCTGATTTTACATTTTACACAGCTCCTAAGTTGAAAGACAAAGATTCAAATGTATGTCTCCATGATCCCCCAAATCAAAAGTCTTGATGTTGCTTTGCTAACTTTTCCATTTGTTTGGAATTTTTTTCTTTGTTCTTTTTTGCTTTCTATCAGAATTAACTTCCGAAAGCTTTCTGCTTTTCTCTCATTTTGAATAGCTTTTGTTAAAATCTATATGGGAATCCACATCTCCCCATAGACCAGGTGCACTGGAAGATTTGAGGGGTTGGGAGGAGAGTGTGGATGCAGACCAGTGTGAGTCTAGAATAAGCCTGTGGCAACCTGGGAAAAACAGGGTGGGAACTCAAAAGAATTAGAGAGATATCCTCACATTAGATTTCAGTGGAAAGAGAGGGGGGAAAGTCATGTATACTGGAGCATTCCTATGTGAGTTCAAACAAATTGCATGTAAATTTGGGGCTCACTAATAAGGGCTGTGTGACCTTGAACCTGACTTTCTTCAACTAGTAAAACTTAAAGACAAAAATACCCAACTCTTTCAGGCAAGGAGGAGCTGAAATACCAGTAAATGCACTAAAGGGTAACTTTGAGAGGTTTGACTTTGTCCAACACTCAGAATCACCACTCACCTCCTTAACCACAAATCACTAGAAACAGGCATGCAATCAAAGACAAACAGGAGTATGCTTCCTAAGTGAGGCCAGCTTCAAGAAGGGGTGAACATTGGAAGTAAGTTGCTTCACCTCTAGAGATGAATAAATAGGTACAATAAAACCTGCCATAGAGCATAACTTGAGGGTCAAATGAGGGGAGCTTGCAGACTGAATTTATTTCATTTGACTGCTTCAGTCCTTATGTCATCCTCTCCCCACAGGATGTAGCCTTGGACAAGAAAGTTTACATTGGTCCACCTCTAATATGGACAAGGAGATCCATGTTTGCCTCTCTCATACATGTACACACCCTTTATTCAAGTCACTTTAGTCATCCAAATATAATTCTTAGTTTTTGAGACACTATTGTCAACATTGAGACTTCTGTACCCAAAGGTTATTTTAGAGAAAGATTCATCGTTATGTTTGAAGCTGGAAGATAGAATGCACTCAGCTACATGTGCTTTCTGTGAAATGTAGTTGGGCTGATGCTATTACAATCTTTCAAGTACCAAAGCCCATATCTTTAATTCTTTTTCCCATAGCATGAAGTGCCAAAAGCCAGCACTGAATGTGTGTATGTACCTCGCCATGTGTTGCTGCAAATTTAGCTGTAATAATTCTGCAGAGGGCGATAATTCTGCGGGAGATCTTCTTCAGAAGGAATCAGAAATTAGCAATTAAAAGTCACTATTTTGTTGTAAATGGTCAAGACCTTCTTCATAGTAAAATCCGTATTTGGTCGTTGACTCTAATGGAAGCTGTAGACTCCTACTAATATTTGTTTAGGGATGAATCCCATGGAAGCTGCAAGCATGGCTAGATTCCACCACTCCTTGTACATACCATGTCTATATCCTTTGGCAGGGCAATCATGAAAAGCAAAATTAATTTGAAAGGAGAAGAAAAGAGAATTTACTCTGAATCCCAAGAGACTGCATGCTTTGAACTTGCAAATTACAGCCATTTGCACAGCAAAGTGATGAAACAAATCCTTGGATTTCATTTGCTCTCCACTGTGCTTTGGGCAAAGTGTCAGGAACATGCCCCCCAAGAGGTAACTAAAGATCATTCTCACAAAATGTGCTATCAAAACCCAATTGTCTAAGAGCATGTGTTTGGAAAAGAAAATAAACCTGAGTGTCAGTGAAACAGAATAGCTTCTAGGATTTTATCTGGGAAAACTGTCAGGTTTTCTTCTAATAGGTTTATACAGGTTCACTCACCTCTGACTCCTTGCCTTATTTCTGGGAATTTCTCCTGGAAATTGAAACTTTTATAAAGTACAACAGGATAGACTCTTCTGAGCACTCGAAGTGGAAAAACTGAACTAATTTTTGATTTGTTCAGGAGCCATTCTTTTTATTCACCAACCTTAAAGTACTTAACAAAAAAAGGCCTGGGATGATGGTTGAGCTTGAGGTCAGTC